>NC_000008.11:26829799-27132829 GCF_000001405.40 Homo sapiens
TTCCATAACACATCACTTATAGACAGCCCCACGCTGCCCCTGGTAAGTTTTTGCAGAAGAACATGAAAATCCTTAGCTAAGGTACAAACAAGCCAAGTAGAGGTCAACACATTTGGGAAATAGTGGCTCCACACTCCTAAATGTCAAGGGTGTGTGTCTGGGGGGTGGGGGTGGGTGGGGAAGGATTGTGGTATTTCAGGGAGAAGGAATGTCGGATGTTTGAAGACAGCACTAAGTGTATATTAGAGTGAGCACTGTCCTGGGCCTCTAATGGACTCCATTCTGAGATCTGTGTCAGAACTGTCAATAACCCAGCCTAGCCCAAAACTGTTAATGTATCACCTCCCACCCAGAGCTGACCCTGCTTCTCAGATTGCTTCCAGGCAGGTCCCCTGCAGAGAAAGCCGAAGGATGGGTAGACACACAGGACTGGTATTGGAAGAGATGCTTCATGGTTTATTTCTTCTGCACCTGCCCTCAAAGCTTGAAGGCAGCTCTTGAAACCCTTATTTCCAAGAAAGGGGAGGAACTTGGCTGTGGTATTATGATGCTCCCTAAGATCTTGCAGTCTGAAAGCTGGCTTGGAGCCTTGTTTTCTTCTGCCATCTCCAGAATCCCAAATGTACTAATCAAGACTCCCTTGTTCGTTCTAGGATAACACATGACTGGACCACAGGGAAATAAATGGCCATGAAAAGATGACACCCTGAAGCCAGACAATATTCTCCTAACAAAGAAAGGGGAAGAGTTAACAGAGGGTTAAACCAAAGACGGTTTGGCTAGAGAGACAGCATAGTTGAACCTTCTCATCAGTTGTGGCTGTAACAAGAATTTGCAAAGATGAAGGTTTATTTAAGGAATTAACCAAGAAATAAGCTGTTCTACCCACAGTCATCACAGCTGCCAAAACTCAAATTATTTTCTTACCCTGAGATGATCCTAGGGGAAAGCATGATTCAAGTTCTACCAGAGTGTCAACTACTCCCTCTGGGCTTGTGTTAACTCTTTTGGAATATTAAAATTGTTTCTGTAGCCTGCCAGAACAAAGCTGGGTTGTTGCAGTAGCCTCCCAGATGAGGTTAGGGTCATTGCGGGCGGGAGGGAGTCTTTCTCACCTTTTTTCTTTTTATCTTATATACACAAAGTTAAATGACTGGATGAAAGCCCCAGATACTGGTCTGTAGAAGTGTCTTTGTTCTCATGGATGCACTGTTACTTCCTGGACTTTGGGGGACTGAGGTCTTTTATAGTTAAAGAAATATACTTAGGAGATTGGCCTGGTTGGGGCTCTGCCATCACAGTCTCTGGAGCTGTAACCTAATCACATATCCTTGGCAGCAAAGGCAAGATCCCCTGCTGACTTGTCAAACTCTCATATGGATGTTAAGAAGATTAAGATAATAGCATGCCTAACATAGCTAATAAGAGAGATTTAAAACAATTGGCAGAAACAGATTGAGTTATGAAATGCTTATTATGGATGATTCTGTGTCACAAAAACAGCATATAGGGTCAGCTTAATTTCACACACAAGTAAGGGGAGAAGAGATGCCAATGATGACGAGGCAGAGAGAGAGAGAGAAGGAGAGAGAGAAAGAGAGAGAGCCTGCTATGCCATGGCCAGTGCTCAAGTGGGCAGACTGATACTGAGCTCTGCTGGGATTGCCCAGTACCAACCCCCTGCCCACACCCCACCACTGATCATGGCCAGTTTGGAAAGGGTGTAGAGGTCACGGAAGTGTCAGGTCACACCCAATGTCCTAGACACTGGAGGAGGTACATCTGTGTCCAAATATCCTAAATAGATTTTCCTAAATTTGAGAATAGTCACTTCAATCTTTCTTCTTTCCAGCCTGGGTAGATCAGCCACATGCCAATTGTCTTCTTGTTTTCTTTCCAGGACAAGAAGAACATAGTTTCACTCGCAGGGAATGAAGGACCCTTTTGGGCCTTGGGGGGAACACGCTGCATGCAGCTTCCTTTCCATCCTTGCATCTTCTTTGCTGTCTAGTGCTCCTTGTCATGGTCTCTGGGGCTGTCAGCAGCCACCGCCCCTGCGCTGTGGGCTCCCTGCCCTGTGGAGTCCTGTGCTCCAGGCTGGCTCCCACCTCTCCCTAAGAGACACCTGGGCCTGGCCGTGTGGTTTGTAGGCTGGAGTGGGGACAGAGGCCTGCTGGTCTCACCCCACATTTCTCATCCATTTAGAGGAAGGAGCCATCTGAGAATCCAGGGACGCTCCTCTGGCCCACCAGCCTTCTCTTCCCCCTCCCAATCTCCCCTTCCTTTCACAAGGGAAGGGAGGAGATTCGGTTTGCAGCGAGAAATGTTGAAGTTGGGAACGAAGTCTTTGGAGTGGATTAGCCCTTTGATCTTCAGGTGGGATCTCCAGGTGGGACGCTCATGGTGAGAACAAGCAGCAGGCTGCTCTCCTGCCTTGCTGGTGAAACCCTGTCCCAGACGCCTGAGAAAGTGACCTGGCAACATCGTTAAAATTGCAAGCACGCATTCCCTTTAAACCAGAAATCCCCCTCTTAGGAATCTCTCCCATAGAAGTAAAAGCATCTAGGTATAAAGGGACCTCTGTAAACAATGTGCACTCTTTGCGGAGGCAAAAGTCTGGAAACTAGATAAGTATCCTTGATAGAGGAAAGGAGGAATACAATAGACTACAGACACCGTTCAGAGAAAACTTAATGAAAACACTGGCAGACACAAATCAGGTTGTGGACATGTGTTTTCTTGGGAGAAATTAAGGAAGCTGAAGATGGTGTATGGCACAAGAGATGAAGAGGGGTTAGTCGCTCCCAACAAACAAAAAAGAAAAGAAAATGAGAAAAATGATGACACTTTAACAGTTCAAGCAGATTGTCTAGGGCAGGGAAGTAGACTGAGAAACAGGCTCTGGGAAGTAGACTCTGAGACGGAGGTTTGCCTGCAGGAGGATGTGCCCTCCTTGTCACACCTGTGGGGGAGGGAGGCAAGCAGGATGGGGTGGAAGGAGAAGCTGGGCTGCCATGCAGTCAGGACAAAAGCCTCAGCCCATCCCGGGGAAGGCAGCATTGCTCTGGACAGCTGCCCAGTCATTGGATGTTGGCTGCCTGCAGGAAGAAGGAGACTCTCATTTGCAGTGGGCAGCCACCAGGAGTGAGACACAGTTGGGAGCTGCCAGGCATTGGCCCTCCCAGCACCATAGGGAAGGGACACAGAAGGCACACTGCAGCGCCCATTGCACGGGTGCACGATCACATGTATGTATATTAGTAAAGTTATAGATATACGTGTGTGTGGAAATCGATAAAGGATGAGAGTAGGCAGAAGAAAAGAGGGTCTCTGATTCTCAGAGTATAAAATTTATTTCTAACACTGGTGAGTCTGAAGCCTCACTGGACCCCATTCCAGTGGGAAACAGACAAGACTCTCAGCCTGGGCAGTTACAGCAGTGACACTGGCCGGATGATTTCCCTTGACCTCGCCACATGGAAGCCATGCAACCCAGCCCCCCATCGTCTTAGCTCCTGAGAACTCTGACTGCCTTCTATTTTTGAATGGGTTGGGAATAGAACCAAGAGATAAATTTTGTCTCCCTTTTGCTTGTCAGGGTTGGGTACCTTGAATATGGGTTCAAACTGGAACCAAAAATAAAATTCAAAGTAAACACCTCAGAAGGACACCCAGCTATCTCCATGGCAGAACTTTGCATAGGGTGCTGGAAAATTCAGGCAACTGCTCTGACCCAGCACAAACTAAGAAGCTCAGCAATGACTCAGTCACTCCTCTTGAGAGCAATTAAGCTGCTGTAAAACATGTAGGAACCTGATAAGTAGACATACAATCAGTCCCTAAATCCCACCTTCTCCTAGCACCATATTGCTAAGGCAAAGCAGAGACAATTCATTCGGCTTGCATATTTTCCTCAAGACTGTCTTTCATACTTCTCTGAATGAGATTTTGTTTCTATCAGCAAGTGTTTAAGAAACTATGGAGAGGAAGAGGAAGCTGGCATATGGCTTCAAAATAACTTATTTCTGTTGACATGAAAAGAAAGCCTTTTATATTTCAATAGGATATCTTCATGTATTTAGCATTGTTCTGGAAATAATAGTTAATGCAATGAGCCAAGGAAAAGGTGAGTTATATGTATTGAGAAGGAGGAGGAGCAGAGTTAGTAAACATTGATAATTTTTGTATGTCTGGATAACTCAAAAGTTATTAGCTGGAAAAAGTTATTAGTAGTATGTAATAAGAAAGCAGGAAGGTAGCTGGGTAAAGGTTAAATATATTAAAATCTATAGCTTTCTTATATGCCAGCATTAATTGTAATTAGAATGTAAATATTCTACTCACAGTAGCAACAAAACTATAAAATACCAAGGGATACATTTAATAAGCAATGTATACAATAAACAATAGAGAAAGCTACAAAGATGAACTGACTTGAAAGAAGTAATACATTCTGGGATCGAAGTCTTTAGGTTGTGAAGATATCAGTTTTATCCATTCTGATTTATAAATTAACAGCATTTCAACAAAGAGTTTACTTAGAACTAGACAAAATAATTCTAAATTTTACCTGGAAGAATAATTATAGGTGAAAAACTAAAATGAGATGGGTGGAAAGGGGGAGCTTTTCCTATTTGATATTAGGATGTGTTTTTAAGTTGCATTCATCTACAGATAGGAAGACCAAAACACAAATCAGGACATCTGCTGATTATTCAGCCATTTCTGATGTTTCCAGACATGGAAATTAACATTCTCTCTTTCCTCAGTTGACCATAGATTCTCATGAGTGTTATTTAGCCTTGTAGAGCACAGCAATCTCCACGTAGATCCCACCAGCCCAGAAGAGCCATCAGCCCCTGCAGTCAGATAGTTCTTCACTTTGGACCTGTATTCCTCTGACAATACTGAGTGCATCTCCAAGGGCAGAGTATCAAAGCATGTCCTCTGGCTGGGTCTACAGGACACCAACATCTGGCAGAGAACTGACCCATCCAGTTGGAACTCTGGACTTTTTCCACTTCCACCTTTTGCTGGATAGGTAAAACATACAGACTTCTATTTTAATTCTTCACTTGTTTCCTGGGATTTTTGATGCCACATATACCAAGCTCTCAAATCATCGTGTAAAGGGCCAGTTTTTCTCAAATCCATTGTGCACCATGATGTTTTTTAAGTGTATGAAAAATAAATCATAAACAATGAAATTAAAAAGAAAGCCAATGTCAAGCAAATACAAGCCCCTATTTTTATTACTACATTTCATAGAAATCAAGTTACTCTGTCATGTTGCCGTATATGTCCTTAAACACTTATTTTCTTTGGTGGCCTGACCCTTATCAACTGACTGCACCATTATATAACTCATCACAAGGGAACTGGCTACTACTTTAGCTAGCAATTCTTTATGCCTTGTGATCTAAGTAACAAGACAATCTTACATTTTTATAACACTTAACTTTTTGTAGTGTGCAAATTCTTTTCCTCTCCAACAACACTATTTTGAGGTAGTTGGGGCAGTTTTTACAAACCCAATTTCTCACATAGTGTATTAGTCTGTTCTCAAACTGCTAGAAGGACATACCCAAGACTGGGTAATTTATAAAGGAAAGAGGTTTAATTGACTCATAGTTCCGTAGAGCTGGGGAGGCCTCAGGAAACTTACAGTTATGCTGAAAGGGGAAGCAAACACATCCTTCTTCACAGCGCAGCAGGAGAGAGAAGAATGAGGGCCAAGCGAAGGGAGAAGCCCCTTATAAAACCATCAGATCTTGTGAGAACTTACTATCACGAGAATAGCATGGGGGAAACTGCCCCCACGATTCAATTACCTTCCACTTGTCCCTCCCACGACACATGGGAATTATGGGAACTACAATTCAAGGTGAGATTTGGGTGGGGATATACTCAAACTATGTCAGGTAGGAAATGCAATTCCTCATAGAGATATTCAGTGACATGGTCAAAGGGGTTACTGACAAAGCTGGAATGCACCCTGGAATGCCCTCCCTGATTCATTATTTTTTGTTATTTCCACTTCTTTCCCCCTGCTTTTCCAAAGCATTTTTATTCATAGTTAAGTCATGATTCAGGGCCCCAGGGTGAGGATCACCATGTACCCAGGTTTCCCTTTGCCTGGGAGAAGGATGAAGGACATAGGAGGGGTAAGATGCAGCCAGTTCAGATCTTTCCAGGAAATGTGCCTTTAGCCCAGCTGTCATCCTAGACTGAAACCCAGGAGCAGGGCAGAAGAACTTGTACACACACTGGTATCATTCACACATAGAGACATCACACCCTTCAGCGGTTGTTGCCTTCTCACAGAGGTGGAAGTCCAGGAAGTTCTGCCAGCAGTTCCTAGTCTGGTTGGGGAAGCGTCTGTCAAAAGGGGCAGTCTTGTAGTTCTTGATTTTGGTCTTCATGTCTTTTGCCAAGGTGCTGACTTCTAAAGATGCTCATGATGCAGCTGGTAGCTCAGTGTGACCCTCAGCAAAGACATCAACTTTGGACCTCATTCCACTCTTTAATGAATCTGTTTATGTCTCAGTTAATGGAGCTACTGATGACTGACTCAGTGAGTCTAATCCCATGACCCTGACTGACAAAGCATTGTAAATGCTAATCCTGCAAAAGTCCCTTCTACTGTTATCTACACCGTGAAGAGAAAACCCACCAAACTGAACAATGATGATGTTCTTACACAGCAGCGCTGCATTAGGAAGAAAATTTCAAATAATCCATCACCTAGTGTGAATATTTCCACAAAACAGCAAATTTCACTAAAAACTCTCATTAAACACTTTAAGAAGAGACGTGTAGCGAGTTATTTAGGCTACATAAACCAA
The DNA here is from genome assembly GCF_000001405.40 of Homo sapiens. NCBI lineage: Eukaryota > Metazoa > Chordata > Mammalia > Primates > Hominidae > Homo > Homo sapiens. The sequence goes on from NC_000008.11 coordinate 26,836,645, forward strand.
AACCAAAGTGATATTGTTGGTCTGGTAGTTCTTTCTTAAAACTGCAGGTAACACATATAAGAGCAAATAAGTAGCGTCTTATAGGCCAAGTTTACAAAAATAAACTACAAAGAGATGTGAGAAATTTTAAACAAAATCTCTGCTCATTGTTCAGAAGGAGATTCTCTTCTCTGTGCTCTTCAGGAGGGGCCAGCAGTGGTATTTGGGCTGAGTGGCAAGTGAAGGGGAGTGCTTAGGTCCCTTCAGACTGTGTGCCAGTGAATGCAGTTCCAAAGAGCTGAGAGAAGGGCAAACGACCAGCCCAGGAAGGCAGCATAGTACAGGGGAAAGCCCTTGGTTCCAGAATCCAAGGGTTTTGGTTTGAATCTCAGCTTTGCCACTTCCTAACTGGGTAATGGGCCCTCACCTCACTCTGCCTAATAGAACTGTGATTACTAAACAAAGGTAGATATACAATGGCTAGTATATAAGTGCTGAGAGATATTTGTCCTTGTCAATAGAAAAAAAAAAAGCATATAGAATTCACCTTCCTCTACCAGGCATGTGCCTGGACCTCTTCAGGCTTTTTAAAAAAGCTTTTTAAATTTATTTTTGTCTGACATTGATTATGTGGGATAAAATATCTCCAAGTGCGGTGCAGAGTCTATATGAAGAAGCACAGATAGGAAGAGAAGTAGTCACATTAAAGTCAAATTAAGAGTCCTATTAAAGTCTACAATAGCCAGGCTGGGCATGGCAACTCACACCGGTAATCCCAGCACTTTGGGAGGCTGAGGAGGGCAGATCACTTGAGGCCAGGAGTTTGAGACCAGCCCAGCCAACACAGTGAAACCCCATCTCTATTAAAAACACAAAAATTAGCCAGGTATGGTGGTGCATGCCTATAATCCTAGCTACTTGGGAGGCTGAGGCACAAGAATCGCTTGAGCCTGGGAGGTGGAAGTTGCAGTGAGCCAAGATGGCACCATTGCACTCCAGCCTGGGTGACAGAGAGAGACTCTGTCTCAAAAAAAAAAAAAAAGTGTACAGTAGCCATTGGGCTAGATAGCCTGAGGCCTAACCGGTGCCCACAGTGGGGATGTGTTATAGCACAAGGAAAAAAGCTTTGCTTTATGAGAGAATTTTGCAAGGGCTATTCTGACACACACCTGAGTGAGCTGACATGTTTGGAGAAGGCTCAATGAGTAGAAGCTCAGTACCTCCCATGTATGCTCAGAATGTTCCCACTTTTACTGCCTTTGATTCCTATCTCAATACATTACTTTAGTCTCTACCAAAGTAATACGGAAGACAGAATTAGAATTGTCTTTTAGTGATTGTATGCAGTGCAATGTACAACCAGGACAATTGTGTTGTTTTTCCGGCTTGAGTTGCTCCAGTTGGCTGTCTATACCAATCACAAGACTTGTATTTCTCAGGACTGTGCAAAGTTAAGCCAAGTAGTTGAGTACAAACCAGGACAGGCGTTTAATGATACAGATGTTCTACAACATGTTTTCTTTTTTTCAGGCACCAGAAATCTATGTGGTTACTTTCTTTAGTTTATAAGACCACATGTAAGTACTTTGGACAATTGATGTATTTTTCCTTTTTACATTCAGATATTTAACAAAGCAAGGCACAGGTCTAGGCTCTGTATGAATCTATATCTGAAGAAGCCAAGTTGGAGCAGCTTACAAGCAGATCCCAGTCACTGACACCACCTTCCGAGGCTTAGTGATGAGTAGAAAATCCAGACCCTTCACCCCGCTGCTCATCTGAAATAGAGGACAATAACTGGAATCTCTATGCTCTCCAATAATGCAGGACTTGACTTTGAGTCTCTTCAATTTAATTGAACAAATATTTATTCAGGACTTACTACTGTGCTTAGGCCCTGAGGATTCCAAGCTGATAAGACTGATTCAGGTTAGGCCTATGGAATACAATTTAGAGCTTACAAGATGATCACCTAAGCCACTTTCATCATTCAGCTGGTGAAGAACTGAGCCCTGGAGAGAAGGAAGCTTCCCAATGGCACAAAGCAAGGGAGAACCAGGGTCATTCAAAAATTTGAAATGGTAAAAATGTAGATGCCATTACTATCAAAAAAGTGGTAGAAGATAAAGGTACTGTGTGCAAGTCCCTATTCTGTAGCTTTGGCCTTAGATGTGGATCCATTCCTTACCTGGACACAGAGGAAAGGCCTCCCTCCTTAATGTCTGCATAGGGCCACCCCCTCAGGTAAACCACCAGTGTGTCCTCTAATGTGTCCCCTCAGCTCTGGAACCAGAGTTAAGGCCACCTGACCCTCACCATGTGACTAGCTCTATCCTGGACAAGTCAGATATTAAACCCAGTATAATGAAAACCAGGTCTTTACATTAGAGATTTTTATTTCAATAGATATCAAGATAGACTTGCAAGCAAATTTGTGTATTTAAAGCATATGATATAATGATGGACTATGCATGCTAATTATTAGAAAGTAATAAGGGTGCTAGTTAAGTGGTGCTTCACTTCTCTGTGAAGAATTTTTTTTTTTTTTTTTTTTGAGATGGAGCCTCGATCTACGCCCAGGCTGGAGTGCAGTGGTGCAATCTTGGCTCACTGCAACCTCCGCCTCCCGGGTTCAAGTGATTCTCCTGCCTCAGCCTCCTAAGTAGCTGGGACTACAGGCTCCTGCCACAACGCCCAGCTCATTTTTTGTGTCTTTAGTAGAGACGGGGTTTCACTGTGTTAGCCAGGATGGTCTCGATCTCCTGACCTTGTGATCCACCTGCCTCGGCCCCCCAAAGTGCTGGGATTACAGGCGTGAGCCACCATGCCCGGCCTGAAGAAGTTTTTTGACTTCCTAAACTTCAAACTGGAAAACCAGCCTCCTCTGACTGTACCTGTACAATGATTTTGGTCCTTTATTGGGCTTAATTACATGCTAGTCTCCACCTTGAAGTCAGGGTCTGTTCCTGTCTGGCGCCTGGTAGACTCTCAATGTTTCTTGAATAAAGTAAATAAAAGATATTTTGAGATCTTAGTCCACTCTGGGGTGGCTTCCCAGAAGAGAAAAGCTGGGATTTATTTTAAGAAATGGAAGTAATTTGGCGGAAGGAGGCATATTTCTTCCTTAGTGCCCTCACCAAGCCTAGAAAATAGGAGCAGGTCTTGGGGTGGGATGGTGGGAAGGGTGTGTGGGGAGGAAAGGCACAAACTATGTGATTCCCCTATGGCTAGAGAGAAGCTCTCGGAGGCAGGCTAACTCTGCCAAGGTCAAGGAGCAAACAGGAATGGAAGCCTTGACCCTCGGTCCAGCCTCACACCACATGTTCTCTATAGGAGACACCTTTGTACGGAGCTTTGCACTGACCTTGAGAAATAATTTCCATCTGGAATTCTGGGTGAATCACAGGAAGGCAATCTGCAATTTCTCAAGTTTGCACTTGGCTGGGGTTGTTGAATCTATGTTGTAACCCTTATGAAACACTATTGCTCAAGAACATTCGAATGGATGCAACATTTGTAAATTAAAAGCCTGCTGCTTTAATTCCCTTCCAATGGACACAGTTAGACATATACAGAAGTCACAACTGGATGCAGCTGGAGGTTTGACTTTGAGAGGATGGGAGACTGGAAATCCCTGGGCATTTGGTCAGCACAGTAGCAGAGTGCTGGGGTTTGGGAAAGTAGCGGTTGGGTAGGAGAAGGTGTTGCATGCAATATTTTTCTTTCTGGTATTTGTCCCGGGAGATCCATATTGACACCTGAACTTTGTGACACAGTCGAGCCCTGCTCCACTGGCTTCTATACAAACAACATGATGCAAACCAGCTGGGGCCAAAGCAGTTACCATGGAAACCCTAGACTTTGGTTTGGAAAGTAAAAGTAAAAGACATTTATGATGACCACAGCAGTGGTTTGTACCAATGCACTTCTTGGGAAGTTTCTTTTTTATCCTGAACTTTAGCGTTCTTTTTTTTTTTTTCTTGCCCTGTGGAATTTGGCAAAAGAAAAATTTAAAATCAGATTGGAATTATTACCTTCCCCATTAAATAGCTAAAACAGGAAGTCTTGATTTATTCAAACCATATTTGCTAAAGACAAATTTAACTCTAAATGGAGAAACCGCTTAAAGGTCAAGTTTTGTCTTGGATACTTTGAAAGAGTTGCTAAGCATTTTTGTCCCCTATGGAGGCTGGGTTGACACCAGGAAGTGTTATTTGTGTTATTTCCCCTCAAACATTTTTCCACCTCTCAGTAATGACAGGAGAATTATGGCTATAGAGAGCAAACACAGCCTTATGTGGGCATGATCACAGTTGTAGCAAGCCAGTCATGATAGCAGGAATAGGCTGGTTGCATGAGTGCACTGGGTGAAGACTACAGAGGACATTAAGGGCACCAGAGGGAACAGGTTCAATTTCTACTCTGTCACTTACTTGCTGCATGATCCTGGGCCAGTTACTTAACCACCCTCTACCACAGTTTCCTCAGGTTGGAAATGAGAATCAAAATGCCCAACTGCCCCCAAATGTTCACATGGATTCAATGAAATAAAGCACATAAAGCATAAACTGAAATCCAAATGGAAAGCAATCACAAAAAGAATCCAGTGGAAGGGAAGTGGGAAGTAGCAGGCAGATCACGCTGACAGGTTGGCTTCAAGTGACCGTTCCAATCTCAGAGGACCACAGTCTCAAGGCCACCTACAGTTTCCTTTACCACCCACTGTCTGAGCCACCAAAGCCTACCCCACCCTTGCACCTCCTTTCTTACTCCCTTCTAACTGTGAAGGCATCGGGCTTTCCCAGATATCCTTTGCATTCAAATCCTCTCAACCACTGCCTGCAGATTCCCCTCCTTCTGTACTCATTTTTCTTTTCTTGGAAAAAAACAAAAACAAAATTGGACCCTTGGTGGAGCCCTTGATGGCGACAGCACAATCTTTCATCCCTTTGCTTTGTCCTCTCAGGTCCTGGCTCTGTTCCTCACCTCCACTTTTATTTCCACATCCTCCATGACAAGCCTCCTGTCCCTAACATTCAGCTGAAACTGTTCCTAGATCCCAAACTCCTACCCTAGCACAAGAGAAAGCTGGTGGCATTCCTATTTAGTGACATCTCTTCCCAACTCTGCATCAGCTTTGATAGGTCACAAATGACCTCAGATTACTAAACGCTATTTTTTTTCTCCTTTTCTTTCCCCTTGACTTCTCTGCTGCATTTGATATTGGCGCCACTTTCTCTTCACTAAAATTCTCTCTTCTTTTTGTTGCCAGGATTTTATGCTGTGGTGAGTCTCCCACTTTTCCAAAACGTTGTGCAAGTTCTGCTTGTTTTTTCTTCTGCCTACTGATGCCAACATATTCTAACATTCAGCCCTCCTTAGGAGATGACCCATTCCCTTAGCTTTGCTATTTTCTATTCCCATGACTCTCATCTCAAGAGCTCTTCTTCACCAAATGCCAATTATTTCTGCTGATCTCTAGGTCAACCCTGTCCAACAGAACATTCTGAGAGGATGGAAATGTTCTCTGCCTGGGCTGTTGAATGCAGTGGACATTAGCCATATGGAGCTATGGAGTACTTGAAATGCAGTTAGCCTGACTGCAAAACTGAATTTTTAATTTTATCTAATTTCAATTTCAATTTAATTTATTACATGTGGCTAGAGGCTACCATATTGGACAGCATAGTTCCAGATAGTTTCACTTAAACACCATCATTTCAGGCAAAATATGATCAATACTAAAGGTTTTCTGGAACCAACTCCTCTCCCAGCCTCTCTGTCTATGGACAACTAATCCCTACTGCATGCAAAGCTCAAAAGCCTCTTTTATTAATTCCACTCTGATTCCTCAGACGCAGTCTCTGATTCCCATTGACCTGCCTTGAAATATCCCTGTTCTCTCCCCGACCTTCTGTATTTTACTGCCACACCCCTGAGCAGGTCCTCATTCAAACCTAAACAGCCAGCCTGAATCTCTCACTTCAACACACCTTGCGATCACTGCAGACCGGATCTTATTCTAACACTGCTCTGCAATGTTGCTTCCCTGCCTCAAACCCCCAGTGGCTCCCCACTTCCTCTGATTTCATGGCCAAAACCTTTGTCTGGTTTTCAAAAAGACACCCAGAATAATATCATCCCTGGTCTGGGTCAATAATATTGTCCCACCAAGTCTGGATAATAATATTGTCCCACCAAGTCTGGTTTTCCATGACTCTCTCTCTCCCTCTCTCTCTTTCTACACACACACACACACACACACACACACACACACACACACACCACTCAAGGATTATCTCACAAGCTCATGAATGTGCTGTGTTCACTCCTGTCTTGGAGCTTCTATTGGCTTTTCAAATCCGCTATTGGCTTTTCAAATTCTACCTTTCAAGACCCAGTTAAAGACTCCTTCCCTCTATGGAAACTTCCCTAATTAAGACCTGCCTGGCATATCTCCCCTCTGGATTCCTAGACCATTTATAATGAGTGTTATCTTGTCCTGATGACTATTGTTTCAAGTGTGCTATCCTTTTCCCCAGATTAGACTTGAAGAAAGTGGCTCTTCTTCTTCCTGACCTCCAGAAGACTTAGCTCAGAACCGAGCCCGCAGCAGATGCTCAGTGCTTTGTGAACATGTCTTGATTCATCAGCAAGTGCAGGATAAGAACTGGATGTGACAACATCTGAGAGCTCAGTGAACATTAGACTCGCCTTGTTAATAATTTACTCCCTTTGTCCCCTAGTTTCCTGCTCATCCCTCTATTTCTCCTGGCTCTTTTCAGCTTCAATTCCTCTCATTTGTCCACTTCTTCCCTTTGTCCAGTAAACCACATGGGCTGATCAGGGTTGGAGTAGAGAGTGTAGGATTGTCTATTTTCTCTTGGAACTGATGGCCATGGTGAACACCTTGCTTGCCATATGATCAACATGGCTCTATGAGGCAGTTAAAACTATGTAGACAAAATTTTTTTTGTCAGATAAAATGAGGATAAAAATACCTCCTCATCAACATATAGAGGAACTATGGAATTAAATGAATAATGAGTAATGGGCTAAGAATATAGGATTGGATGTACCAGAATCACAGTGCAACTGCCTCATGGAAAAGCTGGGCATTTTCATCTTAAGGGATGATCCAGAAGGGCAAAGTTTAAAACAAAGGAACTGATTCAAGTGCAATATTTTACATTGTGTAAATATCTGAAGGAATTCACAAACGGACCACAATGGCTGCAGAGACACAGTGGTAAAGTGCTTAATAAATTGGCGAACACGTGTTGTGCCATAAATGTTAGTGCATGAAGCAAGTTATGATTATTTGTTTCCCTTTGTGTTTTTCTAATCAAAGATTTAAAAATCATGGGAGTTTTGAGCATCATGAGATAACAAGTATTGTGATACAGGTCCACCATTCCTTTTCCAAAAACTTTGGTATTAGATGTGTTTTGGAAATCAGGATTTTTCAGATTTTATAAAGGTCATCTGGATCATATGTTGTATATTGTATACTACTACCAGTGGGATATGGGTCAGCACCCTACAATCAAACACAGAAATATTTCTGCAACACAACGTGTAAAATATAAAATCTACAAATGGACTCACCTGAGTTCAGATTGAGTTCACTGCCAAATGAGTTCTGATAAGGTCAGATTTTGGCCCCAAATTATTAATCGAGAACTTGCAATTTTCAGAGCTTTTGAACTTAGGAATACAGACATTGTGTACCTGTCCTATTCTACATCATTTTCTTTAAAAAGAGGTAGTCTTTTTGAAAGTTTCTATTAAACTTTTAGAGATGTAAAAAATAGTGGGTAGTAATTACAGAACTTACTACAAAGCTACAGTAATCAAAACAGTGTGGTACTGTCATAAGGATAAAGGACATATGAAATGTGGAATACAATTCCATTTGATGGAATAGAATTTAGACTCCAGAAATGAACTCATTTATCTATGATCAGTTGAATTTCGACAAGGGTGCCAAGACCACTCAGTGGGAGAAAGAATAATTTCTTCAATAGATGATGCTTGGACAATTGGATTTCTACAAGCAAAAGAATGAAATTGGAAGCTTACCTCCTATCATGTATAAAAATTAACTCAAAATGGATCAAGGACCTAAGTGTAACTATAACTCTTAGGAGAAACTATAACTCTTAGGAGAAAACATAAGGATACATTTTTGCAACTTTGTCAGGGGTGTTCAATCTTTTGGCTTCCCTGGACCACAGTGGAAGAAGAAGAGTTGTCTTGGGACACATATAAAATACACTAAAACTAACAATAGCTGATGAGCTTTAAAAAATTGGAAAAAATCATAATGTTTTAAGAAAGTTTATGAATTTTTATTGGGCTGCATTCAAAGCCGTCCTGGCCATGGGTTGGACAAGCTTGAATTAGACAATGACTCCTTAGATATATGACACCAAGAACACATGCAACAAAAGAAAAAGTAGATAAATTGGATGTCATAAAAATTAAAGACAGCTGTCCACCAAAGGATACTATCAAGAATGTGAAAGGGCAACCCACGAATGAAAATATTTGCAGATCAATTATCTGACCAGGGTCTGGCATCCAGAATATATTAATAACCCCTGCAACTCAACAATAAAAAGACAAATAACCCAATTAAAAAATGGGCAAAGGATGTGAATAGATATAACTCCAAAGAAGTTACATGAATAGCCAAACATGCATATGAAAAGACACTCAGCATTATTAGTCATTAGGGAAATGCAAAGCAACATCACTAGAGATACTATTTCACACCCACTAGGATGGACATCATTTTAAAAAATGACAAGTAATGGTGAGGATGTAGAGAAACTAGAGCCCTCAAACATTGCTGGTGGGTATGTAAACTGGGGCGTTTGCTGTGAAAAACAATTTGGCAGTTCCTTAATTAGCTAAACGTAGAAGTTCCATATGGCCGAGCAATTCAACTCCTAGGGGTATACCTAAAAGAACTGAAAACTGGTACTCAAACAAAAACTTGTACATGGATGTTCATAGCAATGCTATTCATAGTGGTCACAAGGCAGAAATAACTTAAATGACCCTCAATGGAGCAACAGATAAATAAAATATGGTACATTCATACAAATAAATAGTATTCAGTCATACAAAAGGAATGAAGTCCTGAAACATACCATAACATGGATGAAGCTTGATAACATTATGCAAAATGAAGAGGTATACACAAAAGGTCACATATATGATCCCATTCATATGCAGTATCAGGAATCAGCACATCCATACAGATTGATGGCTGCCAGGCACTTGGGGAGTGGGGAATGCCGAGTGATTGCTAATGGGACCCAGATTTCATTCTGGGGTCATGAAGTGCTTTGGAACTAGATAGTGGTGATAGTTGGATAACATTGCGAATGTATTAAATGCTACAGAATTTTACAATTTAAGATGGTTAAAATTGTGAATTTTACGTTATGTGAATTTAATTACAATTAAAACAAAGTGAGTAGACAAATATTGCCTCTTTGGGGACCTCAAGGCATCTGGAGACCTCAGGGTTTGTTTGGTTCATGTGTTTTGTTTTGTTTTGAATCACTAGCTAAGATGTTGGCAACACAGTAAACAAAAGCTGAACAATAATAATAATTGATGTCTGCTTTAAATGTGCTGTTTCTGATGTATTTTTGTAAATTTCAGGAATTCCTGTAGCATAAACCAGAGTTTGTTAATCTTGGCACTATTGCCATTTTGGGCTGGTTAATTCTCTGTTGTGGGGGCTGTCCTGTGGTTGTGGAACATTCGGCAGCACCCCTGGTCTAACCCACACAATGCCAGCAGCATCTCCCACCCCAATTGTGACACTATGACAGAAAGAGATCTTGGGCCAGGCGCAGTGGCTCATGCCTGTAATCCTAGCACTTTGGGAGGCCGAGGTGGGTGGATCACTTGAGGTCAGGAGTTCGAGACCAGCCTGGCCAACATGGAGAAACCCTGTCTCTACTAAAAACATACAAAAACTTAGCCAGGCGTGGTGGCAGGCACCTGTAATCCCACCCACTTAAGAGGCTGAGGCAGGGCAATCACTTGAACCCAGGAGGCAGAGGTTGCAGTGAGCCGCGATCGCGCCATTGCACTCCAGCCTGGGTAACAGTGAGACATCGTCTCAAAAAACGAAACAAAAATTATTCACAATAGCAAAGACTTGGAACCAACCCAAATGTCCAACAATGATAGACTGGATTAAGAAAATATGGCACATATACACCATGGAATACTATGCAGTCATAAAAAATGATGAGTTCATGTCCTTTGTAGGGACATGGATGAAATTGGAAATCATCATTCTCAGGAAACTATCGCAAGAACAAAAAACCAAACACTGCATATTCTCACTCATAGCTGGGAATTGAACACTGAGAACACATGGACACAGGAAGGGGAACATCACACTCTGGGGACTGTCGTGGGGTGGGGGGAACAGGGAGGGATAGCATTGGGAGATATACCTAATGCTAGATGACGAGTTAGTGGGTACAGCGCACCAGCATGGCACATGTATACATATGTAACTAACCTGCACATTGTGCACATGTACCCTAAAACTTAAAGTATAATAATAATAAATAAAAAAAAGAAACAAAACAAAAGAAAAACACTAACAAAAACAAAAACAAACAAAAAGAAAAACGTCTCCAGACCTTGCCAAGTGCCTCCTGGAGGTCAACATCACCCCCGATTGAGAACTACTAATGTGACCTCTTTAGGAAAAGTTTATTATCCTGGGATTTTTTCCTCTCCTAAAGTTTCTTTTTAAAAACCCATTTCTGAGATTGTTCTTTAGTAATTTCCAAATGACAGCAAACTCATGAAACAAAACAACATGAAAATTCCAGGTAAATGTCCAAAACCTTTTTCATTAAGAGGAACTAAACTACGCAGTCCACTTGTAGACAGTAGGTTTCTCACTGGCAACGAATGCCCTGGCAATAAGCTAAATGTGGATAGCACATAAAAAAAGTGAATGTGCAATGTTCCCTTTTCAAACCCTTTTTGGGCAAAGACGACTGCTCTGCCAGCATTCCAGTATAATGACAGCTCATGTGCCCTTTGTCAACCTTGCCTCCTTCTCCTTTGAAAATACAAACCACACTTCTTCCCAAACTTCTTCTGATACCATTTAATGAGTCTGGGATCAGACACTGTTAGCACAGAGAGCAACCTGTGCTCCAGATCCCCCTCAGCAGCCGCTGCCAGCAGGAAGGGAGGGCTGAGTGTTCAGGACGCAGGGTTCCCTGGCTGCTTCACCAGCGCAGTGCTGCCTTTATCCATTTTATGTCTTGGATTTCTGAGTGGGATTTATTTTGCACAAAGAGTTCTGAAGCTGAGAAGTTTGAAAGCCACTGGCTCAACCCAAGCCCCTCTCCTACAGATGAGGACACCAGAGTGCAGAGCAAAGGGCAGGACCACGTGTGATTCCAGGGCTTTTAACTGTAGACAGGCCCCTTTCCTCTGTTACAGGGAAGGCAGCCAGGCAGCTCCTGCAAGATGTCACTAATCCCTTGCGTGCCTCAGTTTCCTTATCTCTACATGAGCATAGCAACCTCCATCTTCCTGGCTACTTCTGGGATTTAAATTAGACACAGTAAGTGCCATGCAAGTACCACTAATATGGATGGAAAGTTTGTGTCCTCCCCAAATCCACATGTTGAAACCCTAACCACCAGTGTGATGGTGTTAGGAGGTGGGGCCTTTGGGAGGTGATTAGGACTAGATGATGTCACGAGGGTGAACCCTCATAATGAGATTCATGCCCTTATACAAAGAGGAAGGTACCAGAGAGCTCTCTCTCTCTCTCTCTTCATCAGGTGAGAATGCAGGGAGAAGGCAACCATCTGTGACCTAGCAGGAGAACCCTCACCAAGAGCCTGACAATGCTAGAACCCTGATCTCAGACTTCCAGCCTCCAGAGCTCTGAGAAATCAATGTCAGCTGCCTAAGCTGCCCAGTCTATACCTGCCCAGGTATTCCATTATGGCAGCCTGAGCTGACAAGTCTACCGCTTGACATCACACACATCCTCAGGTGTGTGAATGGTTTCACTTCTTCTTTCCTAGGAAAAGAGTCATTAAACTCTACACGTTTCACACAATCCTCTTGTGATCACAGCCACAAGGGAAAGCTCAGCTTACTGAACTGTGTAGGGATTCTGTTACTGTCTCACTGCACAGTTGTCTTCCTCTAACTGTTGAGAATCAAAGGCTATAGGAGGATGGGTCTGCTTTGTCTTGAACCACAAACTTCTGAAGGACTGAAGGAGAGAATCGCACTGCGGGTGACCCACTTCTGCTTCACACTCTGATATCCCCATGAAAAGGAGCCTGCACACAGGCAGTGAATTCCAGACGGAGCTGAACTCTCAGGTCCTCTTTCTAAATTCTCAATCTATCTAAAAGAATACACATACAGGTGAAATTTTACCTCCCTGCTAAAAACCTTAGGGAAAGCCAAAGTTCATAAGCCAGAATCTCTGAGAAGTTTCTTGAAACTATAGTTTGGTTAGGACCAGCCTGAATAAAAAACTGATGAATCCTCGGTTCACATCAACAAAAGACGGGAAAGACGGAATGGCTCCAGTAGCTTCTCAGGAATAGCCCCAGGGGCTTGAGAGAGCAGAAACTGCGACACACACAGGATCAGGGCCAGCTTGTCAAAGGTAAATCTCAATGCTTACATCCAGGCAGGATGGGAAGGACCCTGAACTTTCCCAGGCAAGGTCAGCAGACAAAGGAGGTTCTCTACAACAGGTGCCCAGGCGGTCAGTCATGCCACCCGGAGGAGAGGGCACTACACACCCTGCACCAAACAGACAAGAGAAACAGCCTTTGCTGTGCAAAATCAAAACATGTTACTTCCATCTCTTGAAGGATAAAGAGTTCTGTACTCTGGCAGATTCGAATCACAACAAAGACAATCCATTTCCTTCTCCCCTTAATCTGGATCTGAAAGATTTGAAGAGGAACCTACCCAGTTTCAAACAAAGCCCATTTCAAATTTTAATACCAGGTCACCCTCTATGAGGTTGAAGAAAAAGAGAAAAAGTACTGTTCCTATGAAAAGCTTCAGCTATTCAATAGAGGAGATTGATCCCAGGAATCAGAGCAAGTGTACACCTTTAAAATGGTGATGCGGAGGATGATCTCTAAATTGTATTCAAACAAGACTTAAGCAGCTATTAGGCTCACAAAACAAGTGTAGGGGGTGACGAAGATGGACAGTGTGCCCACCATATGGAGTGGGATGGAGGGAATATGGAGATTGTGTATTACAAAAACCAAATAAGTAAAGTGGAACATGAACTTGAGAAATTCAAATGGAAATTTAAAAAAAAATAGTAAAAAAGTGACTAATGAGAGAGAAATGCAAAAACAAAAAACAAAAAACAAAAAAAAAACAGGGCAGGTATAGGAATTGAAATTCCAAGAGGAAGATCAGAGCAGAGGACATCATCATTAAAGGAGGCTGCCTTTGGCTTTAGAGCAAAAGGTGCACTGGATCTCAAGCAATAGCAATGAAAAGTTACCCCAAACAGAAGTCCCCAGTATATATACTTTTTAATTTAATAGAGAAAAAAATTTTATAAACATCTTAGTTGAAAAATAAATACACAAAGAGAGTACTTGACAAAAAAACAATAATCAAGGGGACCTCACGTCATTTATGAAGCATTAAATGCCAAGAAACAAAGAAGCAACAAGAGTATTTTGAAATGCAAAACAAACAAACAAAAAAGAAAAACAAAACCCTCACTTGAATTCTATGTCACATAAGTTGTCTTTCATGTGTTAAGGTTTAGGCCTGGAAGGGCTGAGAAAATGTGTTTTGCTTATATCTTTTTTGTTGTTGTTGTCAGAGACAAAGTGTTGCTCTGTTGCCCAGGATGCAGTGCAGTGTGGAAATCTCAGTTCACTGCAACATCTGCCTCCTGAGTTCAAGTGATTCTTGTGCCTCAGGCTCCTGAATAGCTAGAATTACAGGTGTGTGCCACCACGCCTAATTTTTGTACTTTTAATAGAGACGGGGTTTCACCTTGTTGGCTAGGCTTGTCTCAAACTCCTGGCCTCAAGTGATCCGCCCACCTCGGCCTCCCAAATTGCTGGGATTACAGGTGTGAGTCACTGCACATGGCCCTTGCTTATATCTTTATAGGTAAAATTTTGTTTGGTGCTATAGTCTTCTCTAATATAATAATAAATATTTTAAACTTTGTGGGCCATACAGTCTCTGTAGCATCTACCCAAGTCCACCACTGTCGCATGGAAGCACCACAGACAATATGTCAATTACAGGGCATGGCCAACCTAGCTGGTAGAACTTTACTCACAAAAGCAGGCCATGATTTGCCGACCTCTGTTCCATCTGGGAGATTAAGAAAAATCCAGAGCACAGGAGTGAGTAAGTCATAATATATAATAGGAGGACAATTGGTAAACTAAATTATAGAGAGATACAAAAGACAGGAGAGGCAATACAAAATTTAATGAAAATAATCTAGTTTTAAAATGCACTATTTTATTAACTAAAAGATAGAGGTTTTAAAGAGAAGGGAAAAGAAGAGTGTGCTAAACTTCTCACCTTCCATGGGCAAAGGTGGGTGGTGGAGTAACAGAGAGAACTGAAGGTTTAAACATGCTTTTGAAAAACTAGAAAGTTATGTCTAGTAAAATTAAAAACAGGAGACAAGCTTTCCAAACCACCACAGAATTAAAAAGCAAAGAAAAAAGTTACCCGTTTTACGAAAGACTGAAAATAGTGAAAACGAAGGAAGCATAGAGCCAGAAAGCATATGATAAGTTGACAAAAATCACACCAAATAATCTGTCACAATAAATGAAAATTAGTTAAATCCTTATTAAGGACAAATACCCATATTAGAAACATGGATTATGAGAAATCCATTTGATGTGAAGTACACAAGCTGCTATATAAAATGGTGAACAAATGTGAATAAAAATAGATTAGAGATTGAAATATTATTTTTTTAAATGTGCATATCCAGGAAAAATAATTAAATAGAACAAAAAGTCTATCTTTAAATGAAGATATTATTGATTTGATCTTTTATGCATGAAGCAAAAACATAAACATATATAAAGCAAAACTTGTTAAAAATGTAAGAAATAGTGGGAAGAAACCTGGTAGCAAAGGGAAACTTTATCATACTTCTCTCAATATTTGGCAAGTAAAGTATATAATAGATAATGGTAAGATAAATAAAGATTAATGGATAAAGAAGATCTGGAAAACACCACTATTAATGTTTAGTTAATATATACACTAAAGATTAAATCTATTGTGTATTAATTATTGATTACATATTAAGTCATTAAGAAAATCTCAATAAGTCCCATAAGCTAAAAATTATTGAGCTCACACTCTCTGACCACAATGCATTAAATTAGAAATTACATTTGAGAAAGTGGGAGATAAAATTACCAATGATTTTCAAATGAACAAACAACAACAACAACAACACAATGAATCCTTTCCTGTCTACACAGGACAAGGGAAATATTAAAAGCAGGAAGGCAGACTGATTGGATGACAGCACTGCCTACCCAAACATAAGGGAAGAAACTAAACTTTGCGTAGAAGCAAATGTACAGCTTGGATTGTTTTTAATCTTAGACAAGAAAGAATTAAAATAGATGAACTAAACATTCTGGGTAAGCTAATATTGAAAAGCAAAATATAACCAGAAAATAAAAGAGAGAAATCTCTAGAGATTACATTAATGTACTGGGAAAGAGATTAAAATGACTAATAAATTCAGGACTTGGATTCTTTGAAAAAAACTAATAAAATATACAGGCTTTCAGAAAGTCTGAGCAAAGACAAAAAGAAAGAAGAAAGATAGCAAAGAAATAAAAAGTTACAGAATTTCATGTAGAAGTCTATGCTAAAAACTTGAACCTCAATGAGAAGGCAAATGGAAAATACGAAAATAAAGATTATCAAATCTGACGATCAGAACAGACCACTATCCATGGAAGAAATAGAAACCAGTCTCAAAGAATTGCATCCATAAAAGGAGCTGGGCCCGAATGTTTTATAGGCAAGTTTTTCAAACCTTCAAGGAACACATAATTCTTACGGTATTTAAGCTGTTACAGTTTATAGAAAAAAAATGAAAAGTGTCACAATTCGCTTTATGAAATTAACATAAACGTGCTACCAAAATGTAACAAAGACAGTGCATTAACGTAAAACAATAGACTCATTTCACACAGAAACACAGATGCAAATGAGAAGTGAAATATTTCCTGTGATACAGCAACATGAATAACGGTGATGTCACCTGATTGAGTAGAATTTAATCCAAGAATACATGGAAAGGTTAATAATATGAAATAAAATTTTATCAAATCAATGTCAATGAAAAAAGATTATATTGATGGATATCAATAAAGCAAATGTTTAATTTAACAAAATTAAAAATTCATTTTTATTGAATAATATTAAAAATGCAAACAAATTAAAATACATTTTAAATCTAGATCTGTATAGTTTTGTAAACTCTAGAAAGATATTTCTTTGATATGATGGAGTATATCAATCTAAAACCAATGGACAGTGTCATATCTGTCAAAATATCAAAGCAGCATTTCCCAACATCATTGTTTAATCAATTTTCCAGGAGATGTTAGCAGATGTGCTTAAAACTAAAGTCTAAACAACAGTTCAAAAGTAGTTTGGGAAGTAAATGGAGTGACAAAATGAATCCAGAGTTTTCTTGGCAGAATGAATGTACAATAGACAAAATAATTTTGAAAAAGAATATTCATCCAGGCCTTAACCTAGAGAATATTAAAATGTATTATGCAACCACAGCCATTAAAGTAATGTGACAGCAATACTAGAGCAGAGAGACAGATAAATGGAAAAGAAGCGAGTGTATTCCAAAATAGATCCAAAATTCTTTTTAATATAACAAATGTGGTTTTCCAAATAAGAAAGGAAATGATGGATTATTTGATAAGCCTTTTGAGACTATCTGGCTAACCATTTCAAAATAAATACTGTGAGGCATAATCTACCAAAATACAAACATGAATTCCAGGTAGATTACAAATGATGCTCTAAAAGAATGAGGAGGAAACAGACTTACATTGTGGAAGGTCTCTCTGAGCATCCCTGAGAAGGCACATTCAATGAAAAAACATGAAAATATTTGACTATATAAATATTTTAAATGTCTAAACATTTGCAAAAACCATAAAACAACAAAATGCAAATAACCAAGTGGAAAAGATAGTTTTAAATATGTATAAGGATTATAATATTTTAAAATATTCCTCATCTTTATTCTTTTCTTAGTAAACCTCTCTCTCTCTCTGCCTCTCTCTCTCTCTCTGCCTCTCTCTCTCTCTGCTGTCCACTTGGCTTTGCTATTCCATAGAAGGTGGATGCCACTCTGGAAAGGAGGAGGAGTGTCCCCTTTAGCCAGAACAAGGAAGAGGAAAGACTTCCCTGTCTTCCCTGAGGGACTGTGAGAAAGGTGGGGAAGAAGGTAGTGGAAAGAGGCAGTTGGCATTTGTTCTGAGCCCTCTCTCTCAACAAGAGTGGTAGGAATGCCTGAAGATTGGCTGGGCACGGTGGTGCATGTCTGTAGTTCCAACTACTCAGGAGGCTGAGAAGAGAGGATCACTTGAACCCAGGGTTCTAGGCTGCAGTGAGCCATGATTGTGCCACTTCACTCCAGCCTGGGTGACACAGCAAGACCATGTCTGGAACAAAAAAATGCCTGAAGTTAAAGCGGGGCGGGGGGGGGGAGCAGGCAGAGGTGCTTTCTCCCATTCTCCATTCTGGGTGTAGTCAGTCCTTTCCATGAGAGCCACCATACCTGTTAATGTGGCAGCCAGTGTGGTGGGGTAGAGAGTGTGGTGTGGAAGGAACCCACCAGGCTCTCTGTGCCCTGAGACTGGGATGGAAACATTGTTGAGAATTTGGTGCAGGAGGTTGTCAAAGTTGTTCACAGGGCTGCAGGGACAAAGTGACTCCCTGGCCAACAGCAACAGAGCCAGTGTCACTGGAGCCAGGAAACAATGGAGTCATAGTCAAACCCTCTCTGACTACTATGACATTTGTAAGCCCCTAGGCGTGGTCAGTATCTTAGAGGGCAGATCTGAAAGGCCCTGTGCTGTGGTCTGAATGTTTGTGCCCCACCCCCGAAATTCCTATGTTGGAATCCTGGCCCCCAGTGTGATGATATTAGGAGATGGGGCCTTTGGGAGGTGATGCAGAAAGAGGCCCCAGGGAGCTGCCTCACTCCTTCCACCAAGTGAGCACACAGCTAGAAGGTACCATCCATAAAGATGAAGGTAGGTCTTCTTCAGACACTAAATCTGTTGGTACATTGAGCTCAGACTTCCAGCCTCGAGGATTGTGAGAAATAAATTCCTGTTTACAAGCCACCCAGTCTATGGCATTTTATTATAGCAGCCTGAATGGACTAGGACACCAAGGCATCCAAGAGACTGAATATGCAAAGATGATGCATAAATTATTGGATTTGAATGAGTTTATTAAATTTAACTAAAAGTGTGTGTGCATGCATGTGTGTGTGTGTGTGCATGTGAGTGCATGCATATGTGTATTTCCATGGAAGTTTGTAGAAAAGATCACATCCGTTTTTGGAAAATAAGCTACATCTTCTTGGCACATTTGCATATAGTGTGAGAAGACTGGCAACCCAGGATTTGTGATAAATAAGTAATTATTTATCTTCAATGTATAAAATGAGCTTACCGATAAAAAAAAAAAGACAGAAAAACTGCTGTATAAAAAGTGGCCAAAAAGCACAGATAGGAAATTTCACAAGAGGAGAAATATAAGTGATGGATAAAAATATAAAAAGAAATGTTCAAATAAGAACACATGACACGGGGAGGGGAACATCACACACTGGAGCCTGTTGGGGGTTGGGGGGCAAGAGGAGGGAGAGCATTAGGACAAATACCTAATGCATGCCAGGCTTAAAACCTAGATAATGGGTTGATAGGTAAAGCAAACCACAATGGCACATGTACACCTATGTAACAAACCTGCATATTCTGCACTTGTATCCCAGAACTTAAAGAAAAAAATAAGAAAAGAAAAGAAACATTCAAATAGCGAAGAAATAGAAAACATAAAAATGAAAAGCCACTAGGCAAGTGTCAAACTGGCAAACCAAATAGCAGGGCTAAAATACAGTAAACTTGTTAGACAAAGAAAATGCCTTAGAAAACTGTCCTCATATCCACCATGAAACCATGAGGTGACAGAACACAGCAATGACTTTGTTACTAAGTGACTAAGGATTATTACTCCATCCAAGTAATAACTCACTTGTCTATAGCCTGACTTGAAAGAGTCAGCTATTGTTCAAAGCATTGTTAGAGCTCATTGTTGATGTCTTCTGAGCCTGCAGCACGTTCTTTTGAAAATGATGGTAAATCTTCATTGACAGATTTGTCTTGTGGAAAGAGCCAAAATTAATTTAAAGCCAAGTCTGGTTATACTATTTCTGATCACGAGAAAGCTTTTCTCATAAATCTAAGCTCTGAAGGCAGTGACAAAAGAGGCATTCCAGAACGATGTGGCAGCTCACGGAAATAAGTTTTTTAAATGGCACGGTAGAAGGATTGCACTTGGCAGGATACAGCTCCCCTTGTCCTGCATAAAGGTCTCCCAACTGGTCTATCCACAATCTTGTTTTCACTAAGCCTTTGATAATCTTGAAATGCTGTATAAACTCTATCATGTCATTCCTGCTCATCTTTGGATAAAAACACAAACTTGTATAATGGCTATAAAGCCTTGTTTAGTCTGGTTCTTCCCTTTCCAGCTTCACTGGACACCAGTTATCTCTTGGCCTCTTGTTTCTGGCCACAGTGGCCTTCTAGAAAGTCATTATGGACATTAAGCCAGCCCCACTAAAGTCTTCGCACGTTCTCTTCCCTCCCTCCCCATTTTTGCCTTTAAACACCTACTCATTCAATAGATCTGGACTTAATAGTCAAGCCCTCCTTCCCAGAAAGACCTTTCTACCCTCCCAGTCCAGGACCACCCTTAGCCACAGGACATATTTTCAAGGCACCATTTATGTTCCCTTCATTGCTCTGTACACGGTTTTCGATAACTTAGTGTGGCTATCTGATTAATGTCTATCTCCTTCTGGAGATTAGAAGCCTGCAGGGAGGCAAAGATCCCAGTTGGTTTTACTCAGTGCATTGCATGAAGCCTGGCATATGGGAAGTTCTCAATATAACTGATGGATTAAAGAGAAATGTAATTTGGCACACTTGTGAGGTCGGTGATCTGCAAGAGGACTACAATGATCTGCCCCTCTGTGTACACACTTGCTGCTCTCCCATCAAGAGATGAGTCTGTCTCGCTTCCCCTTGAACCTAGGCTGGTCTCCTGACTTGCTGTGACTGCAGAATGAAACAGCAGTGATGCTGGACCAGGTGTGAGCCTAGCTCTTCAAAGGCCTCACAGTTTCTGCCTTGACTTTCTTGGGGGAGAGCTGCCATGCTATAAGAAGGTGGTTTAGAAGGGAACAGAGGCCACCAAGACTCACAGCCAGCTTCAATTGCCAGGCAAGCTGGGTGCTGACGTACTTTTGACCATAGAATCATGAGACATAGATGGCTGCTGCTTTAAGCCACTACCTTTTGGGATGGTCTGTGGTGTAGTAAGAGTAACTGAAACGCTGGCTTCTTATCTTAAAATAAATTCTAGCCAGGTGTGGTGACTCATGCCTCTAATCTCAATGTTTTGGGAGGCTAAAGAAAAAGGATTGCTTGAGGTCAGGAGCTCAAGACCAGCCTGGACAACACAGCAAGATCCCATTTCTATAAAAATAAAATATAAAAATTAGCCAGGCATGGTGGTGCATGCCTGTAGTCCCAGCTACTCAGAAGGCTGAGGTGGGAGAATCACTTGAGTTCGAGGCCGCAGTGAGCTATGATTACCACTGAACTCCAGTCTGGGTGAAAGAATGAGATCCTGTCATTAAATAAATAAATAAAATAAAATAAATCCTAATGGCACTAGTTTTTCTTCACACCATTATCTCTAAGAGGTGAACCTTTTCCATGAGAACTAGGGAACTGCTCCCTTTGTACCTGCAGTGAAGCAACCCTCAACCCCTGGTTATCTTGGGCATCCGCAGAGGGTTTGGGATTATCATATATCATTGTATGTACTTGTCCTTTTTCCTTGTCATTTTTCATATACCTTTGCTAGGTATCTAATTGTTCAGATGTTCTGCTCCATTAGGGCAGGGATTTATTTGTCTTTATCTCCAGTGATTCTATAGCTTCCTGGCAAACAGTATATGTTCAATGAAACTGCTGAATGAATGAATGAATCATTCTCTGCCTCATTGCCTCCACCTGATAAATCCACTGCCAGCTGTGCCCTCCTCAAACATCCAATCTTAAAACACATTTTTCTGCTCTATCAATGTGCTGCCTCCTGTTCTTTTATAAACATAATCCTCAAATATTCTATGTCTATGTAAGCCACATCTCAGCCCAATGCTGCCTCCTTTGATTCAGTGGCAACAGCAATCAATGGCTTAGGTCCTATAATAACGCTGGGTTTTGTGTTTAAATCAGATAACATATCCAGAATTCAGACACGTAACTATGTTTTCAGTGATTGTTGCCTTTTCATCTTCTTTCCAATGCTTTCTATTTCTTAGAATGCCAAGGACATCCACCCCTCATGGCAACATCTGCATGTTGACATACATCAGTAATGGTCTGTGAATCATTTGAATTCTGGTAAGATGAACATTTATTACCATTTACTCTGAGTTAGGCACTATGCTGGGCAGCTGACCTATATAACATCCCCTGTTATATGAAAAAGAAAGCCTAGGTTTAAATCTCAGGCCAACAGTTTCTCCATTCAGCAGCACACTGCCTCTGGAACTAGTGGGCTCTAGACAATGAGATGAAATCAACAAAGATGATTCATAGGCTTTAGATGCTGGAGCTTCCTGAGAAGCAGAGTTCTTATCCTTCCTTCTCTTTCGTAGGTTGAAGGCTGACACCGTCATAGTCTCTCTACTCATCTCCATGGCCAAAATTTGCTTTTGAAAGCATTTGCTCCAAAGTATAAATGACTGTTAACAACTGCACATGGCACCCCCCTCCCTTGAAGGCATTCTGAATTTCAACCAAACATTTAGGATGCAAAAATGGAACAAGATTAGCAAGATTTAGACTTGGAAGCAGGCAAGTCAGATTCCTCCCAACAGTCATGCTATTCAATGCAGCAAGCAACCCAGCCTTAGTGGAAAGAAGCTTGGGAAAAGGGAACGTGAGACTTCTCACAATATACAGGAAGGACCTTTGCAGTCAAATAGCCTACTCACCTGATTTTCCTGGGTCAGTCCCTATTAAACATGGGTGTTTCACTTCTCAGCTGTGGATAGCACACTCATCCCTGCCCTGGTTTCAGTTTTTAATCTCTTTCCTCTCCCGCAGCCTAGTGCAGACCGACAGCCCTTTTCTCCAAAACAGCACGTCATATTTAAGAATGTATGTCCCTTGAATATAATAATATGATAGTATATTTATTCTTCTGCTCACATTTTGCATGAAAAACATACTTAAGACAGTTAATAAAAAAACATATAACATCTCGTTGACGACCCAGCAGAAGTAGTGCCATCTTCTTTAAGTCTCTGCTCTGTCAATGGTCATGCATGTAGAAGCTTCTCAGTGACCTCTCGGCACAATGAACTGCTATATTCCTTAGCACACTGTAATAATATCATTCTGAGCACCATCCTGAGCACCATGTAATAATATCACTCTGAGCACCTATGTCATAGACTTGCAATAATTGTTGACAATTTGTCTCCTTAACTAGACTGTGAGGCCCTTGAGGGCACTGTGTTTTATTCATCTTTTTTATTCTGTGTAGCTGAGAGCCTGGTGCTTATTACATAGCCAGTACATTCTTGGAGGAAATCATCTCTTACTCAATTGGTGTCAGGAAGAAATTGAGAGCCACAGACTGGCAGGTTCAGGGATCCTTTGCACTACTGAGCAGCTACTCAGACCCTGTGAACTGTATGTTCCCTACTTCCCTCCTGTCATATCATTTTTCTTTTTTTTTTTTTTTTAGACAGAATCTCGCTCTGTCACCCAGGCTGGAGTGCAGTGGTGTGACTCAGCTCACTGCAACCTCTGTCTCCCGGGTTCAAGCGATTCTCCAGCCTCAGCCTACCAGGTAGCTGGTATTACAGGCGTGCACCACCATGCCCAGCTAATTTTTGTGTTTTTAGTAAAGACAGGGTTTCACCATGTTGGCCAGGCTGGTCTCGAACTCCTGACCTCAAGTGATCCGCCTGCTCAGCCTCCCAAAGTGCTGGGATTAGAGGCATGAGCCACCGCGCCTGGCACCTCACTAGGATTTAAAAGAAGCCCAGTGATTCCGAGGGCTCCTGTCTACCACCACTTCTCTCCACCACAACATCTTCTCCTCCACACTGCTGACTCCCTGGGAGAGCAAATCCAAGAGCGGGCTATGACTAGTCAGAGCATCCACCTCCCCTAGATGACTCCAGGACCCAGGCCATTGTTTCTCATCTCTATGCATAGCTCAGCCACCACTGCAAGCTCCAAACTCTCAGGCCACCCATCGTCACCTGGGCTCCTTCTACAACCTGGCTGTGGATGCTCCCTAACCTGACCGAGTCTGTGTCTCTTCACACACACACTCTCTGGGACTCACAGTAGGTCCTCAGCATTGCCTCCTGTATCCCTCAGCTGCTTAGCTCTTAGAGAAAAACACACAACCCTCCTTCCCGCTGTACTTTAATGTTATGACCGTAAATCTCAGATAGGCCTTCAGGACTTCCCAGTGACTCTACCAAACTTCCATAAAATGTTTACTGTCCCACTCTCAAAGATGAATCTTTCACACCTTCTCTGAGGCTAAAACTGCCATCGTTCCCCATTCCTGACTCTCTCTTAGCTGATGACCTTGCTTCATATTTCACTGAGGACATAAACATATCCTAAAGAGATCACTATCTCTCTCCCTCTGTCTCTACTTGCCTCAGGGCTCACACACTTTGCTCTCCTTGTCACTTCCCAATGCTCCCCTTGGGCACTGAATCCCGTTGCCTCTTTTGCCTATCCCATCAGTGCCTCTCTCTATCCCATCGTTCCCATCAGAATATAAATATCATGTCATATCCCCACCTCCCACCATTGAAAGCTCTCTCTATACCCCTCCAGCTACACCGCATCTCCTAGCTCCAGTGTATAGCAAAACCTTTCAGAAGAGTTGTCTATTTTCCCTGTTCCCACTTTTTTTATCCTTTGTTCTTTCTAGAAAGTACACAATCAGGCTTTTGGTTCCATCACTCCTCTGGACCTGTGAGCCTCACGTGCCTTCCTCCTATCACTAAAAACCTGCTTACTGCCAAATCTAGTGTTGGCTCCCAGTCCTCCTCTAACCTGACCTCTCAGCTGCATGTGACACAGCTGATTACTCCTGCCTTCTTGAAACATTTTCACTAGGCTTCCAGGACATCACATTCTCCTGATTTTTCTTCTCCCTGGCTACTCCTTTGCAATCTTGTTTGCTGGCTGTTTCTCCTGTTTTTCCTGACCTGACCCCCAGAGGCTCTGTTTTTTTTTTTTTTTTTTTTAGATGGAGCCTCGCTCTGCACCCAGGCTGGAGTGCAGGCATGATCTCGGCTCACTGCAACCTCTGCCTCCCGGGTTCAAGCGATTCTCCTGCCTCAGCCTCCCAAATAGCTGGGACTAAAGGTGCAGAGGCTCTGTTCTTATCTCTCTTTACTCTCTTTATCTTTTCTCTTGTCAACCTCTCCATTCTTGTAGCTTTAAAGATGTTGATATATCCCAAGTTTATATCTGTAGCCCGCCTCCTCTCTAAGCTCCAAATCTATGTAAAGTGTATAACTCCCTACTTGCCATCTCTACTTCCATGTCTAATGAATGTTTCTCAACACAGTGATACAAAAGAAAGGCTCATACTTCTCACTCCCTGCAGCCCCTTGCAGCCACATAACTCTTTGGTTTTGCCAGTTTTAGTGAAGTGCATTACTATTTACTCAGCTATTCAGGCCCTAAACCTACCTATTTCTCACACCCTTGTCCACACTCATCAACTTTACCTGTAAAATAAGTGCTGAATGTGATCACGTCTTACCACCTCTACCTGTCTCACCTGAGTCCAAGATGTCATGACCTCTCTCCCCTCGACTTCTAATAGCCTTTTAACTAGTCTCTGCTTCTGCTCTTGCCCCCAAACAGCCAATTTTCCCCCCAACAACCAGAATGATCCTTCAAAAATATAAATGAGACTGGCCACTCACCTGCTAAACACCCTTGAATGACTTCCCACCACAATTAGAATAATATGCAAACTTTACTTTGGCCTGAAAGACCCCATATGACTTTGGTGTTGTCTATCTCTCCAATCTCTTCTTGAACTTGACTGCCCCCTCCCTGTCTGTAGTTGAGCCATACTGGCCTCTGTGATCTTCATTGAACAGGTCAGGCTCTTTCCCATCTCTGTACTCGCTGCTCCCTCTGCCCAGGAAGCTCTTCTTCCCAGATCTTGCAAGCTTTGCTCTTCAGTCCAGTCAGGACTCTGCTCAAATATCACCTCTTTAGACAGAATTTTCCCCACTACCCACTAAAGCAGGCCCTCATTGTCTTTGTCACTTTCTAGCCTCTCATCCTGTTGATTTTTTGATAGTGCATGTTAATCTTGACATTTTAGGATACAATCATTTGCTTATGTCTACCCTTTCCAAATACAACCGTCTCATTGGCAAGGACTTTTCTGCCCTGTTCATCCAAAGTGCCTAGAACAGATGGTCCATAAATACTTGTTGAGCGAGCACACGCATGAATACGTGTGCAAAGGGGCTCAGGTAAAGAGTGTAATTTCTATAATTTCAAAGCTGTGATGTACTTCCAGGAGCAGAGTAAGTAATAATGATGGGCAGGCACAATGGAAGGCCAGGTATTGGATTAAGGAGGGCCTCTCTGGCAGCCCTACAGGACAGACATTTCTGCAATGATAGAAATGACCTATATCTCTGCTGTCTAAAACAGTAGTCACTGGCCACGTGTGACTATGGAGCACTTGAGATGTGGTCAGTGGGACTGAGGAATTGAGGAACTGAAAGAATTTTATTTAATTTCAATTAACATTTAAATAGCTATCCTTGGCTGGTGGCTATGGTATTAGAACCTGAAGAATCCCTTCCCATGGCTTGTGATTGCAGGATAATTGTGTATAACTCACTGAGTTGTCGAGGGGACTAATGAAATAAAAAGCTTAGGAAAATGTCTGGAACATAAGTGGCACAAAAAAATAATAGTTGCTATTATTCCACAGAGTTGCAAATTAAAGTACTTTAAGTATATGCCATTTAAATTAGGCTGTAAAGCACTTGAAATGGACTTTTATTAATGTTAGGCATAATGTTTTGTTTTTTAGAGTTGGTGGATAATCGATGTTTGGGTCTGTATTTGAGCTTACAAACTAAAAATAGCACACAACCATTTTGGGATCTCATTGAAGGAGATAGATGTCTATTCCAAGTGGATCAGCTTGCTGATACTTATAATGAGCTAATTAATTTTGACAACAGCTAATTTAGCATCTGCAAAAATTGGATTTGTAACATTATGTGTACTGTATTATTTTCAAACAGTGTTATCTGCAACTTCCCGGATGATTTTGGATAAGAGAAGTGTTTGTTTTAATACTTATTATTAAAATAAAAAAATAAGTATTTACTTATTGGAAATACTATGATTAATTATTTAAGGCTTAAATTGGTTTGGACATAAAATCATTTTTTTTTCTTAGTGGCTGACCATAATTCCTTCCATACTGAATCCAGAAAATAAAATTAGCACAGATATAGAACATAAACAGACCATTATAACAAACCCTTATGAATAACCTAATGCAATAATAAAATCACACATTTGTCCAGAATAAGCATGGTACTTATTTTCAGGCCAAGAGAATTTGCATTCTGTAGCAGAGTGAAAATGGCATTCCACAGTCAGCCTAAGCACTTGGTGGAGACTCTGAGACTAGAGAGAGCAGATGCATTTAAATTGAACACGTGCTTATAGGCATTAAGAAAAGTTGACATTCTTATTAAAGAGACCAATTAATCTGCATCAGTTGGAAGCCACTTTACAGTCGAAAAAGTGCTCTAGGACCTAATATAAATGAGACTGGAGTAGAAAGAGAATGAAAATTCACTTTTCTACAAGGGAGCCTTTTCTAATTGCCCTAGAGCTGTGCTGTTTGAAATGCTAATCCTTCCTCTTCCATCCCGGACTGGGAGTCTGGGGTAACAGAAGCCGAGGAGGGTGAAGACCCCCAGATGCTAAAGTGAGGGGTGTTCAAGACTTACCAATGGGCATGACTAAGAAAAAAGGCAGCCAGCAGAGGACGAAGCAGCCGACCACGATGCCCAGCGTTTTGGCCGCTTTCTTCTCCCGGGAGAACTTGAGGAGCCTCACTGAGAAGTGCGTCTTGGTCTTGGCGCTGGCCATCCCGCTGCCTCCTGCCGGGGCGTTTTTCCGATGGATGCGGAGCGTCACTTGCTCCGAGTCCGACTTGTCGGTCTTGAGGCCAGACTTGAGGCCCCGGCTCTCCCTCTTGGCCACCACGTAGACGCGGCAGTACATGACCAGGATGATGGCCAGAGGCAGGTAGAAGGAGCCCAGCGCTGAGAAGAGCACGTAGCCCGGCTCCTCGTTGATCTGGCAGATGGTCTCGTCCTCGGGGGCCGGCTGCCTCCAGCCGAACAGGGGTCCAATGGATATGACCAGGGAGAGTGCCCAGACGCAGAGCAGAGCCATGAGACCCCTCCTCTGGGTGACGATGGTTGGGTAGCGCAGCGGGTAGCTCACGCCGATGTAGCGGTCGATGGAGATGATGCAGAGGCCCATGATGGACGCGGTGCAGCACAGCACATCCACTGCCGCCCAGATGTTGCAGAAGACCCTGCCGAAGGCCCAGTAGCCTAGGACCTCGAAGATGGCGGAGAAGGGCAGCACCGTGGAGGTGAGCAGGAGGTCGGCCACCGCCAGGTTGACGATGTAGTAGTGCGTGACTGAGTGCAGGTGTCGGTGACAGGCTACGGAGAGGATCACTAGGATGTTACCCAGCACCCCGAAAAGAATGAGGCCCCCCAAGATCACCCCGAGCAGAATGGCCTTGGAAATGTTCACCGGTGCCGGCGGTTGGGTGCAGTTGGAGCTGTCGGAAGCATTTCCCGAGAGAAACACCATGGTCCCAGCCGGGGCCGGGCGAGGTCCGGCTGTCCAGGGCCACCTCCCGGGCTGGCGCGGAGGCGGGAGCGCGGGAGCCGGGAATCAAAAGGTCTCGGCTGGAGGGAGCCCTGCCAGGTGGGTTTGGCTGGGGGTGAGAGCGCGCGCGCGGGTGGGAAACAACCCTGGCCAGCCCTGGGAACCCTCAGAAGGCCACATGAAGGGGCAGGGCATTAAAGACATGGCCAGGGGCGCGCGGGGCTGCCGGGGACCCTCTCCACCTGCCGGGCTGGCCTAGCCCGGGACCCGGACTCCCTCCCTACCCGAAGCTGGGTGCGAAGATCCAGGAGACTCCTTGCAACATGCAATTCCAGAATTACGAGAATCTGCTTTTCCGCGCTGTCTTATTCGTCCTGGCTGGGGGAAGATTCAGCATTCTGCACATGATTCGGAATTCAAAACTCCAGCGCCAGTCTCTCCCTCAAACCAAAAGATCAGCCGTCGACGCTCAAAGGCAGGGACCGATGGTTGGGTAGCGCAGCGCTACAGGTTGGGCGCTGCTCCTGGCCCGCAGTTACCTACATTTTGAGCTGCCCCACCGAAGGCTCCTGCTCTCTCCAGCTTCTAGGAGCACAGGTCAGGGGACGTAGGTGTGGAATATGTGCTGAGACCCAGGAGGCTGCGGGGCATCGTTTGACCGCGTCCACCTGAAAGAGCGCAAAGAGAAAGGCGGCTTTGAGCTAGGCGCCCCAGGGAAAGAGGCTGTGCTGAGCTTGACGGGTTGGGGGACACCAGTTGGGAGCCGGGTTGGTTCTGCGGTCCAGAAGCTGCTTCGCCCGGCAGCGGTGGAGGCGACTTCGGAGCTCATCTCGCGCCCCCACCACTGGGAACCTGCCTAGCGCACTCTACTGAGTCACCTCTGCCCGAGTTCAGGATCCGAAGCGAAAAACAAACAAAAAAACAAATCCCCAAAACCCCAGGCTCCAGCGCTCGAAGTCTGGATTTCGAGCGCAGGTACCACGAAATTAAAATCCTCGAAGCCCCGGAGGGGCGACTGCGGCTGGCGAGTGTGTCGCACGGATCCTAGCCGGGGAATTCTGGAGGATGTACTCGGTTTCCGTTAGAACAGGTTGCCTCGCAGTCACCTGGAGGGGGCGGCCTGGGAGAGGGAACAGCTGCGACCCAGGGACCTCAGGGCCAGGACCACGAGCACGCTCACTCTCACGCCGGTGGAATTCGCACTCGGGTGTGCAGAGCGCACCGGTCTGTCCACCAGCCAAGCTGGCTTGAGAGCCAGGTCCCGAGCGAAGCCGGGAGGGACCCGAAGACAGAAAGCGACCCAGGTCTGTCCACGACGCCTTTCCAAGCCTCACTGTTGGCCACCCGAGGGGCTCCAGCTGCCAGCCGTAGCGGGACTGGCGGGGGACGGGGTGGGGAGGACGTCCCTCTGCAGAGGGAGCTTTGCAAGTGACAGTCACTGCGGATTTTGCAGGCGTAAACATTAAGCCGGCATGCCAGCGGGCAGGGGCCGCCTTCGATTTTCTGGGCTGGGGGCCACCATCTGCGTAAGAAACCTGGGTTTCCACAACTGCGAACCTACCGCAGGGACTCGGCAGGACAGCGCGGCGTGAGGAAGTGCCCACCTTGCCTTCTGGGGTTGGGCCCTGAGGTGGGACCTCGGGCAAAGACTCTTGTTAAAATCGCAAGTTGGAGACCTCACAGGTGGTATTAAAAACGTGCCACTGCAGAAACCCTTTTCCTCCTACCTCGAGGGTGATAAACACAGGGTTAAAAAGACACTTGTTCAGTAGAAGGCAACTTCGCAGAAGATGTAAGGGAATCGGGGGTGGGGTAGAGGGGCCGGTATAAAACCTGGTGGAAAAAGCGGGAGGCGCTGGGAAAAGTGGGGGTTCCGTCTCACCAGACGGCGGGGGAGGTCTGCCCTCACCCACTCGGCCCTGCGGGACGCCGGCCCCGGCGCACTCACCTGAAGCGCCGCTGCTGAGCCACCAGCTCGCGCGCGGGGGATGTGGACCCGGCTTCGGTCCCGGGAGCTGCCTGCCTGCTCTTCTCTGGAGGCGGAGAGGGGACCGTGTCTCCGAGGCACCAAATCCTTGTCCTTTTGCACCCGCTGACTCACCCCTCCACCACTGATGTCTTTAAGCTCCTGAACCGCTGTCACTTTACCTGCATTTTTTAAAAAGAGTCAAAATAAGAAAAGAAAAAAAAATGCAGATAACCGGTAACTCCACAATCACCCTTTTAATATTCAGCTCCCCGACACCAGAAAAGAATAGCAAGGAACTTTGCAGCTCTCGCTGACGTAACTCAGGCAGTAGCCCAGCTAGTACCGTAATCTCCTGCTGCTACCGTATTACTCTACGGCAACAGGCACAAGTGCGTATACAGCTGTAATGTTTTCCTCTGGCCTAGAGGGGGTTGGGTTCTAGCGTTTCTTTAAAAAGGTTTGTGTGTGTGTGTGTGTGTGTGTGCGCGCGCGCGCGCGCGTGTGTGTGTGTAGAGTCATTTGTAGTAAATAACTTCTTTAAATGAGCTTTTAAAAATAACGAAAAATTGACACCCTTGCTAGATATTGCTGTGTGTATGGTGTGTTCATAGGAATGTGCTATAAAGTAACTTTGAACAGCTTGATTTGATTAACATTTGGCCTAGGTTTTGTTAAGATCAAGAAGTATATTAAGAATATTGTAATTCTAAATATGCAAGTAAATTATAAGGTGTTTTAAATAGCAAGTAAAATCAGATAAAATATGACAAATCTGATTGTAATGAAATTATATTTTCAGGAAGATAAAGTGGACATATCTAAACCTTATTTAATATGATTCACTTCTAATTTCTTTAGACAGATGAATTTTAAGAGCATTATGGCCACAGAGTTTGGTATTTTTTAAATGCCACACAATCTTTTCCAGTTTTCTTGAGAAAATGGTATCCTTTCAGGAGTGTTACTCTCTTTAATTCATTAATAGCTGGAGTATGAAAACCTAGCACCACCAGTCTTATTACTTTTTTTCTGGTAAATTACATAATCTGTTTACCTTGTGATTGAATAAAGTCACATGTGTTTCAGAATATCGGGAACATAGAAAAATGTTTCCCACTCCAATTCCCACCTCCTAAGTCATCTTTCATCTTTATTGATGCAGACAAAGTGGAATGTTCTTATTTACTAGGTCTCCTTAAACCTAGGAACAAGGAGATAACTTTAAGCAGTGGCACTTAAATTCTCTCCTGTGAACAAAATCATATTAATATGATTACCTTTTCTAAGTGAGATAATGTTTGGGAGGCTCTTTTATAGCAATAAATCTCAAAATGCCTCAGAGGAATGCCCATGAGAGGGTCAGTAAATCCTATGTCATGGAAGACCTAATATATGTATTTATTTCTCTATTGTATACAAAGTCCTCCACCTCTGCCTCATACCTGTAGGGATAGAACTCACACCTAACACATTTGATTTGAATTTAATATATTTTTAAAACTGAATTTCGTGCCATAGGAGGAGCATCCTGGTTGAACAGACAGCTCCACTTCTCATTACTAAGTCACCTGCTCTCTCTGGGATTCAGTCCCCTTAGGAGGAAGCTTGACCTCAATTCCCTGCACTTCTAGTACTTTATCATCAAATATGTGTATAATGTCTGTGCTTCCGAAATCCCATCCATCAGAGGGATATACACTGTTTTGTTTTGTATTCATTAACCTGATGCTGTGAATGCAAATTCTTCATTAAGATGTGTTCCATGGTAGATAAGGGAAGCAGTGCTATCAGCAAGCAAAGCAACTGAAAATTGCTCAGCTCTGCAAGGTCGAAAATTGCAAAAGTCTTTGTAACTCCCAGTCCCCACTCTACAACAATTAAGAATACACATAATCCACCCCTGCACCCACCTCCAATAATTAACTAGTTAATACTAAGATAAGGAAGAGCAGCTCTTCATGCTGCTAGCAGGTAGGTCTTTCAAATCTGCTTCTCAGCCTGTGACCATCAATCCTTGCAAAACGACCTCTCAGAACCAATTTTTCAGTCACCTACCATTGATTCACAAACAGAAAACTATCCATCTGTTGGTTACTCTTTAAAGAATAGTTGACGTGGACATCCCAGAAAGTGTCTGAGTTGTACACATGGGTAGGTGGAGTGGAGAGGAGTATGCTCTGGGGTCATAAAGATGCTATTCTGACCCTCCTATGCGACCATGGCAAAGCCTTGGTTTCCTAATTTTTAAAGGGAGACAATGAACCCCCACAAGGTTGTTATTAGTGTTGAAAGAAATTACGTTTCTCAAAAACTCAGCTCATAATATTCACTAACTCTATTATTAATCTTATTAACTCCCTTTCTGCTCATTTTGTATGCTACTTTATAGTGAAATATATTTCTAACCCAGGTAGTCCATGAACACTGGTAAATTCAGCTGGAGAATGTGCTAAGTGTCTTGAGCACTACACTTGAGCTAAGTGGTTTAATCAGAATGACCCAACATGGTTAAGTTGCAAGAGCTGGCCCTGATCACTGGCTGCTTCTTTTCTTCTCACTTTCCCCCTTGTTCTTTGTCTTGAGGGGCCATGCAAATGTGTGTGAACACCTCAGCCCCTACAGCCAGAAAGCTGCCTTCTTGGCCTCAGGCCTTGGGGTACACACATTTGTGATGTTGTCTGCCCAGAGAGAATGGACCTGAAAGTGATTGTGTGGCCATCTGGGGCAAGGGATTCTGAGTCCCAGGGCATGGTCTAGAAAGGAGGGCACAGGCTCCAGGTGGGCATATCACATTAGTCCTATGGCCAAAAGGAGTCAGAGCTGGACTCTCTAAAGCCTGAAACCCTAGCCGGGGTCCCTCTTGCCTGGCTCTGAGGGTGATACTCTGAAGACTTCCGGTGTGACAGAAATTGAAGAATCCCCTGAAGGGGTGGTTGTGGAAAGACTCATAAAATGATATTGCTTGATGTAGGATTTGTGGAATCAGCAGGATTGAGATTTGTAGACAAAAGTGAGGAAGGTGAACCATCAGCAGCCGCATTTTAGAGTGGTGTGTCAGGGATGCTGGGGGAATGAGTCTGATTGGAGAAGAGCTGAGCAATGGACATAAACCCATGCATTGATTGGCAGGACTTTCTTAGTGACTAGTGAGGAACTCGGCAAGTGTGGTAGGCTTAGAGGTTTAAAAAAATAAAGAATCTGTCTATCATTCCCTTAGAAAACAATACACAATGGAATTAGGAGCTGTGTTCTGGAATTTATGATTGCAAATGACAGAGTAGAAGACTTAATGTTAGTATCTACCCCAAAGACTTGGCTTTTCAACTAATTCTCCTAAGGCTTAATAAGTTAAAGAGGCAAGAAAATGAAAAACAATTCTCAGAAAGGTATTGATGCAGTATCAAGTCACAGCTCTCCAAAGAAGCATTGTGTTCTAATCCTTTATCGAACTGAGAACACTGCACAGCCCACAGATACTGCTGAGGGATGTCTTTGATGAGATAGTAATTCTGTCTTTGCCATCATTTTTCCAAATCTTCATTGCCCTGAGAAAATAACATACTCCAAGTCTTGGGAGTCATACCACCCCATCCCTACACTGTGGGACTATCATGGTAGGAATATGAGGTCAAGTCAGCCTATAGCTGATCAGCAAATAATTCCTTTAAAACAATAAGACTTTGCTCTCGCATAGCAAATCTAAGCTGAGGCATATTAATCAAATTTTTTCAATATCTTTGTCAATATCATCTGGAAATGGAAGTAAAAGAAAGTCAATATGTGTACCAAGTGCAGACACATTTTTATCTCATCTCTTCACTTGCTGATGGGCTGTTATAGGCACTTTAAAATGCTTATTGACTTGTATTTAATTATAAAATTTATGCTCATAATAGCACATTTGGAAAAGTCAGACAGAAATGTATGAAAATAAAAATTATCTGTAATCCTGCCACTGGAGAAATAGCTATTGTTAAATATTTGTCATATTTTCTCATTTTTTGTTAATGTGTATAAATTATATACATGGAAAAATATATATACACATGTACATACCAGGAAATATTTTATGTACATGTATTTATTATGCATACATATATATTTCACATATTATACATTGTATACATTATATAAAAGAGTGTAATCATACTGTACCTATAATTATATATCTTACTTTTTCACTTATATTATATCATGAACTCATTCTATTATTACATTTATACCAAAACATGGTTTATAAGAGCTCCACAGTGATTCTATTATATGTATATGCTATTGTCTGAATGTTTGTGTTCTCCCCAAAATTCATATGTTGTAGCCTAAATTCCGAGGTGATGGTATTAAGAGGTGGGGTCTTTGTAAGATGATTAGGTCACGAGGGTTCCATCCTCAGGAATGGACTTAGTGCTGTTATAATAGAGGGAGCCTCTTTGCCCTTCTGCCATGTGAGAACACACAGAAGGCGACATCTATGAAGAATGGGCGCTTGCCTAGCATCAAATCTTCTGGCACCTTGATCTTGGACTTTGCAACTTCCCGAGCAATATATTTCTTTTGTTTATAAATTATCTAGTCTAAGGTATTTTGTTATAGCAGCCTGAACAGACTAAGACACTGTATGTCATGACAAATTAAATATTTAAATATTCAGGCTTTAAAAAAAATTCTGATCTATAACTTGAACTGTGGTAAATCCTCTTATTTATTTATTATTTTACTTTAAGTTCTGGGATACATGTGCAGAATGTGCAGGTTTGTTGCATAGGTGTACATGTGCCGTGGTGGTTTGCTGCACATATCAACCCCATCATCTAGGTTTTAAGCCCCACATGCATTAGGTATTTGTCCTAATGCTTTCCCTCCCCTTGCCCCCCATCCCCTGACAGGCCCCAGTGTGTGTTGTTCCCCTCCCTGTGTCCATGTATTCTCATTGTTCAACTCCCACTTATGAGTGAGAACATGCGGTGTTTGATTTTCTGTTCCTATGTTAGTTTGCTGAGCATGATGGCTTCCAGCTTCATCCACGTCCCTGCAAAGGACATGAATTCAATTCTTTTTTATGTCTGCATCGTATTCCACGGTGTATATGTGCCACATTGATAAATACTCTTACATATAATATTGTACTCCAAATTTTCCTTAAGATTAATTTCTGTAACTAAAATTAGAATAACAAAGGTTATGAACATTTAAGAGGTTATAACAGATATTGACCTCTAGAAAGGTTTTACAAATGTAGATGTAAAATATAAACTCCCAATAGGAGTGCATAACAGAACCTGTTTTTTGTTTTTTTACTTATTTATTGTTTGTCTCTTGCCAACTTTGACTGTTTATAATAAACTAGACAAGTACATAATATATGTAAATAAAATAAACCGTAGGCAATTTTATAAGTAAAAAATAATATCTCATTTTTTAAAATTTGTATTCTTTAGTTATGATTTTATTTCTTTACATTTATTTGGCATTTCTATGTTTTCGTTTGTGATTTGCTTGTCCGTATTTCTGCTAGCCAGGTGATATGGTTTGGCTCTGTGTCCCCACACAAATCTCATCTCAAATTCTAATCCCCATGTGTCAGGGGAGAGATCTGGTGGGAGGTGATTGGATCATGAGGGTGGGTTCCCCCATGCTGTTCTTGTGATAGCGAGGGACTTCTCATGATATCCGATAGCTTTAAAAATGACAGTTTCTCCTGCACTCCCTCTCTCTCCTGCCGCTCTGTGAAGAAGGTGCCTTGCTTTCCCTTCACCTTCCACCTTATTATAAGTTTCCTGAGGCCTCTCCAGCCATGCAGAACTGTGAATCAATTAAACGTCTTTTGTTTATAAATTACCCAGTCTCAGTGTGAAAACAAACTAATACACCAGGATTTGGTCAGAAACTGCTGTAGTTGTTTCACGTAGGAAGGATTTAATACAGGGAATCAGAGGCTTATAATATTGCTGGGAAATATTGGGAAACAGATTAGAGAAAGCTACTGTTAACCTCTGGGAATTCTGAAGTGCAGGTGTATCAGGAAACCGTGTTGGTGATTTCAGCTGCCTAAAGCACCAATGATGTGCAGGTCACCCAGGAGATCCTGGCAGAACCTCACCTCTACTGTTGGCTGAAGTCTTCATCCTTGCACAACACTGCTACAGGGTGAGAAATGGCTTCCGCTTCTCTTCCACTTTCCAAAATCTCACAAAATTCCTCTCATTGGTGAATTGTGACCCAGAATCCCGATGGCACAGATTATTCTAGCCTTTGCAATGCAGAGAAGAGCATAGAAAGAAAAAAAAAATGACCCTGAGTGGACAACAGACAATTTGGTATAATGTCCATTACCCATTTTGATATTGGTATTTTCCTCTTTTATCATATTGATTTGTAAGAACTTCTTATGTATTATGGTGGCCTTGAAAACATGCCATTTGATCTACAGCAAGGAGCATAATTGACTTAGATTCTCTTAGATTTTGCTCTTCTGGGTCCATTCCTGCATTCATGCCACACTTTCTATAGGCTGTTCTCAACCAATGGCAAAGCAGGGCAAAGGTTCTAATGCAGGCTCATTACTGTAATATATGGGATTTCTTGAATTGGTGAATTTGTCTCACGTCAGCTAAAACTTCCTTGTAACTGTGCAACAGTCTGACACTTTTCCTTCCCTTCTTCTTCAGAAGGTGTCAACTTGGACCATAGTCTGGAGGCTCTCCTTACCTTCTGAATTAGTCTGTTCTCATGCTGCTAATAAAGACATACTTGAGATTGGGTAATTTATAAAGGAAAGAGGTTTATTCGACTCACAGTTCCACATGGCTGGGGAGGCCTCACAATCATGGTTGAAAGCAAATAAGAAGCAAGGTCAACATCTTACATGGTGGTAAGCAAGAGAGCTTGTGTAGAGGAACTCTCCTTTATAAACCATCAGATCTCATGAGTCTCATTCACCACCACGAGAACAGCATGGGAAGGACCTTCCCCCATGATTCAATTTTCTCCCACTGGGTCCCTTCCACGACATGTGGGAATTATCAGAGATACAATTCAGGATGAGATTTGGGTGGGGACATAGCCAAACCATATAACCTTTCCCAGCTCCCTCCCTCCTTGCCTTTACAGGCACTTCCTAGTAAATCTCTTGTATGATGAAATCTTATCTTGGTGTATGCTTTTTGGAGGGCCAAAGGTAACACATATATTAAAGATATTAGAACTTTGTGATATTCGTTGCCATTTCTTCTCATCACAGACATTTAAAAAGAAAAACTTCATGAATTTATATAAAGAGAGAGGCTCTTCCCACATAAGTTCTTCCATAATCAGTATATAAAGTATCATATTATTTATACCTGGGTAACCTGTAAGCTTCATATATTTTGTGCAGATTTTATAAAATTTTACTTATTAGTGATTTTTCTCAGTGATCAGGATGGTTGACCTCATGAAAAAACCCACAGGGGCTTCCTCACTTCTCTCTACTCAGGGAATTTTCCTAAAATTAACCTACATGAAGAAGATAAGAATTTGTACTAACTTTAAAGTCTTTCCTTCTGAAATGAAAAGAGTGAGTATTGATAACGAGCAGTCCCTCAATTTCTTCTGGCTGAGGAGCAGCAGATAATAACACTATTACTTTAAAAGCTTAAAATCAGAGTGTTTTGTCACTTTTATTGATGGATAAGCTTGAGTTCTGAATCAATATTCAGAGTTTCTCCAGTCGTGTTAATTTAACGGCCAGTTTATTTACTTTCTGAACAAAGATGTGGGACATGTATTGATAAAATGGTTTTGTTTCTCTGTCCAGCATCAGAAAAAGCAAAACAGAATAATTTTTTCAGTTCTTTTTTTTCTTACTTACTGAAACCACCTTTATTACCTTTCCTACTCCCTTGTAGCAGTCAAATGAATCCAATTATGAGGAATTAAGCCTATAAGGAAAGACACGCATCAGAAGTCAGCCCAGTCTGATTTTATCAGAAGTACCAATTGTACCTGGGGAATCCTTGGAAAGAATGGTTGAATTATCAGCTGAGAAAATCTTGGGGAAAATAAACCTTGAAAGCCGGGGATCTAGTAATCTATTTTACATTTTCGATGACAAATGAGTTTATAAATATGAAGACAGAAAGTTGTTTAATGATATAAACACTAGTTTAAACTAACATAGGGAGATTCATCTCCATTAGCCAAATTTCCAAGTATTCCTGTTACTGATTTCTAGTTTTATACTACTGTGATCAGAAAAGATACTTAACGTCATTTCAATCTTTTTACATTTATTCAGATTTGTTTTGTGATAACATATGCCTATTTTGAAGAATATTCTGTGTGCACTTGAGAAGAATGTGTATACTATTGCTATTAGATAGAATATTCTACATATGTCTGTTAGATCCATTTAGTCTAAAGTGTAGTTCTAGTTCAATGTTTCATTATTTATTTTCTGTCTGAAAAGTCTGTCCTTTGTTGAAAGTGGGCTATTGAAGTCGCCTAGTATTACTGTATTACAATGTGTTTTTCCCTTCAGGTACTTTAATATTTGCTTTATATATTTAGTTGCCCCAATGTCAGGTATGTGTATATTTACAATTATTATATTCTCTTGTTAAGTTAATCCCTTTATCATTATATAATGTCTTTCTTTTTACATTATATAATGTAAATTATATAATTATATATGTAAATTACATCATTTATATATAATTATATATGTAAATGACATCAATTATATATGTAAATTACATCATTATATAATGTCTTATTTTTTACATTTTTAACTTAAACTTTATTTTGTCTGAAGTAAAGTATGAGTATCAGATTACCCCTGTTCTCTTTTGGCTTCCATTTGCCTAGAATAATCTCTCCTATTTATTCACTTTCAGTCTATGTGTGTCCTTAAAAGTGAGGTGAATCTCTTGTATGCAACATATATTTGGGTCTTAAAAAATCAATTTAGCCACTCTACATATTTTTATTGGAGACCTTAATCTATTTACATTCAAAGTAATTATTGATAAGTAAGGACTTAGCCACTGTCATTTTGTAAATAATTTTCTGTTTTGTATTTAATAGATATTTAGTTTCTTTCTTCTTTTTCTGTCTTTGTGGTCTGATGGTTTTCTGTAGTGGGATGTTTTGAATCCTTTCTATTTATATTTTGTGCATCTACTATAGATTTTTATTTTGTGGTTACCATGAAACTTACATAAAACATTTTAGACTTAAAACAGGCTATTTAAAGCTAATAACAACTTAACTTTGGTTGCATACAACAACTTTGCACTTTTACTTTCTCCTACCCACATTTTATATTTTCAGTGTCAAAATCAATATCACTTTGTAATTTGCTTCTCTTTATAGCTTCTTTCTGCTATAGTTGTTTTTAATAGTTTTGCCTTTTAATCCTTGTACTACAAATAAAATTCCTTTAAAAACTACCATTACAATCCCAGAATATTCTGAATATGACTCTCTATTGCTTATCCCACTGAGTTTTGTGCTTTTGTATGTTTTATGTTGTTTATTAGCAGACTTTTGTTTTAGCTTAAAGAACTCCATTTAGCGATACCAGTAAGGCAAGCCTAGTGGTCATGAACTCCCTTAGATTTGTCTGGGAAAGCTTTTTTTTTTCCCTTATTTCTGAAGTACAGATTTTTCAGGTAAAACTGTTCTTGGTTGTCAGGTTTTGTTTTGTTTTGTTTCTGTTTTTTGTTTGTTTGTTTTTAACTTCAGCCTTCTGCATATATCATAGCACTCTCTTCTGGCC
Source organism: Homo sapiens (assembly GCF_000001405.40). NCBI lineage: Eukaryota > Metazoa > Chordata > Mammalia > Primates > Hominidae > Homo > Homo sapiens. Next base: position 26,876,714 of record NC_000008.11, read on the forward strand.
TGTAGGGTTTCTGTGGAGAAATCTACTGATAGCCATTTTAGGACTCCCTTATATGTGTTATGTTTCTTATCTCTTGCCACTCTTAGAATTTTTCTTTGTCTTTGATTTTTGATAATTTGGTTGTTATGTGTCTTAGTGAACTCCTCTTTGGGTTGAATTTTACTGAAGACTAAGCTTACTAAACTTGGATTTTTGCATTTTTCTAATATTTGGGAAGTTTTCAGCCATTATTTCTTCAGTTATGTTTACTGGTTTTTTATCTGTCTCTTATCCTTTTGAACTCCTGTTATGAAAATGTTAGTTCTAATGAGAATACATGGACACAGGGAGGGGAACATCACACAATGGGGCCTGTTGGGGAATGGGGGAAAAATGGGAGGGAGAGCATTAGGACAAATACCTAATGCATGTGGGGCTTAAAACCTAGATGATGAGTTGATAGGTGCAGCAAACCACCATGGCACATAGGTACCTATGTAACAAACCTGCACATTCAGCACATGTATCAAGTAAAAATAAATAAATAAAATAAAATAAAACGTCCAAAAAAAAGAAGAAAATGTTAGTTCTTTTAATGGTGTACAATAATTCCTTCAGACTTTCTTCATTATTTTTAATTCTTTTTATTTTGGCTTCTCTGACTGAATAATTTCAAATATTCTGCCTTCAAGCTCACTGATTCTTTTTTTTTTCTTTCTTTCTTTCTTTTTTTTTTTTTTTAATGAGACAGGGTCTCACTTTGTCACCTAGGCTGGAGTGCAGTGGTGTGATCTTGGCTCACTGTATTCTTGACTTTCTGGGCTAAAGCAATCCTCCCACCTCAGCCTCCCAAGTAGCTGAGACTACAGGCATGTGCAACCACACCCAGGTAATTTTTTGTATTTTTTTTTTTTTTTTTTTTTGTAGCAATGGGGTTTTGCCATGTTTCCCAGGCTGGTCTTGAACTCCTGAGCTCAAGCCTTGGCCTCCCAAAGTGCTAGAATTATAGGTGTGAGGCACCACACCTTGCCTGATTCTTTTTTTTTTTTTTTTGGCTTGATTGAATCAGCTATTGAAGCTTGTTATTGAAGCTTTCCATTGAAATTTTTAGTTCAGTCATTGTATTCATTTTTAGAATTTCTACTTTTTAAAACAATTTTGTTTCTATTTATTTGTCAAACTTTAAATTTGTTTGCATATATTTTCCAGATTTTATGTAATTTTCTATTAGTATATTCTTGTGATTCATTGAACCTCAAGAGGATTTTTCTAAATTATTTGTTAGCCATTTCTTAGATCTTCATTTATTTAGTGTTCATTGTTAGAGCTTTATTAGTTCCTTTTGGTGGTGTCACGATTCTCTGATTTTTTTATAATTCTTCTGTCCTTGCATTGACGTCTACACATTTAAGGAGACAGCCACCTGCGCTGGCCTTTGCAGGTGTTATCGGCAGGGATAGAACTTCATTATTTAGTCTAGCTCTGATCCTGGATGGGCCAGCTTGTACCAACCCTGAGCAGGCAGAGATTCCTGTCAGGTTCTTTAGTTGGGTGGTCTGCTGTCTTTGCTCCGAGGTCTAAAGAGACTACTGGCTGGGCTCCACCATTTAGCAAGGTACTATTGGCTGGTCTCTGCAAACAGGCCCAGCTGCTGGCTGGGCGCTGCAATAGCCATCCATTGGGCAGATTTGCAGTATGTATTCCCTGGCCAGGTTGAACTACTGTTTGCATTTTGCAGCTGCGTAGGGCTGAAGGCTGGGCTTTGAGGTCAGGTGGAGTTACAGCTTAGGACTAATGGGTCCAGAGGCTTTGCTCCACAGAACTGTCTTTCTTTGCTCCACAGAACTGTCTTTCTTTGCTCCATAGAACTGTCTTTCCTTGCTCCATAGAACTGTATTTCCTTGCTCCATACAACTGCCTTTCTTTGTTCCATGAGACTGTCTTTCTTTGTTCCATAGAACTGTCTTTCTTTGCTCCACAGAAATGTCTGATTGAGACTTGTCTTTCAGCCTGGGTGGGGCTTTGGATTGAATTCCGAGGCTTGCCTTACTTCTTTGGACTCCCAAGTGGAGAAAGACCAGCCCCTGTTCTCTGCTGAAATGTGCTGTGGCAGGTGTTTCCCTCCCTGAGTGGAGCCTTGATTTAGGCTCTAAGGCTGGGTCAACCTGCTGTTTGAAATATGTGGTTTGCAAATCATTTCTCCAAGTTTTTACTTTGTATTTTCATCCTCTTAACAAAGGCAAATGTTTTTAATATCAATGAGAACAGTTTATCAATTTTTTTTATTTTATGGATCATGTTTTTGGTGTCAAGTCTAAGAATTCTGTCTAGCCTTAGATCCCATTTTTTTCCTATTTTCTCTAAAGTTCCATAGTTTTAACAATTAACTTTTTAACATTGTTCCTTTTGGTTTCCATTAGTATTGGTTTTATTTCCTTAAACTGATGTATATTTTAATTTTGATTTCAAATTTAATTGCATTGGGATCATAATGTGCTACTCTGCCTTCTCTTCCACTAACTTTTGCTGTTGTTAAATTACTTTTCCCTTTTTTAAAAAACATTCTTTTTAATCTTATATGAACACATTTTTTGGGCACTTTAGACTTTAGCAGTTGAATGTTTTATAATTTATCTTTAAATTTTCTTTGCAAATCAAATGCTGTTATAACAATAAATAACTGAATTTCTACAGAAATTCAGAAATTAATTAATACCCCACAATGTTTGATTCGATATCTAGTGTTTTCATAGCCATTCAGTTCTAAATATTTCACACACTCCAATATGGTTTTCTTCTTTATCTCGGAATTAATTAGCAATGCTATTTTCTTAGTATCAAACTTTAAACTATTATTTTAATGTTGATATGTAATTTAATTACATAGATATGTGGGAAAATCATCTATGTGATATGTACTCTATAAAATTTTTGAGACTCATTTTGTAATCTAGCATGTGGCCAATTTTTGAAATGTTTCCTATGTGCTTGGAAAACATGTATATTCTCTGTTTGTTGAGTCTGGGGATACCTGTACCACTATTAGATCAAACACATTAATTTCGTTATGAGGATTTTATTTGTTCTCTCAAATTTTAGGTCTGCTTGATCCACTAGTCTCTGATCAAAGTGACCTAATGTATTTCAATCTGATGGCAGATTTACCATTTTCTCCTTACAATTCTTTTTTAATGTATGTTTTATTCCTGTAAAAATAGCAAACTTTAACAGTTATTTCACAGATGTTTTTTAAGTTTCATAAAATTTTCTTAATGTGTGTATATTTGAAAACATCCTTATTTCATGTTTTCTCTTGAAAGATAGTTTCTTTGGTGATAAAATTCTAATATATTTCTCTTCACCATTATAATGATTAATCATTTGTATGATGTTATTCATTTTTGCTGATGGTAACTTTGCTATTGCTGTAGTTATTTTTTTTTGTAACAATCTTTTATCTCTAGTAGCTCTTAGGGTCTTATTTTTGTCTTTTATGTCCTAAAGTTTCATAAAATGTAAATCTGTTTCTATTCTGTTGGATACTACTTGTGTCATTTTAAAATGAAGATTCACGTAATTCTTTAATTCCTGAACATTCTCATTGATTATCTTTTGTCTAAACTTCTGAAATTGAAGCAAAATACACAGTGCACCAACTGTAAATGTACAACTTGATAGATTATCACAATTGCCCAAGTATGAACCAGAACATTACCAAAGCCCTAGAAGCCTCCTTCATAGCCAATCATCCTCTTCCCCATAGGTAAACACTATCTTGATGTCTAATTTTATACTTATGCCTATTTTTGAGCTTTATGTAAATCATACAGTATATATTTGATCATATTTAGCTTCTTTAATTCAAGATTATATTTGTGAGACTTAATCATGCTGTTTTACATGGATCATGCTGTTTCTTGTAAATCGTGTAGATCATTTACTGACACTGTTTATTCATTTATTTCTGTGTATGAATATACCAATTTTATGTATTCTTTATATTCTTAGTGGGCATTTAGATTATGTCCAGTGTTTAACTATTATGAATAATGTTGATATGAACATACTGTAAAAGTCTTTTGATGCGTATGTACCTGAATTTTTATTTCTATGTCTCTTTCTAGAAAATGAAATTGCTGGATCATAGGACAAGTATAAATTCTATATGTTCTTCTTTAGTAAATATTGGCATATGCTTTTCCAAAGCAGTGGTAGCAATTACATCCCTATCAATAGTACAAGATTCTCTGTTATGAGTCTTCTTAGTTTTAGCCATTTTGGTGTGTAGAAATAGCTCATTGTAGCTTTAGTTTGCATTTTCCTTATTACTAATGAGGTTGAGCAACTTTTCATATGTTTATTGGGTATTTGACTATCTTTTTGTGTGATTTGTCTGGTTAGTTCTTTTTCTGAAATTTCTACTGTATTCTTACTACTCATTCAGCAGACTTGCTCTCCCCTCCAGTATACTCATATCTAAATCATAAACACATTTCAAAACTCATCCAAAGGTCACATTTTCTCTGATATTTTCCCTAATACACCCAGCCAAAATAGATCTATTTATCTAGCAGACTTTGCAAAATGTTTATGTAAGTGTTGGTAATTATCACTTTGTACTTAAGTTCATAGTTATTTGTATTTGTTTGGTCTCCTGCAATATAGCCAATGTGCCAGGGGACATGAATTGTTGGTATTATGTATGATTTCTAGCATAGTATTAGCTTGCTGCAAAAGTAATTGCAGCTCTCCCCACCAAAAGTAATGGCAATAACTGCAATTACTTTTGCACTAACTTAACTCTTGGCTAAGGTGACTGTATGTTCCATTTTCTCAGGACAGCCCAGGTTGATGCTACTTCCTGCTGGTCCTGATGGCCTGTCTAGTTAGCACTTCTTTCTGCTCTCAACATTACCCTGGTTTATATGTGGTGTTATATGGTCACCGTATTCATATTAGAATAAAAAAAAACCAAAAGACTTGACAGCAATGATAACTTAGTAATTAAATCAATGTTTAGTGAGGGGAAAAGAGATACTTCTAAGTGACTTAAAAATCTTGGCGCCATTGATATAGTGAAGCCAGGAGGAGGAGATTTGTAATGCAGCTATTAAATGTGATAAGTGTGGCTTGGATATGTTGAGTTTGAGGTCACTGGTGAGCAATGGGGTAGAACACAGAGTTATGCACAGAGTGTTAGATAGACGGGGGTGACGGAAGCCCTGGGAGTGATGTTGTGAGCCGGCTTTCATATTCCTTACATAGGGATTTAGCAGGGAATGAGACAAAGTCCCCGCTCTCGAAGAGCTTATGAGAATTAGAATAGGCACATTAGATAACTATTTATGAGTGATTTTATCATCTGAGGGATGGAACTGAGGAGAGAGTTTGGGAACAATAAAAACAAAATTGGGAAATGCTCATGTTTTCAGGGGAGCATGAGGATGAGGGCCCAGAGAATAAAAGAGCTGGCAGAGTTAAATGTTAAGCATTTCAAGGTTTTTAAAACAAAGATGTGGTCTGATATTGAATGCTGAAGATTAAAATAAACTGGAAAATTGGAGATAGTGTTTTATATTTTTGTATGCTTTTCATATTTTTAATGTTTGCACAAACAAAATACAACAAAATTTGTAATACATATTTTTGAAATAGGTATACTTCATTATTGCATTGACCACAATTTGTTGAAGCTCTTATTTAACTTTTTTGGGAGACATACCTTAAGAGTCTATTGCCATACTGCCAGGAATATACCTGCTTTCACCCGAGAAATACCTTAAAAGTCTCAGGGAAAGAATAAAAAATTATTTTTTGTCTTGACTGTTGACCAAGTTTGGTGACAATTAGTAGGTGTTCAATTCCTAAATGTATTAAGCAAGAAAGCACTGTGGCCACAACCAGCCAGTAGCATTTAGTTAAATATGCATTTCCTCCTTACCAAAGTATATTATATTAATTTTTAGCAAAATGTCAATTTCTCTTTTTTCAAAGAAATGAGTCATCACTTATTTTAATTTTAAGAGGACAGAATCTTTGGCATTTGAAAATTGACCTCTACAAATATGTTTTATAAAAATATATTTTTTCTTTTGTGGTTTTTAGCCTTGAATGTGGAAAGTTAGGAAACCACAACATTTTTTTCCTTAAAAGTAGTTTCCCACACAAACAAAATAATAGCTTCTAAGAAAAGTTAGAAGCTTTCTAATAATTTATAATTCAAACCAATTTTTTTTGGAGATTTTCCCACACTCTATCTATCACTGGAACTGTATATATACAAACTAAACCATAATGTCATCAGAGTAATTATGTTTCCTGAGAATTCAGTAGCATTAACAATAATAACAGCTAACATTTAAATAGAACTTATGGTTTACAAAGAACTTTCACATACATTATCTCATTGGATTCTTTGAGCAACCTTGTAAGACACTTATCTATGACCCATGTTTTCACGATGAAGCAACTGAAGATTAGAGAAGACCAATGAGCAGGCCCAAGTCACACAGTGACTTGGAGGGAGAAAACTGGGTTTTCTGAACCTACATCATTAACTTTTCAATATGAAAACCTTCCATAAAATGAACTTACTATTGTGTTGGTAGTACCACCAAGGTAAAAGAATATTGCTAACCTTTCTCGTGGGTTGCTAAACTGGATCTTGTGGGCCAAATCCAGTTTTGCAGCCTAAATTTTTGTAGTAGAGTCCTCCAGTGCAGAATGCTTTTGTAATGCTTCTAATGCTTGTAAAAAACAAACAAAAAGCAAGCAAGCAATCAACAGAAAACCAAACACCGCATGTTCTCACTCATAGGTGGGTGTTGAACAATGAGAACATATGGACACAGGGAGGGGAATATCACACACCGGGGCTTGTTGGGGGGTGGGGGTAGCTAGGGGAGGGTTAGCATTAGGAGAAATACCTAATGTAGATGATGGGTTGATGGTTGCAGAAAACCACCATGGCACATGCATACCTATGTAACAAACCTGCACGTTCTGCACATGTATCTCAGAACTTAAAGTATTAAAAAAAAAAGCAAGCAAAGAAAAATATGCAATTGACATGTAGGTGACACACAAAGTATTCTATACTTACAATTTTGTTCTCTACAGGCAAGTTTTGCTGAACCCTGTTTATAGCAGTGTAGGTATTGGGCGCAGCAGGAGGCTTTGCTGGCAAATGCTCCCTCAGGCTGAAGGCTTTAGGGGGAGGGTTGTCTAGGCTGTTTTCAGTGCACTCTTGAAAGTGGTATACATAGCAGAATGAAACACCTCACAGAAAGTCTCTAGGAACTGACCTATGTAGTTTCTGAAGCTAGGGAGCTGAACCTGAGCAGAAAAGGGTAATTGATTTGAATCCTGGCTTCCACTGGGCAGCTTCTGCCTACAGGGTCATGTTTGCTGTGCATTTAGTATTGTACACTTGATATTGGGCATCCTTCAGCATTGTGCGTAGGAGAACAATTATGGAGCCTCTCTGTATTTCAAAATTCTCCAAGAATTTTCAGGAATATTTGGTGTCGAACCCTATATCAAAGTAGCTTAAGGAGTATTTTTCAATAGTGAGCACAAAACCAGGTAGGTTTTCCCATTCTCACTTTCTAATTCACTGCAGTTGTGTGAGAGGAGGTAAAGGGCATTAGGGAGTTGAATAGGTTTCCTTCCACTTGACATATGGCTTTAGTCTCTTATCTTTACCATTTAAAAGATTTAATGTAGGATGATGATTGCTAAAGATGGTATTTTAACAGTCTTTTATTAAATACCTACTCTGTAAAGACATTGTGTCAAGTGCTAGGACCATGAAGATGAATGAGACACTCTACTTGTCCTGAAGGATTTCAAGGACTGACAAGGGTGGTGAGCATGTAAATAATTGCATGAACACATTATAGTAAGTATTAAAGAGAAATGTAATGGGCGTATATGCGTGTATTTTTGGCACTGAGTATGTCTGTGTCTTGACAGCATGTAGCTCTTTTACTACTAACATGAATATTAGAGGTAGCTCTTTATCAATGACTGATCAGTAGAGGTCTAGTAAATTCTACAAATTCTATTTATTAGGAACAAAATATCTACCAGGCAGGCTTCTTCTCTTCCAGTTAAGAAGTTCTACAAATAAATGGCAAGTGGCACCAATACCAAAAACCATGTAAACCTCCAATTAGGTGTTGAACTAGGAATCCCACCACTGACTAGTGGCAACTCAGACAGGTACAACCAGAAATTACATCCGTTTGCTGTGTCTGCCTGAGAAAGTTACAAGGAACCCAGTGACAGTCCAGCTCCAGCAATCAAAGCAGCTATGGGAAATGGGTGTAATAATTGTTGCAGAGAAGTCCCTGGGGCACTGCTACATGGACAGGTATTGCTACATGACAGCTACTTGGGGTGGCTCTGTCCTCAGCATTTTGAATCACATGCAAATGTGACCTTCATTCACTGCCATTACGAGCTGCCTCTGCTTTTTTCACATGCCAGTGTTCTCTACCCACTTTCAGATGTCACAGCTTCTACTTTACCCTGGAGTAAAATAAGCTTCCACACCAAAAACAAGTCTCCCCCCAGCAACATATTTCCCTCTATACTCCAAGATTCCAAAAGGAGAATTTGCTACACTGGCCTCCAATCCCTGGGTATTGCTGCCTGGAGCTCACAGAATTACTCTCTCACGCTCTGGAGTTACTTTGGCTATCAGGACAGTTTGAGTTGTCCCAGGCTTCCAGATGAATTATGAGAAATTGGCAGTGGGAGAAGTGGTATCAAAACTAGAGAAAGCAAGAAGTGTTGATGCCAGGCCAAATTCAAATGGAAATAGTCATTCTCCTTTTAGGCCCATGAAAACTTAGGTTCATGCAAAGCATTCAGGGGAAGCCTTCTTTGACTGTATCACCCAACAATTATTTACTGGGTGCTTATCCTGGCTCATTGCAGCATATACCCACTTAAAATACCCTCCCCTGCAGAAAGACTACCTGGAGCTAAATCAGCTAGAAAAGTAAGAGGCATCTGTTTCAAAGGCAAAAGCAAAATTGATCTAAGACCCTTCAGAATTTTCATGTTTGTAGGAAGAAATGCAAATAGGTTTTAGTTCCAGTTTGTGAGGGAGCTTATCCCATGCTGTGTTGCAAACAGCATGTACTGCAGGGAGATACAGTGATGGCTGTTGACAGATGGACCATGACTTTAGGTGTGGGGGCATCTGGAATGGAATGTTCTCTGAAGCAGGAGAAATTCAGAGGTACCAAGTAAAAAAAATCTCCTTTACTTTTAGATTGTATCCGACTCCAGTCAATGTATTCCAATTCATTTTTATGGCAGGTTGTTAACGGAAGGCTGGGCTTGCATTACATGCATTTGGGGTGAGTCTGGAGAAGGGAAGAACTGACCGCCAGAAACCATTGAGGAAAGCAGGCTGTATTCTGCATTTCTTCGGACTTGTCTTTGTGGAGTTTGATAGGAACCACGGATGTCTTTCCTGAGGCTTTCAACTTCCTTGTGTCTGAGACACTCCACAGTTACCCAAAAGCAGAGGGATCTGAAGGTTAATCCAAAGAAGACAAGCTCCTCCGTTGTCACTTTGTGTGAATTTGGGCAATTCACTCCATAACTCTTCATCTTTGAAGGCACAGATGACACCATATTTCTTTATTTTTTTGGTTAACACTTGCTCAAGCCCCCACTTGCCAGTCTTTATTCTCTAATCCAAATCTTACCAAACCCAAGCTTTAGAAGTGGATGTTGATGTCCATTTAATGTCCTCACACTGTGCCCACCCAATGGAGAGTAGTGAATGAAAGCACAGACTCTGATCGGAGTTCCTGGGATTGAGTGCTGACTCCACTATTTACTACCTATCTGATCTTAGACAAGTTTCTTAATTTCTCTGTGCCTCATTTTCCTCAGTGATGGGGTATAGATAATAAGAACAGGTCTTCATGATGATTAAACTAGTTTGTATACATGTCTTAGTCTGCTATGGCTTCTATAACAAAATACTACAGACTGGATGGCTTAAACAACATACATTTGTTTCTTAAAGTTCTGGAGGCTAGGAAGTCAAGATCAGGGTACCAGCAGATTCATTCCTGTTAAGGACCTTCTTTCTGGCTTGCAGACATCTTCCTTCTTACTAAGTTTTCACATAGCAGAAAGAAATAGAGAACTCCTGTCTGATTAGTGTCTGACAAGGACACTAATCCCACACAAGGGGCTCTGACCTCATCTACATCTAATTATCTCCCAAGGGCCCCATCTTTTAATAGCATCACATTGGAGGTTAGAATTTCAACATGCGAATTTGGTGGGAGGACACAAACATTCAGTCCATGAAAACATGTAAATTGGTTAGATTAGTGTTTACTTAGAAAAATGTACCATAAATAGTGTTTCTTATTGTTGCCATTCCCCTTACTTCTCCCAGCCACACAATGTCATGATGTCACTGTTGACGGTCTGTTCTCTGCAGTCAGAAGGTGCCGACCTCTCTGTAGTGAGACCTTATTGGTCCATCCCTGTGGTGGGAAGCCTCTAAGAAAGCCTACAAGGTTTCCTGCCTCCTAGCATTCATCCCCTTGTGTAGTCCCCTTTTCTTTAGTGTGGGATGGACCTAGTGACTCACTTCTAATAACCAGAATATGGTAAGTGATAGCATGACACTTCTGAGATTAGGTTACCAAAAGATAGTGGCTTCTATGCTGTTGTGCCGTAGCAAGGCCCATGAAGCAACGTACTGAGTGAGGACTTCAGTCAACAGTCAACAAAAAATTGAGGCCTACTGAGATCCATGTGAACGAGCTTTGGAGTAGCGCTCCCTACCCCTCAATGGCACTTTAAGATGAGACCACAGCCCCAGCTGACATCTTGACTACAACCTCATCAGAGACTTTCAGCCAGGAGTACCCAGCTGACCCACAAATACCAACATATAACAAATGTCTCCAGCCACTAATTTTGGGGGTAATTTGCTAACCAGCAATAAATCACTAATATATAGGTTGTCAAGGCTGTTTAAGGGCAGATAAGTGCCAAACTCAGCCAGAATGCTCCTACGTGGACTTTTTTCACGTTGATGCTCTCATGTTCAGCTACTTTCCAACGATACAAACAAGGTAACAGGGGGTTTGGTCTGGAGGAGCTTCCAGCATCAGCATCATTGAAGAAACCAATCCTTTTATATGAAACCTTAGGTCTTTATCTTGAATACTGCTCTTCAGCTTGACTCCCACTTTTCTCAATGCAATTTATTTTAGGGACTTCAATGTACTTCCCTGTCTTTACGTCTTGGTTGGAGGTACCTTGATCTAACAAATCAGGACAACCTAAGTTCAATTCTTGAGAAATTCTGAGTGGTTTTAGTTATTTCCCTCCCACAAGGGCCAGTAATTTCAGGGAATGGCAACCAAAACTTATCACAAAAATTTTTCTTATACTGAAATTCTAGAGCTTAAAAGAGCTACTCAGGTCTATAATAGTTCAAAAGACAGTGAAGTCCAACTTCTATTAACAAAAATAAAACCCATCCCACACAAACACACAATAAATTACACCTAATACATATGATGGGAAATACTCATCTTTAGTGGGAAATAAGGAAGAATATTAAGAAAAGGCACAGCTGCTTTGGCCACATGGGCACAGTTCAGATCATGTGAGGTCCCCATGTGTGTGGTTGTGAGAATCACTGCTTTGTGGAAATCTAGAGGAATTCTTGAAGGGACTCTGTTGCTCTTGTTTTGAACCAGTCTGACAATCTTCAGCTTTGAGATGAAATATTTTGTACACTTATGTTTAATGTACTTACTAGTGTAGATTTAAATTTCTTATCTTAGCATGTGCTACTGCTACTGTGTTTGTTTTTTGATTTTGCTTTCTCTAAAATTTATTGAGACTTTTTTATTCCACCTATTTCCTCTGTTAGTTTGGAATTTATGCACTGTTTTACTATTATTTTAGTAGTTACTTTAAAAATTCAACATATATATTTGACCTATCAAAGTTTCTGATAATTGATCCTTTTACTCTCCTCTGAAACAACAAAAGGACCCTAGAACGTTTTGCCTTCCTTTAATTCTTTCTTTGATTTTATGTTATTATTGCCATTTATTTCAGTTGCATATATAACATTCACATTAGATATTATTATTATTATTATTATTATTGTGGTACCATCTATGCTTATTTAAGTTTATCCTTATATCTATCTCTTTTGTCATTTTTCTCTTCTTTCTATATCTCCAACCTTTATTTGAGATTACTTTATTTCTGCCTAAAGAATATCCTTCAGATTTCCTTTAGTATAGGTTTGCTGGGAGCAAATACTCTCATTTTTGTGTATCTGAAAATGTTTTTAGTTCATCTTCATTCTCAAAGGATATTTTCAGCTGAGTATCAAATTTTACGTTGAGAGTTATTTTGTTTGAGTATTTTGAAGGTCATATTCTGCTGTGTTCTAATTTCTGATATTGCTGCTGAGAGGTAGGCTTTGGTCTGTCACTCCTTTGAACATAATCTGTCCTTTTACCTGTGGCTGCTTTTAAGATTTTCTGTTTATCTTAAGTTTTCTGCAATTATGCTTTATGCAATATGATATACCTAGGTGTGAATTTCTTTTTTATTTATCCCACTTGGGATTTACTGGACTTCTTAAATCTATAGATTGACGTCTTTTATTGGTTTTGAAAAATTCTCAGTCATTATCTCTTCAATTATTATCTGTATTATTTTCTCTTTTACCTTCTGGGATTTTAATCAACTATATGTTAGATCTTGCCACTGAATTCCCCACATCTCTTCTCTCTTCTTTGTTTTGTCACTCTATGCATTTTTCTTGATAAAATTTTCTGACCTATGTGCTAGTTTACTAATTTTCTCTTTAGCTGTGTTTACTCTGCTATTAAATATGTTAACATAAATGAGTAAATCTCTAGGATAACCACAAAACCGATAGTAAAACAGTGTGCACCTTTTAAACAAATTAAATCTCAATTTTGATTTTTTTTTTTTAGTTCTAGAATTTTGGGGGGGAGAGGGTGGCAGTTATTTTCAACCATAAACTGTTATTTTATGTTGGAATACAAGAAGCAATGGAACAGTTGTTTGGAAGGTTTAGGACTAGGAAAAGTCTGGGAGATGGGAGGGAGTTTGGAAGCTGTTGCAGTTCTGACAGCTGAGGAGTGAAGTCCCAGGAGGCAGCCGGAGCAGGAAAGTGCAGGAAGGTGAGGTTGAGATTCACCACTGCAGAGAGCAGAGCAGGATGCAGGAGCACCGTGGAGGGACTCCCAGTCTGGAGTGATCTACTCTTTCCTATATTCCCTGCTACCTGTTGGGCCTCACAGGTCTGGGATAGGCACTAAATAGAACTAAGAGTAGCAAAAATCCCACAGCTGAAATTAATTTCTAATCCCCAAGTAAGACAAGGAAGCTAAAATTCTTTGCCAGAAGACAACATAGACTTATGAAAGTTTTGTGGTAAAGCAAAATTATAATAAATAAAAGTAATATTTTAATGTTACTCTCTCTCTCTCTGCATTCAGTATTTTGTATAATCCTTCAACTGTTCTACCTTCAGCAACTCTGACTATAAAAGTATAATGGGGAGATGGAGGCCAATGACTACCGGGTTTCAGTTTTGCAGGATAGATAAGCCTATACCTCTAATGTACAGCATGAGGACTAGAGTTTATAATATTTTATTGTACACCGGAAATGTTCATAGTTACCACACACAAAAAAAGTAACTATGTGAAATGATAGTTATGTTAATTTGCTTGACTGTAGTGATCATTTCAGTTTGTATATGTGTATCAAAACATCATGTTGCTCAATAAATATATAGAATAAATGAATTAAAAATACAATAGATGTATCTTCCTGAAATTAAATTTTAAAAAAGAAGAAAGGAAGATTATATTTAAACCTAGAATGATAAATGAGAATTAAATTCACAACTTTTAAGTTTTCTTTATCAATATGAACTGTGTAACCAATCTTGTTTTTGCGATTTTAGGCACTTTGTAATTTTATAACCTGCCTAAATGTTTGCAGGGCCTTCCTGCTGAGAAAACAACAGGCATTTAATCCACGTGATTTCTTTCTCCTGTTCATTGCTAACATATTTCAAAAATTCATATCCTAAAAAAAGATCGTTACATTAAAGAAATGCAAATATGGCTCAATTAATATATCTTCTAGGACTAAAGCATTTTTGGAGGTATTTGCTTTGTTAAAAATGACAATGAGTCTTCTTTTTACTCTGGTAGAACCCAAGAGGTCAAAGATGGAAGCAGTTCCAGTGTTGGAAGGATGTGGGGACTGCATTGGTTTTTTCATTGCCAAATTGAGGGTGGGGGCAGTATCTGAGGTGGGATTGGCATAAAGGTGGAGTGACTGAAGCTCCTGTCAGTCCATAGTGGTGGCAGCGACAACTGTGGTGATGGTGTCCAAGGCCCAACAGATGGCCCAGAGGAGTTGGGATTGGTGGCTGTTGAGTGGCAGCGGTATTGGCTTAGCTGCAGACCACCTGTGGGCAGGACAGAATTTAGGAATCAGAATGTGGTTGCAGAGTTGTACCTAGGAATCAGGAAACCTTGTCTCTCCTTTAAATTCTGTCACTGTATTAGTCAGTTCTCACACTGCTATGTAGAATTTCCTGAGACTGTGTAATTTATAAAGAAGAGATTTAATTGACTCACAGTTCCACATGGCTGGTGAGTCCTCAGGAAACTTACAATCATGGCGGAAGACACCTCTTCACAGGGTGGCAGAAGAGAGATCGAGTGCAGCAGGGGAAATGCCAGATGCTTACAAAACCATCAGATCTCGTGAGAACTCACTCACTCTCAGGAGAACAGTAAGGGGGAAACCGCCCCCATGACTCAATTATCTCCCACCAGGACATATGAGGACTATGGGGATTACAACTCAAGATAAGATTTGGGTGGGGACACAGCCAAACCATATCAGTCACCAACCAGTTATGTAGCCTCAGGTAACTTTCCAGTCACTTGAGGCAGCAACTTCCATATCTCTTCAGTGAGGGTGTTGGAATCAATGTTCTCTGATACACTTCGCAGCTCGAAAAGTCTCTATTATCATTGTATTCTCATACCTTATATTGTTTCTACTGTTGGAAAATTAAAAATTTTTATAATGAAAAGATTTAAGAATTAAAAATTATTTTTAAATATTTTAAGTAATGTTAAATACTTAATTTTGAATAAAATATTCAAATTTTAATTTTAGTAAGATCTTTTATTATGAAAAATTGTAAGCATAGAGACAAGTAGACAAAATCTTAAAATCCTCTGAATAATCCTCTGTATTCAATAACTATTAGCATTTTGCTACATTTGCTTTATTTTTTTGCTTAATTTTTAAAAATTATGTATATCTTGACATTCTTCATGCCTAATACTTCAGAATATCTCTCTAAAAATAAGGACTTTTGCCTGCATAACCATAATATTATTATTACAGCTAACAAAAATAATAATTCTTTGACATTTCTAATACCCAGCCTGTAGCCAAATTCCCCCAGTTGTATATCAAATATTTTCTACCTTTGGTTTGTTTGAACTTATTAAGCTCCAGGCATTTTATGTGGTCATTATGAATTAAAATTCTCTTTTAATAAATATCAATCTCCTCCACCTTTTTAATGTGACATTAACTTACTGAAGAAAATACAATTTTGATGCCAAATAAACTATTAGCCCGCATCTTCTTTAGCAGAAGTACAATATTATGCTGCATTGGATTGGTTTATAAGCACCATTTAACTTAAAACCCCTTTCCAATAACCTTGTTCCCAGTAAGAAACAAAACACACCAAAACTGACATCTTTGGCTCAGACAACTGTGGCTCAAGGCAGCAAGCTCCTGTCCCCAGACTCTGGGGTCACAATTTATCAGGGAGTCGGGCCCGGGGTGCTGGGTCAGTGGTTGATAACTGCACATGGAGACCGAAGGAAAATGCTTTCCTTGCTGAATGGGGAGAAATTTAATGGAGGACACGAAATCTGCAATATCATTCATAAGGAGTTTCTATTTTATTAGATACATGCTTCGAGTTTCTTCAGTCCCAGGGGAATTTTTTAAAACAGCCAGCCACCTTTTTCCATTACAAAAGCTATAATTTTTAATATGCTTCTTGAGGCTATTTTAACCAAAGATTATGATGTTTTTTATTTTATTGGACACAAGTAAGATGAGCTTTTGGGGGGAACTTTAAACTTTGATCAAACAATTTGGGATGAGGCTGCTTATTATACAGGATTCTCACTAGTGGTATCTTTTTAAAAAAATAATTTCAAGTTTTATTTTAGATTCAGGGGTACATTTGCAGGTTTGGTACATGGGTACATTGTGCGATGTTGAGGTCTTGGATAAGAATGATCCCATTCTTAAGCCCAGGATTTTGAGGCTATAGTGAGCTATGATCATGCCACTGCACTCCCTTTTCTCCATGTCCCATGTCCTCACCAGCATTTGTTATTTTTTTGTCTTTATGATAATAGCCAGTCTAACTGCGATGAGATAATATCTCATTCTATCTTTGATTACATTTTCCTGATGACTAGTGATGTTGAGATTTAAAAAATACATTTGTTAGCCATTTGTGTGTCTTCTTTTGAGAAATCTCTGTTCAGATCATTTGCCCATTTTAAAATCAGATTGTTTATGTTTTTGCTGTTGAGATGTTTGAGTTCCTTGTACATTCTGGTTTTTAATCCCCATATTGGATGAATTAGTTTGCAGATATTTTCTCCCATTCTGTAGGTTGTCTTTCACTTTGTCGATTGCTTCCTTTGCTGTGCAGAAGCTTTTTAGTTTTATATAATTCCATTTGTTTATTGCAGCCCTATTCACAATAGCCAAGATATGGAATTAACCTAATTGTCCATCAACAGATGAATGGATTAAGAAAATGTGGTATATATACACAGTGGAATACTATTCAGCCATGAAAAATAATACATAATGTCATTTTATAAAAATAAGTATAAAACATTATAAAAATAATAAATATTGTCAATTTCTGCAACATGGATGAGCATGGAGGACATTTTGTTAAGTGAAATAAGTCACCAAAAGAAATTTAAACACCATGTTATTACCCATATATGGAAGCCAAAAAGTGGATCTAATAGAACTAAAGAGTAAAACAGATTACTAGAGGATGGGAAGGGTAGGGAGAAGGGAAGAATACGGAGAGATTTATCAAAGCACGTGTCCCCAATCCCTGGGCCATGAATCAGTACTGATCTGTGGCCTCTTAGGAACCAGGCTGCACCAGAAGGTGAGTGGCAAGTGAGCAAGTGATGGCTTCATCTGTATTTATAGCTGCTCCTCATCACTCCCATTACCTCCTGAGCTCCACCTCCTGTCAGATCACTGGCAACACTAGATTCTCAAGGGAGTGCAAACCCTATTGTGAACTGCACATGGGAGGGATCTAGGTTGCATGCTCCTGATGAGAATCTAATTCCTGATGATCTGTCACTGTCTCCCATCACCCCCAGATGGGACTATCTAGTTGTGGGAAAACAAGCTCAAAGGTTTCACTGATTCTACATTATGGTAAGTTGTGTAATTATTTCATTATGTATCACAATATAATAGTAGAAATAAAGTGCACAACAAATGTAATGTGCTTGAATCATCCTAAAACCATCCTTCTCCATGGTCCTTGGAAAAATCATCTTCCATGAAACTGGCCCCTGGTGCCAAAAAGGTTGGAGACTGCTGTATTAAAGGATACAAAATTACAGCTAGAGAGGAGGAATAAGTTTTAGTGTTGTACAGCACTCTAGGATCACTATAGTTAACAATGTATTATATATTTTCAAATAGCTAGGAGGATTTTGAATGTTCCCAACACAAAGAACTGATAAATGTTTGAGATGATGGATATGCTAATTACCATGATGTTATCACTTACATTGTATGTATAGAACATCACTATGTACTCCATAAATATATACAACTATTGTGTATCAATTTAAAAATTAACAGTTTCTAAAAAAATGAATTTGAAAGTAATCCAATGGTTTAGCGATTTCAGCAAATTTAAGTCTCTAGCTTGGCTTGTTATTTCAGCAGCCTATTCTGTCACTTAGTTCTAGACATTATGCCAACTCAAAGGGACGGGGCTGATCTTCAGCAGAGTCCTTCAGAGTCTCATATTATACATTTCATTGTGCCAAGTCATGTCTAACAATAATATTGAATTGCTTTTCATAAAGAAAACAATAAGATTTAGTGAAGGTGAGGATCTATTCTATTCTGAATCATTGTTGAAACGAAGTCCTGTGGCACCTGATTCCTGTAAATAGAAGAGAAGAACCCCAGGAGGCGCATGTGTGTAATACTCTACTTTGATGAAGTTTTTATTGATGAAAGATTTCTTCTATATTCTGTATAAATAAAAAGGGTTACTACTCATGTGAGCTGAGCCACAGTGGAAAGTTTCCTGCAAAGTCAGTGAAAGGTAACACGTGGATTACTGGGAGGATGTAAAAATGCAAGCAAAGTCCCCTGTGATGGCAGGAGGAAGCATTAGGTGCTAAAGTTGGACGCATAGAACAAAAATAAAACATAGGCTACACTAAACTGTGAGAATTCCTTAAAGTGCTCATAAAAATAAGCACATACACCTAGTTTGGGGCTTTTAACCCAGTACAGTAATACATACTGTATGTATTAATGTAGTGTATATATAAAATCTATAAAATGTAATTTTATGGTATTATAAATTATACCATTTAAAACTGTTATTTTCCTATCTCTTTAAAAAGTGCCAAGCATATCTCAATACATTTATATATGTGTGATATTGGTGGCTAGTTTGAGATAGTCTTTATTATGCTAATTAATTAGATGCTTCTTTATTTAAAGTTTGCAAGGACAGATGTTGAATATTGACTAATATCTTTTCTTGGCTTCTAATGAGACCACCATATGACTTTTCTCTTTTGCTTTATTAATGTGATTTGTGACAGTTGACACAAATCACAAAAGAAGTCAACCTTCTTTTCTTCAGATGAGGCTTCCTTGATACAATCTATTATTGTTTTGAATAATTGCTGAATTTTATTGTATTTTCTGTAGTCTTTCTAGTGCTATTATTTTCAGGTGTGGATATCAGAGTAAAACAAATTGGGAGGGTTTCTATCCTTTGTTATGCTCTGGAGCAGTTTAGACCATATGGGAATAATTTATTCTTTGAAATTTTGGAAGAACACATTTAATAGCTTTAGTAGCATCCCACAAATGTTAATATATATAGTGTTTTCATTGTCATAATCTGAATAGCTCTTTAACAATGGTATTGATCTCTTCTTTGATCTCAGAATTATTCAGAACATTGTCCAGGAGTTTCAGAATATATTTGTTTGTGTTTTTTGTTTTTATGTTATAAGTTTAATTTTATTGCATTGCAGCCAATACTGTGGTCTGTACAATTTCTACTTTCTATATTTAATTTGTTTTGTTTTTATTATGGCTATTAAGACAAATTTTGTAAGCTTGAAAAGGAAGATACTTTTATGCTTAAATGGTAAAGTGTTATCTATCTAATAACTCTCATTAAGGATATTGTTCAAATGTTCTATATTTTGGATGTTAATCTGCCTTAGACTGAGGATGTATATTTGAAGTTATTCCACTACTATTTAATTTCTGTTTGTTTCTATTTATATTTCTAGCAGGTTTTGCTTTATGTATTTTGGGTCAATATTATGTGGCAGAGAAAAGTTTGTGATAGCTGTATTTTAATTTTCATTATATATTTTGACAATATTAAATGACTTTTTCCTATATAACATTTTCAGTTTTGTGTTTCTTTTCATTTAGTTTGTTTACTAATATTAGTGTTTTTGTGTGTTTTTCATTTTTTCTTTGACTTTTCCTGTACAAATTTGAGTTATTCTTATATTTTATTTATTCTGCAATAATTTAGAAGTTGTATAACATTTAATTCTACTATTGCTTACCTGTAAGTTTTAAAAATCGTATTTGAATCTATTTTTCCTAAACTCAAAGGAAACTTAAAACAATATTATTGTTTTCACAACACATAAACCATGAGATAAGACATTTTCGTATTTTATTTTTGCCACTACTGCCTCTACTCTTCTCCATTCTACTTCCTAAATTGCATTTATGGATGTTTAGACCCATATTATTACCTTTGTGTATGAATCACCTCTCTTAAAATGTTTTGTATTTGTACTGATATCATTTAACTCAATCTGTATAAGATAGAATTTCCTGCCTTACTGTAGCTTTTTATACTACTTTATTCCCATTTATGATTTTAATGTAGTCTAGTTCCTGCAGGATAATTCTGAATAATTTTTTCTGGTTTAGTCTGTGGATGATATACTTTCTAATCTCTTGTAGATCTGAAAGTGTCTTTCTGTTATTCTTATGCACACATTTAAATGGAGTGCAGGATTCTGGAGCCACAATATTTTACCTCAAAACTAGATGTTGCTCCGTTGTCTTACAGTGTTTAGTGCTGCAAGGAAGTTCGATGTCCTCTTGATTTTCATTCTTTTGGAGGTGATTGTTTTTCCATCCAGATGCCTTTCTTTTTCTTTTTTTTTTTTTTTTTTTTTTTTTTAGACAGAGTCTCACTGGAGGCCCAGGCTGGAGTGCAATGGCGCCATCTCGGCTCACTGCAGCCTCCGTCTCCCAGGTCCAAGCGATTCTCCTGCCTCAGCCTCCCAAGTAGCTGGGATTACAGGTGCCTACCACCACACCCAGCTAATTTTTTGGATTTTTAGTAGAGACAGGATCTCACTCTGTTGTCCAGGCTAGTCTCGGACTCCTGACCTCAAATGATCCTCCCATGTCGGCCTCCCAAAGTTCTGGGATTACAGGCATGAGCCACAGCGTCCGGCCATCATCCAGATGCCTTTTGGGCATTTTATTTGGCCTTGCATTTTTTAAACATTTGCTACGATGTCTTTGACGCTGACCTTGTAGATTGTAGACCCTTTTCATCTGTAGACTTAGGTTTACATTGCTTTGAAAAATTTTATTCTATGGTTTTAAAAAAACATTAGTACTATTGTTCTATTCTGTTCTTTACCCTTGGGACTACAATTAAATATATTTTGTATATCCTTGTATTTCCTGCCACAGATTATATCATGGTCATTTTTCTTATTTCTTCTGTTTACTTAGAGAAGTAGCTTGTCTTCTACTTCACTGATTAGATCTGTAGTATCTAATCAATATTCAACATCACATTGCACCTTTTAATTCAAAAATTGTAGTTTTCATCACAATTTTCTTTCCTGGTCTCAAACAGTTGATTTTTCAATGAATACGTGCTCTAATCTCATACCTGCAGTGCCCTTTTGAAACTGAGAACAAAGACTATGCAATTTCTTTAAAATGCCAGTTTCTGATAACAACTGTAGATTTCAGAAGATGACATTTGTTCCCCTTGATATGAAATACGGTGGTTTCAATGGCTTTCTGCTTAGTCCTCCCAAGGGAGGGAGGTCCAGGTTTACCCAGTGCTGGCTTATAGAGTTAGGATTTGATGAGTTTTGTGTGTGCGTTCTTTATTTAAGAATGGGTAGCTCTTGTCTCTTTTAGAGACTTTCAGTCTAGTTGGAGGAAGACAGGGCAGCTGGGCTTTTCTGTGGTTTACTTTACTACAGTCCTGGGTGGTCTCTCTTCTAGCCCCACTTCAATACTGGTCATTGTGCTGCCTCTGGGAGCCTGAACCAGGGATGGGGATCTCAGCAGGGAGCGAATCCCCAAGGAGGCAGCTCCCTGCTGTGCTTCTTCTGGGTGGCTGCAGCCTGGGAGAACATCCAGCAGATGCTGGTAGGGTGGAAATGTCACTGCCCATGCCCAGCTCCCTGCAGGTGACACCAGGGCCTTCAGCACTCAACCTTTCTCCTCTGCATTACAGGATCTGAATGCAGTTTTGCTGGATTCTCTTCCACCTGTTTTCTGGGCAAATAGTACGGTGGTAGATCATTCTTTCCATAAAATCCCATCTCACTTCACTATTTCTAAATGACATCGTGAATATTCTAGTGCTTCTGGAACATTTGTGTGTGTATAATCTTTCCCTGAACTCCAGCACTGGCTATTGACTTTTTTCTTCTTTGTGTAGTCTTTATAGCCATTTAAGCAGGAACTGGGGAAGAGCAATTTGATGTTTGTACACATATCATCCTCTTGGCTGGTCTTCACATTGTTTCTGAATGCTTTCTGTGACTCTCATGCATATTTCTAAGTAGACAGCACAGAGCTGGCGTAAGTTTTATTTTGTTTTCTGCTGTCTGCAAGAGGCTCACTTTTTTTCAACTTTTATTTTAGATTCAAGGGGTACAAGTGCAAGTTTGTTACCTGGGTTTATTGAGTGATGCTGAGGTTTGGGGTACAAATGATCCTGTCACCCAGATAGTGACATAGTACCCAATAGGTAGTTTTTAACCTTGCTCCTCTCCCATCTTCTCACCTCTAGTAGTCCCTAGTGTCCATTATTTCTGTCTTTAGGTCCACGTGTACCTAATGTTTAGCTTCCACTTATTACTGAGAACATGTGGTATTTGGTTTTCTGTTTCCGTGTTAATTTGCTTAGGATAATGGCTTTCAGCTGCATCCATGTTTCTGCAAAGAATATAATTTCATTATTTTTTATGGCCACATAGTCTTCCATGGTGTATCTGTACCGTATCATCTTTATACAATCCACCATTAATGGGCATCTAGGTCTTTGCTATTGTGAATAGTGTTGCACGAAATATGAGTGCATGTGTCTTTTTGATAGAACAATTTATTTTCCTTAGGGTATATACCCAGTAATGGGATTGCTAGATCAATTAGAAGTTCTCTTCCTAGTTCTTTGAGAAATCTCCAAACAGCCTTCCACTGTGGCTGAACTAATTTACATTGCCACCAACAGTGTATATGTTCCTTTTTCTCTGCAGTCTTGCCAACATGTTATTTTTTGACTTTTTAGTAACAGTCATTCTAACTGGTGTGAGACAGTATCTCGATGTGGTTTTGATTTGCATTCCTCTGATGATTAGTGATGCTGAGCATTTTTTCATATGTTTCACGGCCGCTTGTATGTCTTCTTTTGAGAAATGTCTGTTCATGTTCTTTGTTCACTTCACTATTTCTAAATGGTATTGTGAATGCTTTAATGCTTCTGGAACATGTGAGTGTGAGTGTGTGTGTGTGTTTCTGCGTGTGTGAATGTGACCTTTCCTTGAACTGCAGCATTGATAGTGATATTTTTCTCCTTTTCATAGTCTTTATAGCCATTGACGTAGAAACTGGGGAGGTGTGATTTGATGTTTGTACACACATCATCCTCTTGGCTGGTCTTCACATTGCTTCTGAATGCTTTCTGAGTTTCATGTATGTCTCTAAGTAGACAGCAGAGAGCTGTCCTTAGGTTTTCTTATATTTTCCACAGCCCAATCAATGTTCTGCATATCATTTATGTTTTATAAACACTGGAGGAATTGAATTCTAATGAAATCTCTCCCCACTTCCCTACCCCTAAATCCAGGCTTTAAATATCAATATTTTTGCGGCTGGGATTCTTCTAAAATAAGAGCTGAGTCTCTAGTTCTTTTTTTCAGTTTCAGGAATAAAAAGGTAATATTAGAGCACCAGATAAGAGAAATTTTCTGTAATTCATTTAATAAAATAATTGGGTTAATATGCCTGGGTCTGTAGTATTACAAGTAAAATCCATGCTTCATTGCTTTCATACTGAGTGAATTACCCAGGGAAGCCCATAAACTGAAAATGAGAATAACAGTCTGTCTTTCCCTAGCTTCTCTTGCTGTCCCTGCCTTCATATTCAGTTTGTGCCCAAAGAGCAAGGCAACAGGAGAATACTGTTTAAATCTCTTCTGAAATGTTCACACAGATATGGTCCTGATAGCTGTCATAAAAGTCAAAACTAAGCCACTGAATTAGTTGAACAAGTCATCTGTGAAGGCCATGTCTGAGAATGTTGGCCTACTAAAGATGGCTAGCCACAGGAAAGACATCAATTATAGCCAATAAAACTGGACAATTATACAATTTTCCAGTTTTGTTTCTTGTTTCCCTCCTAGTGATGGATACACCCACCTGATCACGGAAGTGAGCAGTTTGACTCTCGTTTTGTCAAGAGTCAGTGCTGTGGGAGTCAGCTTGGGCTGCTGTAACAACACACCACAGCCTGAGTGGCTTCTGCAACATTTATCTATCACAGTCCTGAAGTCTGCGAAGTCCAAGATCAAGGTTACAGTAAGATTTGGTTGTTACTGAGGCCTCTTTCCCTGGCTTGTAGATTATACCATCTCACTGTGTTGTCACATGGCAGAGAGAGAGAAAGAGAGAGAGAGAGAGAGAGAGAGAGAATGCATACTCTCTGGTTTTCTTCTTATTAAATACGATGTAGTTTTATCATTGCATCATGGTCGCACCCTTCAACCTCATCTAAACATAACTACCTCTGTATAGGCCCCATTTCCAAATACAGCCACATTGTGTGTTAGGGCTGCAACATACAAATTTTGGGAGGACACTATTCAATCCTAGCAGGTGGACTGGAGAATGCACATGTATGTGGGGAGATTTGGACCAGGAATTAGAAAGCTTCTTTTCTTCCCTGGTTCCTATATGAATTCAACAAGTCATTTCACATTTTGAGTCTTGTTGATCTCATATGGAGGATATGCATGTGACAATCGCAAGGCTCCTGCCAGCTGGGCCCTCCAGGGTCCTATGGTTCACGCTAACATTGCACACAGTCCAGTCTGTCCAGTGAGTTCAGCGGCCTAGCCTCCCTTATGCATGCTGTACTTGGCCAGACAATATTCCTTTGTCTATAACATCACAGTGCCCAGAGAGCCCTTCTCTTGCCAGATTGCCAAATGCGGGAGGCCTTTCAGAATATCTCCATTCATCCATCCACCCATCTACTCTATAGTTTTCTCTTTTGCTTTGTTCCAGGTGCTGCTTTAGGTGCTGGGGATATCTGTGCTCTGATGAATTCCATGTTTTAGTGGATTTGCATGGATAGAAGGGACAATAGCAAACAAACAAATATATAGTATGTCAGATGGTCATGAGTGCTTTGGAGAAAAATAAAGTAGGGTGAGAGTGAGATGTCCTGGACCGGATGGAAAGGTGGGAGGCTGTTATTTTATATCTGATGGTCAGAAAAAGTCTCCGTGCACATATGCAGAGGATGTGAGCTAGCCCAGCATGTATGGGGTGCAGAGGGCCTAGGTGGGCAGGCAGTAAGCACCTGCAGTATGCGTGGTGTGGCTGAGGAGAGTGAGCAAGGAGAGCAGTGAAAGGAAATAAGAAGAGAAAGTCAGGGTCCCTGAGCTGGCCAGGCTTTGTTGAGACTCCAGAGACTTGGGTTGCCTTTTCTATTTTGACCAGAATTTATACTGTTCTTTGTAGGAGGATGGCTTGTTAGGACCTCACTCCTCTATACCAGAAACAAAACTCTCTAGATTGATATTTTTAAAATGTAAATTGAATCATGTTAGTCACTTGCTTAAACCACTTCACTATTTCTTTTTCATTTTATTATATAACAAAATCAAAACCTTTCACCAGGACTCCCCACGGGTCCTTTCTTATCATCCTGACTTCATTTTGGCCCTGTTTCCCATCCCTGCATGGCTTCCTAAGCTCCAGTCACCGGGTCTCCTAGTTTCAAGAATGCTGCAAACTCACCTTCCCTCAGGGCTACTGATGCTGAAGGTTTCCCTGGCTGCTCCTTGCTTCTTACTCTATGGGTCTCAGCTTAAATGTCCTCATCTCAGGCAGACTGAAAGCATCTCTTTACTAGTACATATAATAATTTGTAATTACTTCTTTAATTTTTTTCCCTTTCAAATTTACACTTCTTGAGGGCAGGGACCACCTGCTGGCATTGAATCTGAGGGTCTGGAATGTGGTAGGTACTCAAAATATTTGTTGAGCGAATAATCAGTGGCTAGGGGAATTGAATGTTTGATAGCATTGCCTGAAGTAGACGGGAATTTTCTGTGACTTTCCAGAAAAATCCAGAGAAGTGGATGGGTTCTCAGCCTTCATCTTCCTTCATCTCTCAGCAGCATGTTACTCAGCTGATAACAGCCTCTTCTAGATATGTAAAGCTCTCTTATATTATAATTTTAGGCTGGGCATCATGGCTCACGCCTGTAATCCCAGCGCTTTGGGAAGCCAAGGCAGGCGGATCACTTGAGGTCAGGAGTTCAAGACCAGCCTGGCCAACACAGTGAAACCTCATCTCTACTAAAAATACAAAACTTAGCCAGGTGTGGTGGTGGACACCTGTAGACTCAGCTACTCAGGAGGCTGAGGCAGGAGAATTGCTTGAACCCAGGAGGCAGAGGCTGCAGTGAGTCGAGATTGTGCCACTGCAATCCAGCCTAGGTGACAAAGTTAGACTCTGTCTCAAAAAAAAAAAAATATATATATATATATACACACACACACACATATATATATAATATATATTTAATAATAGTTCTATTAAAACCAAAATCTTTTTCCTCATTAACAATAATTTGCACAATTTGATTTATTTTATATTAACTGTGTAAAGAAAGTATAGTTTGCTGACAAATAAATTAGAAATGACTGTGTTGTTTTGGTTTCAGAATGGAATGTATGTTAATATGTAGGTTGAAATGCAATTACTTATTACTGCACTAAAAATTGACAAAAACTGTCATGGCTTAAAAA
Organism: Homo sapiens; assembly: GCF_000001405.40. Classification (NCBI taxonomy): domain Eukaryota; kingdom Metazoa; phylum Chordata; class Mammalia; order Primates; family Hominidae; genus Homo; species Homo sapiens. Next base: position 26,903,447 of record NC_000008.11, read on the forward strand.
TCAATGGTTTTATTTTTATGGTTCTACATGATAAAACAAAAGATGATTTTTGGTTGCTGTGTTTAACTTTTCTCTTTAAATAACATAGTGTGTTATTCTTTGCATCCAATAAATGAATAGTCAATTTAGATATATTCATTACTATATTTCACATTTTCAATTTTTTGAAAAGAAATTCATATATATTAATTTGCTGCATAAGAATTTATATACAAGTTACAGATACAGTGAATATCAACTTGAGATAAGGTTACAGAATTGTTATCATTTTGTTTCTTCTCATAAGTTACATTTTGACATTATATTCTTTATGCTTTCTTTAGCAAGTGATCCATTATGGATACAAAAGGAAGACTCTAAGATTATAAGTAAAAGCAATTCAAAACTATCATGGCTAGTAGGGTTTATCTGAGTAACAAATAAATGAGACATAGGCTTATTTACTTTGAAATTCACTGGCCACAGCATACCTGCTCACTAGATACAAACTGAGATGTTAGCAAAATGTTCCTTTTTAAAAGGGAAAATACTTAAAATCATTGCTTTATTTATTGATTCATTAAACTTTGTTTCTGTTCTATTAACTCATTGATAAAAGTCGAAAGGAATAGACACTATTGTGGTTGTGAATGACATGAACCTTCTGGAACCTTTTGGAAGTCTTCCATTAAATCCCTATCAAATCCTCTAACAACCAACTAGGCAGAGCCAGTCAAAAGACTAATAAAGGGATTTAAGAAGGGGACACACTCATCAGATTTTCCTTTTAGACAAGTCACTCTGGATTGGACAATGAAGCCACTGAAGGCAGGAAAACACTTGGGAGGCAATGGCAACAGCCACTCAGGTAAAAGTGAGCAGGAATTTGAAGGGATGAGGTCAAGAGGTTTTGAGGAGGCAGAGTCAACAGGACAAGGTGATTAAGTTGGAGGAGAGCCGGAAGAGGGATTAAGGTGTTGGGATAGACACTGGAATGTAAATTAGAGAAAGAATTCAGATGTGGGAGCAGGTTTGGAGGGAGGGAAGATGAGTTTCCTTGGAATATGTTGTTTCAGTTGTTCATGGGCTTTACACATGGAATGGTACATGGTGCATGCACTATAATGACTTAAAAGCATAACCGAAGGGTAGCTTTTATGTTATGTATTTTTTATCCACATAAAAATAATTTGGATCTGCATGGGATGTTTTGGGTTATCAAAATAACTGGAAGGGGTGCTACTGACATTTAAAGTCAAGGGGGAGGGAGAGAAGGATGCTGAACTACCCTATGAAACAAAAGTGACAGGCTTGCTGCACCCGTTTACCACTCAGCACCCTCTTGAAAAACAGTGAAGGTGCTGGTAGAAACCATAAGCCTCTGTAGACTTGGTAGAAAAGCACAGAATCCATCAGAATCTGTGTATATATGTATGTATGTATGTATCTCTATCTATCTACCTACCTACCAATTTATCTGTCATTATCTATCTATCTGTGCTTTAAGCAAGGGAAGCTGCTATTTAAGATTCTGCAGCTATGCCTGTGTCTATAGGTGATGACAGCAGGTCATCTGGGAGCATATTCTCTAGTATGATAAAGATTTGTTTTTTGTAGGTATATAAATACAAGACAAGAAGGCATTTTCTGTCTGAGAAAAGGTGTAAGAAGACGATGTGCACTTGCTTTTCTCTTTGTGATGTGGTAAATTCTGTCCCTCTCAAAACTGCTTGAGATCTACAAGGCTGTGGGAGGGGGTGTGGGCCAGGTTCACACAGATTTTGCATAAGAAACTCAGAGGGAGGAAAGGGATTAAGATCCTCCTAACCTCTTCTGCTCAGGTTAAAATAAAGCAATGATTTTATGTATTTTCCCTTTTAAAAAGGAACATTTTGCTAACATGTCAGTTTGTGTCTAGTGAACAGGTATGCTGTGGCCAGTGAATTTCAAAGTAAATTCAAAGATTTTTGCATAAGAAACTCAGAGGGAGGAAAGGGATTAAGATCCTCCTAACCTCTTCTGCTCAGGTTAAAAGTTAGAGAAATCTCTTTGCATATTCATGGTTTATAACAGTTTTAGAGACTCCTGGATAGGGTTTTCCCTGCAGGTAATATTACAATTATTATTCTTTTCTGCCAGGTCATCATTACTTAAACAAACAGGTGATTTTATAGCTAAAGGGGGGAAAAGGATATGTGTTAAGAAGTTAAATTTCATTTTTAAGTGATTGAGACATTTTCTTAAACTAATACAAAATGCTTCACATTTGTCACCTTTTTAGTGAAAGCACATTAGCCTAAGTTCACTACTGTGTGGCTACCTAGTGGAAGGAGTAAATCTCTGAACGCCACCGAGAGTACAAATTCACTTTGGAGTGGTGCAATATCTCAAGGTTAATGGGTAGAAAAGTTACAATTTAATGCTAAACCATCTAGTTTCTTGTGTTGTATGGGATAAAGGATTTTGGAATAAACATTCTCATAATATTGCTAAAAAAAGTTACAGAAATCTGTTTGTGTGAACCTGGCCCTAATCAAAGCTCTGGGGACAGCAAAGGGTAACAAAATTCACAAATAAAATGACTGTGGGCCTGGAAATAGTCATTACCAGTGTGCTGGCCCTTGCTCTGGAGTCTTAAGTGGTTGGTTCTGGGCCCCCAAGATGGCAGATATCCTAACTCTGTAGGTCTCTATTTGTCCACTACACATTGAAAACTTATGAGTGGACCCAGCCAACAGATCAAATAAATGCGTATCTCTGAAGGGTAGGCATCAGGCATTATTAGTATTACTGGAAAGCTCTCCAACCCAAATAATGTCAGAAAATACTTGAAAATCACATATGTGATAAGGGACTTATAACTAGAATATATAAACAACTCTTACAATTCAATAAAAAAGCAAGAAATCCAATTAAAAAATGGGAAAAGTATCTGAATAGACATTTCTCCAGAGAAGATAAACAAATGGTCAAAAAGCACATGAAACAATACACAACATCATTAGCCATCATATGGGTTTTGTCTTTCATTCTATTACTATGTTGTATCATATTTACAGATTTGCATATGTTGAACCATCCTTGAATCCCTAGGATAAATTGCACTTGATCATGAGGAGTGATTCTTTTAATATGTGCTACTGAATTCACTTTGATAGTGTTTTGTTGAGTACTTTTGCATTTTTGTTCATCAGGGATATTGGCCTAAAATTTTCTTTTCTTGTAATGTCCTTATCTGGCTTTGGTATCAGGATAATGCTAGCCTTGTAAAAAGAGTTTGGAAATATTCCCTCCTGTGATTGTTTGGAAGAGTTCGGGAAGGAGTGATATTAGTTTTTCTTTAAATGTTTTGTAGATTTCAGCAGTGAAGCCATCATGTCCTGGGCTTTCTTTGATGGGAAACTTTTTAATGACTGATTCAAACTCTTGTTATTGGTCTTTTTCAGATTTTCTGTTTTTTCAAGATTCAGTCTTCCTAGGATATACATGTCTAAGAATTTATCTATTTCATCTAGGTTATCAAATTTATTGGTGTATAATTATTCAGAATAATTTCTTTTGATCTTTGTATTTCTGTAGTGTCAATTATAATTGTTTCTCTTTCATTTCTGATTTTATTTATTTCCCTTTTTTCCTAGTAAGCCTAGTTAAGGGTTTGCTGATTTTGTTCAGCTTTTCAAAAAAACCAACTCTTAGTTTCATCGACTTTTTTTCCTGTTGTTTTTCTAGGCTCTATTTTATTTTTTTCTGCCCTGATCTTTGTTATTTCCTTCCCTCTACTAATTTTGGGTTTAGTTGTTCTTTTTTTTTTTCCAGTTCCTTAATGTGTAAGACTAGGTTATTTCCGATCTTTCTTCTTTTTTTGATCTAGACATTTATTGCAGAAAGGCAATGTGGTAGATTTCATCCCAGCACCCCCCTCCCCAGTCATGGTCTCTTGTGGTGGGCTTTGAGGCCACAATGAGCCCTGTTTAAACTCACAGGTATGCCATAATTAGCCCCTGATTTTTGCTGAAATGTGCTGTGATGAGCATCTCTCTCCCTAGGGGGGTCTTGGGGCCGGGTCTGAGGCTAGGCCTGGATCTAGGGATTCAAGCCAGGTAGAACTGTCCACCACTTCTAGGAGTGACCAGCTGAGCTTTTGCAGGTGGGCTTTGTTGTTGGCTGGTACCTCTCATTGGCCACCATGGCTGGCAGGAGCACAGCTGCCATCAAGATCCTCGTGCTGGTTGTTGTGAACTCTGTTTCACTTCTCTTCTGTGTTTCTACCTGACTCTGAGTTGTCTAGTGGTGCCATTACCCTCAGTGTTCTCCATGAGGTGAAACTGGAGGGGGCTTCCCAGGAAACATCTCAGAATGCTAGAGAAGATGAATGTCCCTTTCTGGTTCTCTTTTCTCAAAATAAAAACCATAAACCCTAGGGAATTCTCTCTTCATGGCACTGTGCCAATTTGGGAGAGAGGAAGCAAGGGGGGTGATGTGGTCAAAGTGAGACTTTTTCTCTTACTCTCTCTTGTGTTTTTTATTAAGTTCCATGGCCCACAAAGGTGTCTTGGTCTTGTTCCCATGTTTCAGGGTTTTCACAAGGTGTTCTTGTCTGTGGCTAGTTTCTAATTGGACTTTCTGTGGGGATCAAGCTACCTGGGACCACCTATCCTGGAATCTTGCTGATGTCACCGTTAGGGAAATGCAAATCAAAACCACAGTAAGAAACTTCACACTCACTAGGATAGCTAGAATGAAAAAGTCAGATGGTAAGTTTGGTGAGGATGTGGAGAAAGCAGAACCCTCATACACCACTGGTAGTAATATAAACTTGTACAGCCACTTGGTAGTTTCTGAAAAATTAAACATAAGGTTACCATGTGATCCAACAATTCCATTCACATGTATATATCAAGAGAAATAAAAGCATATGTCTATACAAAACTTGGACAAGAATGTTCATAAAAGCATTATTTATAAAAACCAAAAAGATGAAAATGACCCAAATGTCAACCAACTGATGAATGGTAAAACAAAACGTGGTATGTCCATACAATGGAATATTACTTAGCCATAAAAAATGAAGTGCAGATACATGCCACAACTTAGATAAACCTTGGAAAATTATGCTGAATTAAAGAAGCCAGCCACAAAGGACTACACATATATCATTCCATGTGTATAAAATATCCAGAATAGACAAATCTATAGAGTCAAAAAGTAGATTAGTTGTTGCTTAGGGCTGGGAGGTTGGGGTGATAGGGAAGGTGGTGGATGACAGCTAAAGGATACTGGGTTGCTTTTTGAAATTATGAAAATATTCTAAAACTGATAGTGGTGATAATTACATGATTCTGTGAATGTACTAAATCCGTGGAACTGGATATTTTAAATGGAGGAATTGTGTTGTATGTGAGTAAATTCAGTAAAACCATTACTTAAAAAATAAAAAAGAAAGCTCCTGAAGTGATTCCAATATTCCATGAGATTTGAGAACCTCCACCCTAATCTATTCTAACTCAGCCTGCTTCGGCAGGGAGTAGGATGAGGTGGGGTGCAGGCAGGGACAGATTTAAGTTCTTAAGTATTTGTGAGCTGTCACCTTAAGAAACCCAGTTATTTTGGGCATGAAATATCCTTAGCTGACTGCAATCCTGGGGTAGAGGACATGGTTCTCCCTCCCTTCCAGAATCCTGGCAGCTCTGGCAGACTGCTACACCAGCAGGAGCAGAAGGTTCAGTCTACTGTGTTACCTTAGACTTGGGGAGAAAACAGGGCCAAGTAGCACTAATTCTTTACATACTGGTTAATACTGAATGACATAAAGGGTACGTATTAAGATAGGAATAGCTTAGACTACTTGCCAATAGTCCCTAATAGTCTATCAATCACACCTCAGCTGAAATCCTGACATGTCACTTGTACATGTATACACGGATAATGTCACTCAGGTAAATGCACAATGAGCAGACTTTGTTTAGTTAAATTTAATGATGCTGACATGGTGCTAAATCAATGGGCCAAAGTCCATCTGTTGAGTAGAATAAAAATCAGAGTTACAGAACTTTAAAGATGAATTATTCTTCAAGGAGCACTAAATCCAACTTATGTTTTTCTGACAATTAAACAGGGGCAGAAAAAGGTCAGCTGACTACCCCGGCACATTGCAAACATTTAAAGAGCTACTTTGAGGGCTCCTTCCATCTTGAGATGGTAAATGTAGCAGTGTTTGAGCACAGTCTATATTGCTGTCTTAATCTGGACCCTGCAGAGAAACAGAACCAATAGGATGGAAATGTGTGTGTGTGTTTGCGGTGTGTGTGTGTTTATGATTTATCATAAGGAATTGGCTCATGTGGTTGTAGAGGTTGACATGCCTCAAGATCTGTAGTAGGCAAGCTGGAGACCCAGGAGAGCTGATGGCATCATTTCAGACTGCGTCCAAAGGCCTGAGAACCAACAGAACTGAAGGGAGAAGTTACAGTTTAAGACTGAGTTTGAAGGCAGGAGAACACTGATGTCCCAGCTTAACAACAGTTAGGCAGGAGAAGTTTCTTCTCAATTATCTTTGGATGAGGCCCACCCACATCAGGGAAGAACATTTGCTTTACTAGTCTACTGATTGAAATGTTAATCTCATCCATAAGCACCCTCACAGACACACCCAGAATAATGTTTGGCCAAATGTCTGGGCACCCCGTAGCTCAGTCAAGTTGATGCATAAAATTAACCATCAAAACTGCCTTTAGGTTCTGATGGATCCTGTGTTTACACAGGAAGTAGGATGTCAGTTCTCTATGCTATAGGGTTTGGTCTGTCAGTGTTGGGCATCTGTGTGCACTCTCCTTGGCACCTCAGAGCAAGGGTTAGCATGGAGTAGAAAATTACAGAAGGGCCAGGAGGACATGTAGCCATTGTGGTCCTGTGAGAGAAGTGGAGCCTTAGAGAATGGCAAGATCACTGTGGTCCAGAGTAGTTAGAAGTTTCATGGAGGGGATGTGACCTGAATGGTGCCTTGAGGAATGATTGTACTTTTTCTGGGGAGAGAGGAGACAGAGAGGATCCAGTGGAAAAAGCAGCATGAACAGACACAGCATGAAGGAGTGGGTGGGGCAACAGGCAGGAAGCAGCCTGACTGCAACAGAGTGCATGCCGGGAAACAGGAAGAAGCAAAATGGGTAGATGTGGTCTAAGAAATTAGAGTGAAAGAATTAGACTTCACACCGTAATAACAGGAAGCCACTTCTCAAGCCGGGCATTCATCTGATGGCAATGACATTCTAGAAAGAGTTGTTTGCTCTTCCAGTTAAATCCTTAAAGATGAATGGTTGTGACGTAATGGTCTCCAACAGCCCCCTTATTATCAATCACCTAAAAAAAAATTAAATTTATTTTACTTAAAATATGGTAATGGAAACTAATTCAGTAATAACAAAATTTGATTTTATTCTGTTCTTTAGATACTGAGAAAATTAAGAGCAAACTTTCCAGGCTTGTGTGAATTTCAGAAGAATATTCTCATTTTACATATGGCAAAGTGAGGCAATGGTCTCACCATATAATATAACAATGTAATCTTATATTCTTAAGAACTGCTGTTAAGAACCACCATTTAAAACAAATTTTTATATTATGATTCTTTCAATAATATTGCTATTAGTCTTGTAATATACTTGTATTCTGGGACTACTTCTACTTACTTTTATACGTAGCCCAACTTTGCAAGGAAAATACTCTCTTAATAGTTGAAAAATGGCAGTGTGCTACTGGCTTATATTTTACCAACACTGCTTCTCCCCAGTGCATGTTTAGGTGCAGAGCTATTTCATTATCACAGCAGAATAATTGCCATTTTCAAAGCCAGCCCTCAGAGCCAAGCAGTGAAATTGTAAAAATTCTTTTACAACTAGCAGTTGTGAGATCTTACATACGTAGAGTGCACTTCTAGGACAAGCATTTAAGATACTTGGGGTCTTCCTCAAACCATTCTAACATTATCTCTAGCTACTAAAAATAAAACAGGTAAGTCAACTTTTAGGACCACATTTGTAATTCTTTTAGAAAGAATAAGAAGATGATATCCATGAAATATTTGAAGGTGAATTTGAATATGAATACCATATGATATGTGAAAAACTATGAAACAGGCTTAAATGTTTTAATACTTCCCATCAATCACACTGCACACTTTTTGACATCTTTTATGTTCCAATTGATATAGATGTAGAAATTTCCATCAGAGGCTTGGGGGAAAATTATATATCTAAACTTATTGCTATTGTTCCTTCATGCTTTTTCTTCCTTATAAGGAAGTTTTGCAAGAAACTTCATCCCAAGAGGTCATCTTCCCTGTAAAATGCGGCAAACACCCTTTTTAAAGATGAGAAAGGAGGGCGTTGAATTTGGGAGACGATGGTGTTCCAGAAAGGATGGAGCAATGCATGGCTGTCAAACACAGCTGTACACTAAATTACCTGGAGCATTTTCAAAACTATTGATGCCTTGGTCTCATCCACCAGAGCTTCTGATTTAATTGATGTGTGGTGCAGCCTGGCATCAAGATTTTTCAAAACTCCCCAGGTGATTCCAATGTGCACCCAAGGTTAAGGACACTGGGGTGGTGGCCATGGGCTTGAGTAACAGCTGGAGGGAGTCAGGTGTGTCGTACAGACTCCATGATCCTCCTTCCTGTATGTGAAAAGTGGAAAAATACCAGCATTTTACAGGGCTATTGTAAGGATCAAATAAAAGGAAGAATATGAAATTTCACTGAAAACTATAAAGGGCTCAACAAGTGTTGACCTTCTCAGAGATATATTCAGACCCTTTTACTCCAAAAAAATAGCAATCTAATTTGCACAAAAAGTCATGCTTCAATCATCTTTACAGAAAACAAAAGTCCTGCCAATTTTTGAAATAGTTACTCATCACCCTGGTAGACTTTGGAAACTCACTGACCATTTTGTATAATAAGTAGATTTTATACTAACAGAGGAATATGTAAATGCTATTACGAAAACAGATATATTTAGCTGTTTGCATATATATATACACACACACACACACACACACACACAGCTGTACATCTGTACATATACACACAAACAGCTAAATATATCTGTTTTAGTAATAGCATTTACATATTCCTCTGTTAGTATATTTCCCTTGGGGTAACTGATTATATATATATATATATATATATGCACCCATATGGGAAAAACTGAACTGGGTGGGTAGACTAGCAGACTAGCAGTAGAATTTTATCTCTGCATAATTTGGGTGCATCGAGAAAAAAAGGAAGTCACTGATAGAATAAGGAAAATAGAGCTCACTACTAATGTGCAGAAATCTGCAAAGGAGAGGGAAATTGTTAAAATAAAAGTTAAGGAAGATGAGAACATGGAGGTGATTGATGAAATTGACAACATGAGGGAGTTTTGAGACTTACACATGGGTAGTATCCAATGAGTTGTGGGAAATGAAATTCAAGGAAGATGAACTGAAAAATGAACAAAAATTCCCAAAAAGAGGAGTGGAGAAAAAGGCATCAAGGGGACTAAGACCCCAAGGGAGAATTTATTCATAAGATGCTGGAGTTAGTAGAGTATCCTTGGATACTGGTGGAAGTGACCCATGGAGGAAAGGCTGATGATGGAGAGAAGGGCTAATTGCAGGAGTGAGATCCTTCAGAAAGGGTGTTGAGATGCTATCCTAAAGGAGTCTGACAGGAAAATGAATCATACATTTGTAACAAGATAGAACACTGAGATTATAGATACGGATGTCAGCTTATTATAAATTTGAGGATGGGAGATTTTCAGCTTTATCAGTGAAGTGTGATGCAAGATCATCAGCTAAGAATGTTGGGAGTTGGACCCTCTGGGCCAGAGGAGAAGGTAGGAAATTTTGTCCTACAGTGTGGAAAACAGACTTATTAGGCAGATGAGGTAGAATTGCTGATGCGTGTTTAATGTCAATTTGTTGTCACTGGTCATGAATTTAATTTGAAGTCAGTCAGTCCTTTGGTCCATTCTTAGGCACAAGTGCAGGAAAGGTGGAGGTTTGGGTTTTAACAGGATGGTGGTTTTGCTCAGGGAGAAGAATGAGCGGAGTTGTTGTGTTAGCAAGTTTGGCTTCATGAAACACTGAGCACTTACCAGTTGGGTTTTGGTGGGGGAGTGTACAGAATTCTTTTATAGAACCTGTTCTTTCAAACGTCTCTTAATTCAGTGCATGACTTCCTCTCCCTAGCCAATAGCCAGATTGGGATGCAGCCAACTGGGAAGCTTCAAACAGTCAGTCATCTCTAAGGGGCTTTAAATTACTAAAATATATCAGAAATACAGGAACAAGCATCCTGTTTTTACATTTCTGGCATAGTGGACTGAACGGTGGCCCACCACAATATATGTCCACCAGAACCTATAAATGTGATTTGATTTGGAAAAATGGTCTTTACAAATGAAATTGAGGATCTCAAGATGAGATCATCTCTAAATCCAATGACAAGTGACCCTTGTAAGACAAGAGAAGGAGAGAAAACACAGAGGAAAAGGCTATGCCAAAAAGAAAGAAGAAAGAAAAAGAAAGAAAGAAAGAAGGAAGGAAGGAAAGAAAGAAAGAAAGACAGAAAGAAAGAAAAGAAAGAGAAAGAGAGAGAGAAAGAAAGAAAGAAGTTGACCAGAATAGGCAAAGTTACACATACTTAAAGTAAACTAATGGTTGCCTTGGGCTAGGGACTGGGATGGACATGACACCTAATGGGTATGGGGTTTCTTTTGGGAGGAATAAAAATATTCCAGAATTAGATAGTGGTGATGTAAAGCTTTGAAAATATACTAACATCATTTAGTTGTATACTTTAAGAGACTGAATGTATAGTATGTGAATTATTTCTCAATAAAGCTGTGAACAAAAGAGAAACAAATAAACAAACAAAAAAGAAAACAGAGGCAGAAGTTGGAGTTATGCAGCTCTTCCAAAGAACAGCTGGAGCTACCAGATGTTGGAAGAGGCCAGGAAGGATTCTTCCCCTAGAGCCTTCAGAGGGAGTGTGGCCTGCCAGCACCTTGACCTTGGACTTCTGGCTCCCAGGACTGTGAGAAAATACATTTCAGTTGTTTTAAGCCACCACGTTTGTGGTAACTTGTTACAGCAGCCCCAGGAAGCAAACATAACTGTCAACATGGAAATAGTTCCTGCTCCCAGTAAAAGGAATGGTACCCCTAAGTAAACAGAAAAAAATAATAAAACTAGTAAACCTTGCCAGTGCTGACCTAGGTCTGTTGAGTGTATTTGTGGCATGCATATGACAACTTATAGGGCCCATCATCTGGCCAGTCACTGATCTTCAACTGTATTAGTCTATTTTCACGCTGCTGATAAAGACACACCCGAGACTGGGCAATTTACAAAAGAAAGAGGTTTAACTGGACTTACGGTTCCACATGGCTGGGGAGGGTTCACAATCATGGTGGAGGGCAAGGAGGAGCAAGTCACGTCTTACATGGATGGCAGCAGGCAAAGAGAGAATGTACCAGCAGGGGAAATGCCAGATGCTTATAAAACCATCAGATCTCTTGAGAATTCACTCACTATCACAAGAACAGTATGGGGGAAACTGCCCCCATGATGCAATTATCTCCACCTGGCTCCGGCCTTGACATGTGAGGATTATTACAGTTCAAGGTGAGATTTGGGCAGGGACATAGCCAAACCATATCATCGACCAATCTGTTGACAGTTGCCTGAAAACGTCAGCAGAGCAGTCTGGAATTCTGAAATGAATAGTGGATGGCATGGGGGTGGGACTCATTTTCTTATCTAAAATTGAAAAGTACTAATATCTCATCTGAGAACCTAGTTTTTTTGAAAATTGAAAGAGAAAACTCGATGGAGAACGATTATGAAAGAAAAGGGAATGTTGTGTTAATTCGTTTTTTTTTTTTTTCGGTGGAAGTAAATTAGTAAGTGACTGTTCTTCCTCCAGTTTCGAGCAAACATTCTTTGCCCAGGATCTGATTCCTATCTCAGTTTGAAATAGAAATCAAAATGGAATAATATTTGACGTTTTGCTGTTTCAGATAATTAATGTCAAGAAACAATAACTGAAAATTGGTGGGATTAGAGTAGGGCTCTTTTCCATGTGAAAATGGAAACCTGGGATTTCATTGCTGCTGCTGACATCAGTCATGAGGCTCCCGCTCCATGGCCTGGTGCCCGACTGAACAAATGGTGAGCACGTTGTGCCATGAGAGCAGGAGTCCCAGCTGATCACTGCTTTCTCTCTCTGGCTTCCAATGTGTACAGAAGAAACTCAAAACAGCAAACGGGGGTCAAGCCCCAGTTTTGCTGTTGACAATATCGTCATGGAGAATAGGGCTTGAACCTGAGCCTAAATGGGGCGTTTTCTCCTGCCTCTGTGTTTGAGATAACTGGCCATCACCGAAGAGCAAAGGGCTGACTGCAGTTATCCACCCAGAGGCTAGAACAGAAGGATCAGAGGCTTGGCTGAGCTGTCAGAGGAGTGAGGGCCAGGGAATGTGCTGGTCAGCTCACCAAAGGTAAATTCATTGGGCTGGCCAAGAGGGTAATAACTGAACCGGATAAGTGAGCTGGATAAAGGGAGCCCTGGCTGTTTCTTTGAATGTGGCTGTAGAGCGTATACTCAGCCTGTACCTACCTGCCCCCACTCCCACCACCAAGCCCACTAACCAAACTCACTGACTGAGGAGCCGGCTGGGGATAAAGGATCCCCCAACATGAGGCATAGGTGGAAAAACAGTCCATTTATTTTAAGGTTCCCAATAACTGCTGCTTCTCTGATTCAATATACTATAGGAAAATTGCTCATGGGAAAAAGTTATAAATGTGATGACTTAATAAACTTAAAATGATCAAGCCGTATTTACAATCATCAATATCAAATGAGCGTTTATATTCTCTATGGGAACATGCCACTTGACAATGTTTCTGTTGTCAAAGAGAATGTGTCAGAAAATCAAAACATTCTGTGAAAGCAAAAAAGAAAAAAAGAACCCAAAACAATAAAACAGATTTATTTTATCCTTAGTTGAGTAATGCTATCTGGTTATGTGATGAACTGTGAAATGATAAGCAATTCTAAATGAGTTTTAAATTCAGCTCAAGTAATAAAGCCCTTAATATGGACCTAATGAAAGAGATATACAATTCCATTAATCACTGAAAGCAGTTTCTGGAAGTCACATATCTTGAGCTGCACCTGCCTGGTCTGATATGAGGCTAGGCCATTTCAGAGCCTGTAATCCAGGGAAATCCTAGGAAGGGAAAGGAGATGTGAAAACAGGAGTTGAGTATTTATTATTCTCTGATACCGTGTAGTTAAAAAACACCCCACCCCCCATTCCTTCAGCATTTTAGGGGCTCAAAATGGTAATGAAAAGATTCATTATGGGGCTGGGTGTGGTGGTTCATGCCTGTAATCCCGGCTCTTTGGGAGGCCAAGGCGGGCGGATCACTTGAGGTCAGGAGTTCAAGACCAGCCTGGCCAACATGGTGAAACCTGTCTCTATTAAAATTACAAAACTTAGCCATGCATAATCCTGAGTAGCTGGGATTACAAGCGGGCATGGTGGCAGGCACCTATAATCCCAGCTTCTCAGGAGGCTGAGGCAGGAAAATTGCTTGAACCTCAGAGGAGGAGCTTGCAGTGAGCCGAGATTGTGCCACTGCAATCCAGCCAGGGCAAAGAGGCAGACTCTGTCTCAAAAAAAAAAAAAAAAGATTCATTATGATTGGGCATGTGAAGTAAGTATTCTCTTGCAACCCACTTTCTTAACAGTATGTGCCACTTTTATCAGTTCTTTTCTAGAGATGCTCATCTCCATTTATGTTATTAAAATCTATCCATATAAAAGGAATTGATTTTTATAAACTTCAAGGTAGTAATTTAATGACTTTAATAAAATTACTCCCTTAAAACTGTAAAACATTAGTGATTACCCTTCTCATCTGAAGGACAGACCACAGACAATAATACATTTGCAAGAACAAAAGGAAACTGGAACTGGAAGTCACTTTGGTTGTATTGTCAGCCAACTGATGTTTCTACTACCTTTTCTTTACTGTTCCCATTAGCTCATTTTGAAACACATTAAAAAATTATTATTTTTTATTAATACTCCAGATTTTTACATATATATGGGGTACATGTGATATTTTGATTCATGCATACAATGTGTGATGATTGCAGTATTTAAGATATCCCTTACATCGAACATTTATTATTTCTTTGTGTTAGGAACATTTCAGTTAACAACAATATGTTGCATATTTCAAAACAGCTACAAGAGAAAATTAGAAAATTGAAGCATATTTTGATGACATACTTTTCTAGTTTCTTCAAAGGATATGGATGGGGGATCTTTTCTGTTATCCTCACTGAAACAATGACATCCCTTTCCGTGAGAATTAATGCTTATTACTTATTACCATGATCCAGACGCTGGTCTTAGTGCTTTACATTTGTTATTCAATCATTATGATAAACTACACAAAGAAAGTGTATTACGTCATTCTTGCATTGCTATAAAGAAATATCTGAGGGTGGGTAATCTATTTTAAAAAAGAGGTTTGACTGGCTCACAGTTCTGCAGACTGTATAGGAAGCATAGTGCTGGCATCTGCTTCTAAGGAGGCCTCTGGAAGCTTCCAATCATGGCAGAAGGCAAAGAGGGAGGAGGCTCACTACATGGCGAAAGCAAGAGCAAGATGGAGGAAGGTGCTGCACACCTTTAAACAACCAGATCTCATGTGAACTCACTCACTATTGTGAGGACATCACCAATCCATGAGGGACCTGCTCTCATGACCCAAACACCTTCCACCAGGCCCCGCCTTCAACATTGGAGATCACATTTCAACATGAGATTTGCAGAAACAAACATGCAAAGGGTACTATTTTTTATCCCATTTTTCAATGACAAAGGAGGGGCACAATGATAGATGCCCAGGTAGTCAGACTCAAGCACACGCTCCCACCCATCAGGCTACCCTTCCACTCTCCATCTTTATCTTCAAAGGCTGTTTTGTTCACGGGAATTCCTAAACCGTCTCTTCCCTTGAGTCCTCTTCCCATAAATGTTGTTGAGAATTCTCAGAAGGTTAAAGGACTTGCTAAAATTTGCACAGTGAGTGGAGCTGAATTTAAAACCAGGCCTTCTGATCTCAAATCCTATCAGCTTTAATAACATCACACTACTGGATATAGCTGAAGTTTTCAACTTGGGAGAAACTGGCTCTGAAACAAAATAGTTGGCACTATTTCACTTCTTTCACAAATAAAATCCAGATGGATTTCAGAATTAAGTCTTGCAAATGAAACCATAAAAGTACTGCAGGAAAATTTTGTTGAATATTTATGTAATCTTGGGGCGGCAAGGCCCATTCTAAAAATGCCCCAAAAGTAGGAAAGATAGATACATTAGATTTCATAAAAATAAAAAGTATGTAAAAACATTGCATACAAAAAAAGGAAAGGCAGGCCGGGCGTGGTGGCTCATGCCTGTAATCCCAGCACTTTCGGAGGTCGAGGTGGGTGGATCACCTGATGTCAGGAGTTGGAGAACAGCCTGGCCAACATAGTGAAACGCTGTCACTACTAAAAATACAAAAATTACCTGGGCGAGGTGGTGCACACCTGTAATCCCAGCTACTTGGGAGGCTGAGGCAGAAGAATTGCTTGAATCCGGGTGGCGGAGGTTGCAGTGAGCTGAGATCGTGCCACTACTGTACTTCAGCCTGGGCAACAGAGTGAAACTCCGTCTCAAAATAAAATAAAATAAAAAGCAAAAAAAAAATAGGAAGGGCAAACACCTGTGCAAAAAAGAAATCCTCTCTTTTTATTGATTCATTCAAAAAAGATTAGCACTGGGGTAAAATGGAGAGGAAAGGCAATGTTCCTGCCTTCATGGAGTTTATAATCCAAAGACAAAGTCAGACACTGATGAATATGCAATTACATGAAACAAAGGACCCCAGGGGACCCCGGAGATACTTTTTACATGCTCTCCAGGTGGGTTTTTTTCTCCTCACATGACTCTCAAGTAGGTGGACTTTTCCTTCAATCTATCCACTTATTTCTTGCGGAAATCTATTAATGTTTTTGACACCTGGATGCTACACTTCTCTAGTTTTTAGTACCAATATTTCAACTGCGCTGCAGTTCTGGGGACATTGCAGTTGGGTATAACAAAGGAGAGGTGGGTAAGCAAATAGTTTCTATCTGGAACCAGATTCTGCATAACTTTAGCAAATGTATTCTGCAGGAACACTGCAAAGGGAAACTACGTACTGTCCAGCATAGCCCATGGCCTTTTGGGGAAGATTGGGACACTTCTGCTCTGACTCCAAGTTATTTCATTACAGCCAGAGGCAATTTGGCCAAGAAAGACCCTGACAGTGTTTCCACTAGGAAATATTCAGGCCTTCTTTCCTCTCTTGCCAGAAAGTACCCTCAAAGCCAAAGGGAAGAAAACAAGGAGCAGTAGTAAAGACCCGTTACTAGCAGGGAGAGTGCTTCCCTTGGCCTGTGCCCAGGGTGACTTGGCCATCATAAGCACTAAGTTCTCAGGGTCTGAGCAGAGATACAAGGGTCTTTATGTGAGAGGAGCCCATAGCTGGTGAGCCTCTCCAAGCCAACTCTATTGTCCCACTCCTCTAAGATAATGGATTTTAAAAATTGGCAGAAGGAGTGTGCAAATTCTTTTCTTGCTTCTAACTTGCTTAGCATCAGGCTTTTTCTGTAACCTTTGAGTGAAATAAAACACAGCCTAAATCGTGGTCCTCAACTGTGAGTGGATTTCCCCCCACAGGACTTTGACAATCTCTGGAGACATTTTTGATTGTCATGACTGTGTGGGAGTTGTTGCTACTGGCATCTAGCAGGTAGAGGCCAAGCATCTGGCAATGCTCAGGACAGCCCTCAAGACAAGGAATTATCTAGTCCAAGTGTCAGCATGCCTAGATGGAGAAATACTGACCTAGGGATACAAATACTCCTTCAAACAATCTCTCAGAGCAAAAACAAAATAAAATAAAAAGGCACCAGGCTGGGTTGGTGAATATTTTGGAAAGAAAGAGGGCTTTGGTTTTATTTCTCATTTATTTTGCACAGAATTCTCAGACTTTTCACAAATAAAAGGGGAGTTATAGGCATGACCGGTGTGAAGTCAAAGTAACAGCTTTCACCATGACACATTGTCAAGTATATTTCTTGGACTCTCTCTCTCTTTTTTTTTTTTTTTGTAATTCCCACTTCAAAACCCAAAATCAAAACTTATCTAAATATCTTTGGTAAAATACATATTCAAGTTTTGCATTATTTGGATACTTACTCCCTCTAACTCTACAACGTTACATATTTTCCTACTGCATTTTTAACTTTCTAGCTAGCTTTAATGGGCATTTTATATTAACTCCTTCTGAAGTTTTTGTCCCAGAGTAAAAATATATTGACCTAATGTAATAGTGTATTTTACTATCATTTTTAAATTGTTTTAATTTGTGTGTCTTTTATCTTTATGGCCCACTGGTTTCACTTGTTTCTAAGTATTATATGGTTTGGCTTAATTTCACAGATGCGTATAAATTTCCCTTTACTTGCTGTAAAATTAACTGTGAATTATGAGCATGTGCTCTAGTAAATGTTCACAGCTTCTCTATTAGGAACACTCAGATGACTGGGAAGTTACTAAAACTGGGGTTCCAAGAAAAAACAGTGGATAAATGTTTAACTCCTTTAGCGTTGACTCCTTTCTGAAAGGCAAATTTTTAAGACCTCGGATTCTTTATATGTTAAATGTGGTTTATCATTAGGAATTTCATCTGGTTATGTGACAGGAAAGATCACTGACTTGAGCAGGATAGGATTTTATGGATTCACTTTTGTAAAATAGGTCTGGAGACAGGCAGTCTAGGACTGACATCGTCTGGTGGCACCATCCGGTCATCTCAAATTGAAGCTCCTTACTTTGAGTTGCTTCATGCTCAGTCATGGCTTCTGCCTTCAAGGTCCCCTGTAGTTCACATTGACTGGAACTCTAGCCATTGCCTGCACATTCCAGCACAGAGAAAATAAGAGAAACAGGACAAAAGGGTGGCCATGCCTTTCAAGGTGCTGTCCTAGCAGTCCCATGTCATACTTCTGCTAACATCTCATTGCTAGAATTTAATCTCTGTCAGGGAGGCTGGGAAATGCAGTCCTCGAACTGAGTACGTTGCCATCTCCAATAAGATTGGGATTCTGTTACCAATGAGAAATGACAGACTAGGAGTTATACAGTGAGCAGTCTCTGCGACAAGTATTTCCAAACTTTTAAAGTTAAGGAACCATGTTTTTCCCAAAAAAATTGTATTTGGGTGTCCACTAATTTTCACTGCTTTCTTCTGACACTGATTTCTCTCTCAGCACTCCCAAGGTTCTGGAAGATTTCTATGGAACTAAGGTTCCATAAGGGCACCATGGGTTTGAAAATCATTAGCTAAGATAATTTCCAAAGGTGTATTCTTTTTTAAAAATTCTGATTCTTTGATTTTGTTGATTTGTAGGATAAGTAATAGCTAAAGAATCACATTTCTCAGTGATTATGACAAACTTTAAAAATTATTTTTTATTTCTCTATTTTTGAGACAGGGTCTTGCTCTGTCACTTAGGCTGGACTGCAGTGGCATGATCACAGCTCATTGCAGCCTCGACCTTCTAGGATAAAGCGATTCTTTCACTGCAGGCTCCTGAGTAGATAAGACCATAGGTGCATACCACCATGACTGGCTAATTTTTTAAAAAAATATTTTTAATTTTGTAGAGATGGGGTATCCTTATGTTGCCCAGGCTGATCTCAAATTCCTGGGCTCAAGTGATCCTCCTGCCTAGGTCTCCCGAAGTGCTGGGATTATAGGTGTGAAACACCACACTCAGCCGTAACAAACTTTTAAAAATTGTGGTTGTTAAATTATAGGTGTCGAAAACAATGTTTTAATTCAGTTTTCTTAATCTGAGCATTCCATTCATGGAACAATGCCCCCTTTTTCCTCCAGTCCTCACCAAGTTAAAAATGGATAAAGATGAATTGGGATTGGGTTAAATATATTTGAAGAAATATTTGTATTTATTTGTTTTTCTTTCCTGTTTTCCTCTTAGTAGTGTTGGCGTAAGTTAATCGTTCTGAATATGTTCAGTAGTGTTTGAATCTGTTGTGTTTCCTGAGATCATTTGTAAGGCACATATTGTTCTCCCTATACCTTAAAACTAATTCCACTTTTACCACTAAACTAAGACGTTGTAGAAAGTATATGGTTGTTAACAGCACACATCCTTATACTCAAATATCATTTCTCTCACCTAATAGCTGTGAGATTTTGAGCAAATTAATTTTCTTAAAATATGTCTTCATTTATAAACATAATGATATCTATCTTGTTGATTTTTTAGGGTTAAACAAAAATAATGCATTGTAGGCACTTTATAAATGTTAGTTTCCTTTTATGAAGAGTATAAGTTACTCATATCATAAAAAAGCTTTAGGCCCTTCTCTGAAAATGAAGAACCAGAGGAAGATGGGCATAGGGAAGGAATCAGAACTATTAAGATGGTGATGGCTTGGTCTGGGAATTCATGTCAAGGAATGAAGGAGCCTTGATTATAGGATGCAGGTTAGTATATTTAACCTCACTCTTACATATAATACCATCATTGTGTAAACACACACACACACACGCACACACCACACTATATGAATACAAATCATGAAACATCAACGGAAATGTAACAGCAAAAGATAATGTATGTTTTTTAGAATTGTACCCTGGTTGTGATTCTAAAATTTCTTGGCTTCAGAAAGTGGCATTGGTCTGATTCAGGTTTATTCTTGGCTCTCACATGAAAACAGCAGGCCCGGCCAAAGGCTAAATTATGAATCTTTCAAGTTTGACTTTGGCAAGCCTCCTCCTTTCAGCACCTTCCTTAACTCCAGGACAAAGTGGGGGTTGGGGGAAGAATGGGGAGGTGTTGACCAAAAAAAGAGAAGGGTGTGTGAAGACATTTTTTCCAGCTATTGGGATGTGAGGAAATGATGCAGGACACACCATTTCTTGGGGTGCAAATTTCCTACTTTGAGAAACACTGCCTTAAGAGATAGCTGCAAAACATGTTCCCTTTTCCTGTAAGACTATAGCTGATGAAAGCATTTCACCCAGACCCGGATCAGTCAGAGGGAGTTCCAAAAATAGTAAAAGTATGTTAAGAGCACGTCTGTTGAGAAAATCACAAGATATTAGTCTCTGCAGCAGCTTTTCGTCTCTCTTCATGTATCCTCTTCCTTCATTTATGAATATTTCTTGACTCAGCCTATTTCCAAGGGATTGATTTCACAATACCTGCAATCTCCAACCTTGCCAGCTATAGGCATTTAACCTGCAAGAGGTTCAGCTGGCTCGAGTCCCTGCACCAATATCAGAGACCAGAGTCTCCTGAGGTCTTGCCTCCTCATTCCTGGTATTTGGGGCCTGGGTTGATTTACTTCATATAAGTGAGTATCTGCCTTGGTTTCCTGCAGTGCAGCTACTCTTAAGCCTGGTCTTGAACTTCATTCAGTTAGCTGTGCTGGGGCCTCGACATGGTTGACCAAGATTAGATTTCTTTCACTAGGAAAAATCTCATCCTTGCCCCACCCAGGCAATCTAGGTGAAGTGTATCTCAAATGCTTCCTCCTACTGGAGGCTTGTGAATTTTTATCGTCTGGCCAACACTTGTATCAAGTTATCTTCTATATTGTTATTGCTCCAACCATAAATAGGTTTGCTGAGCCATTTTGGGCACAGTGATAGGCATGGTTGGTGCTATGCTTTGAATGTATGTGTCCCTTCAAAATTCATGTGTTGAAACTTAAACCCCAAGGCGATGGTTTAAGAGGTGGGGACCCTTGGAATGTGATTAAGTCATGAAAGATTCACCCTCATGAGTAGTGATCTTAGAAAAGAGTTTGAAGCAAGTAAACTAGTGTCTCTTGCCCTTTGATCTCTTCTGCCGTGTGAGGACACAGCATTTGTCTCCTCTAGAGGATAAAGTAACAAGGCACCACCTTGGAAGCTGAGAGCAGCCCTCACCAGCCATGAAGTCTTCTGGCACCATGATCTTGGACTTCACAGCTGCCAGAATTGTGAAAAACAGATTTCTGTTGTGTATAAATTACCTGGTAGGTGGTATTTTGTTATAGTAGCAGGAACAGACTACGACAGTTGGTCACTCCCTTTGAGTGAGTTAGACATTCTAGTAACAGCCACACAAGTCTGTATGACCACAGCCAGAATATCTCATGGCAAAGCTCCTAAACAACAGTGCTCATTATAGCAGTAACTGCATTTGGACAATATAATTATGTGGGTGAAAGATTGGCATACAAGATTAGGATCAGAAAGAACATTAGAGGAGGCTGATTTTAAATGCCATTTTCATACTGTGTTAAACTCCAATATATTTTTAGGTCAGTTTCTGGACTTTGCCTTTTACTCACTTGAGCTTTCAGTTGCTCCCTGCATCTTTACTACATTATCGTAATTGTTTGAATTAAATACAGTTTTAGTGTATTATAAAAACACTTTATACAGTATTTTTTCAAAATTTTCTTATGTGGATTTACTTGAGCTTAATTATTTGGGGAAATGTTTTCCTCTTCTGATCTCTTTCGTATTTTTGGCATTTTCCTCTGCATTACTGAGAAAATTTCTCAAGGTTTTATCATTTATTCTATTTGATGCAGTATTGATTCTGTTACTCTCTGGGTCTAAAGTCATTAAAAAAGTTATCATACAGGATGTCACCACATCCAGGGTAGAATAAATAATATTACAAAATAATCTATTGTACTACAAACATATGAAACAACTTCAATGAGAGTGGTGGGGGGAAAAAAGCATTGACCTTACTACATGTGAAAATGACTTGAGACTGTAAGACTAAAGGCAAAGGGAGCTGCACATAAACACTGTGCTCTAATTGATACAGTTGTTTCATATAGGGGTACAAATGAACAATTCTGATACCGCTACACATGTATACTGGAATTGAACAATTACGTAAATGGATGGCAAATGGTGGAAGTCAGGTTTTTCACTGTTGGAGTAGGAGGTTATAGATAAGCAAGGGAAGGAGAAGAAAAGGATCCATGTAGTAACTGATTAGATTTGTCAGCATCTGTATGAACTTATGTTTAGCTTAATACAGACAGGTACATATGGAATAGTTATAGATATGGGTATATACTTGAGTTACTGTATACACATATATTTTCTTGTTCTGTTAGCTGAGAGGAGGGCCTAGAAGCAATGGCACTCCATTAGCAATGAGCATTCCTGGCACCCAGATCTTGGTTTCTAATACCTTTCTCCAATAAAAGGAACCAGGGCTCTTTGGAGAAATAGCTGATTTTTGAACTTGGTAGGGAAGGAAATATACAAGATGAGCTTGGAGCATTGTATAGTGCCAGAAAGTAAGAAAGTGCTAAAACAAAAAATCTGCAATGATGGGGGTATGCCAAAAGGATACATGAGTCAACTGAAAGAGCTTCCAATGGCCAAAGCCAGAACAATTTGAGCAATAAAATAAAGTATTATTGGATTATAACCAAAAGAACAAGACAAGATAAATATTTATGAGTCTATGTAAGAAAATGATTGAATAAATCATTTTCATAAGTCATTTCTTACATAAGACAATAAGTCTTATGTAAGAAAATGATTGAATAAATAAATATATATGAAAGAATAAACAAATTGCCCACACAGAAGAATTTCAAATAATTTATGTGGATACTCTGCCCTCAAAAAGGTGGAACATAACTCCTCACTCCTTAAGTGTGAGCTCTTCATAGTGACTTTTTTTTCAAAGAATACAGTATGGATGGGGGGAAAGTAACTTTGCAGTGTAGAAATCCCACAAACACTACCTCAGCCAGCTGAACAGGTTCTATATCAACAATTCTAAATAATGTTGGTCATATATTCTCCCTATATAAAGTGATAAAAATGATATTTTACCTCTGTGGTCTTCCTTCCCAAAGCACATAATCCCAGCTTAATCATGAGAAAAATAATCAACTAAATCCCAGTTGAGGTACATACTATAAAACACCTGACTAGTACTCTTCAAAACTGTCAAGGTTATCAAAACAAGGAAAGCCTTAGAAACTGTCAAAGAGCCCGGGGAGATATGATAAAACTATTGTGGTATCCTGGACAGGATTCTGGAATAGAAAATAAATATTAGGTAAATCTCAAGAGAATTCGAAAAAATTATGAGCTTTAGTTAATACAAAGTGTGTTGATATATAATACAAATGCATTAATTGTGACAAAAGCACTACACTAATGTTAAGCGTAAATAATAGGGAATCTGGGTGGGGGGGGTATATGGTAGCTGTTCATACTATCTTTTTTGAAACGGAGTCTCGCTCTGTCACCCAGGCTGGAGTGCAGTGGCGCGATCTCGGCCCACTGCAAGCTCCGCCTCCTGGGTTAACGCCATTCTCCTGCCTGAGCCTCCCGAGTAGCTGGGACAACAAGTGCCCGCCACCACGCCCGGCTAATTTTTTTGTATTTTTAGTAGAGACGGGGTTTCACTGTGTTAGCCAGGATGGTCTCGATCTCCTGACCTCATAATCTGCCCACCTCGGCCTCTCAAAGTGCTGGGATTACAGGCATGAGCCACCGTGCCCAGCCATGGCATTTTTTAATGTTGTCAGCTCTCTTACATCTGTCTCATCTTTCATTTTTAAATAGAATTTTGCCTTATTTAATTTCCTTGTGAAAGATACCAGATCTTATTTAAAATTTCGTTCCATTTCCTGTAAGTTTTAAAAGTAGGTTCTCCAGACTTTCACATCTAATAAAAATAAAACAGGGACTGGGTTTACCTTATGCTTGAAACATCCAAAATAAAAATAAGTAAATAAAACAGACAATATACATAAAACAATAGTTTTTAAGACACTATATCAAACAGTGAAGGACAGTGAACCTCAACAGATAGGAAACAAATGAAGTAAGCCCTGTAATTGTCCAAGCTTAACTGCCTTGAGAGAGCATCAGAAAAAGGAGGGAGAACCCAGGGGAAGCACGATAGGCTCCTTGAATTAAGGAAACATAGCTGAAAGTCCAGGTGGAACCTGACTGCTAGAGTTTGTAAGACAGAGTACTAGAGAGGAGAAAACTACACAGAAACAGAGCACTGAAGCTCTCCAGAAGGTCCACTTTGAGTGTTCAGCATTGTATAGAGCAGCATATGAGAAAGAACATACTTGGGAGAAGAAAATTTAAAATAATTACAGGGAATAGTGCCTGATGCTTATCTGGGCCTGAAAAAGTGCCTGCCTCCAACAGAGTGGGAAACTTTATGATTAATGGGGTCATTGGATAGAGTACCAAGAAGGGTTTTGACTCAATAGTGGGAAACTATGATTACTATAGATAAAATGTTTCTTTGGTCCTGTCTAGCAAATCTTCATAGCAAGATCCGAAAGGATCAAACTATTTCCAAAATACTTAATTACATACCAGAACAAAGCTTGAGAATATAGAAATACAAAAAATATCCAGCATCCAACAAGGCAAAATTAACAATATCTGGTATCCAATTAAAGATTGCTAGATACACAAAGAAGCAGGGAAATATGACCCATTATGAGAAGAAAAATAGTCAATGAAAATCAACCTAAAACTAACACGGATATGGAGACTCAGCAGACAATGACATTAAAAGAGTTAATATAACTGAGTTCGGCATGGTAACAATGATAGAGAAATGTAAGTTATTTTAACAATCTAAATGAAACCTCTAAAGATGAAAACTAAACAATGTAAGATGAAAAATGAAGGGATGTGATTAATGGCAGAATAGACATTGCAAAAAAATATTATTAAACTTGGAGACAAAGCATCAGAAACTTTCAAAATAAAACAGAAAAAAAGTTTAATGAAAAGAACATCAGTAAGCTGTGAGACATCATTAAACAGCCTATATATGCAATTAAGTCTCTGAAAGAGAAGAGAGATAAGGGAACAGAACAAAATATTTGAAGAAATTATGGCTGAATGTTTTCCAATTTTGATGAAAAGTATAAACCCATAGCTTCAAGAATCTAAACAAATTCCAAATAAAAGAAGCATAGAGAAAACTACAGTAAGGCATGCCATAATCAAATTTCTCAAAGCCATTGATAAAAAAGAAAGCTTAAAATCAGGCAGAGAAAAAGTATAAATTATGCATAAGACAACAAAGATGAACACGAAAGATTTCTTTTCAGGAATAAATTAAGCAAGAAAGTGAAGTGACATCTTGAAAATATTGAATGAAAAAACTGTCAATTTAGAATTCTCTACCCAGAAAAAAAACTTTAAAAAATGAAGAGAAAATGGAGACTTTTTCAGATAAAAAAGAAAAAAAATTCATCATCATCCCTACAAGATATGATAAATTCTTTCAGGCAGAAGAAAAATGATAGAAGATGAAAACCTGAATATACATGAAAGAATGACAGGAAATAGAAATACTAACTACAATGGTGATTATACATAACTTTCTTACCATTTAAACATTGTTAAAAGATAATCAACTTTGTAAATAAAAATAATACCACCATATTTTGAGGTATACAACATAGGTATAAGTAAAATGTATGACAAAATAGTGTAAAGATCAGAAGGGGAAAAATTGTATATTTTTATGAGGTCATTTATATGCATATTATATTTTTATGAGGTCATTTATGAGTATATTATTATGAGGTCATTTTACTATATGTGAAGTGGTATAATACTGCTTTAATGTGGATTTTATTAAGTTAAAGATGTATATTATAAACCATGAAACAAACAGTAAAATAACAAAATAAATAAATATAGCTTATATGCCAAAAAGGGAGTTGAAATATTTGATTAATACAAATTAAAATATATTATTAATCCAAAAAAGTAGGAAAGAGGAACAAAGAGTAGATGGGCCAAATAAAAACCACATAGGAAGATAGTAGCATTAAACCTAACCATATCACTACTTACATTAAATGTAAATGGTTCAGACAGTCTAATTAAGTGGCAGAGATTGTCAGACTGGATTAAAGTACCTCTGAAAAGAAACATATTTTAAATATAAAGACACAAAGGGGTTAAAGGTGAAAGAATGGAAAAGATACACTAAGCTAACACTAAACAAAAGAAAGTTGAAATGACTATAGTAAAATCAGATATAGTAGATTTCAAAGAAAATAATATTATTGGGGATAAAGAAGGTTACCTCATAATGATAAAGTGTTCAATTTATTAAAAGGGCATAACAATCCTAAACATTTATGGACCTAATATTAAAGCTTCAAAATACATGAAGCAAATTCCGATAGAGCTATAAGGAAAAATAGACAAATCCATGATTATCGTTGGAGATTTCTATACCTGTCCTTCAATGATTGATAGAACAGGTATATAGAAAATCAGTAAGCATATAGAAGACTTAAACACCATCAAGCAACTTGAAATTTATAGGATACTTTACCCAGCAACAACAACAAAAACACATATTAGTTTCGAGTGTACATAAAACATTTATCAAGACAAAATATATTCAGGGCCACATGACAAGACCAAATAAATTTTAAAGGCTTCAAGTTATATGAAGTGTGTTCCCTCAATTAGAATGAATTAAATAAAAAATCAATAATAAAAAGAAGGATCTTTTAACTATTTAAAAATATTTGGAAAATAAACTTTTAAATAATTCAAGGATTGAAGGGAAATCAAAAGAAATATAGAAAGTGTTTTTAGCTCATAAAATAAAAACACAGCATATAAAAATGTGTGTGATTCTACTAAAGCAGTATTTAGGGTGGAATTTGTGGTATAAAAACTGTATTATAAATACAACATAGCAAACTGTATAGTATATTGTGAATAGAGTATAGCAAACTATATTGTAAGAGAAGAAAATTCTCAAATCAATGATCACTGCTCCAACTTGAAAACTGGAAACTAGAAAAAGAAGAGAAAACAAAACCCAAAGTGGGCAAAAATGTAATAATATCAGAGCAAAAATAAATAATATAGAAAACAGTTAAACATTATATAAAATAATTAAAACCAAAAGATGGTTCTTTGAGAAAAATAGATACAATTGATAATCCTCTAGAGAGACTAGAAGAAAAAGAGAGAACACATAAATTGCCAATATCAGAAATTTAGAGAGGTGATATCACAATAGTACCTACAAATATTAAATGGATAATGGAAGAATATTATGAACAACCATATATCAATAACTTCATCAGTTTAGATCAAATGAATAAATTCTTTGAAAGATGTAATCACCAAATGTCTCTCAAGAAGAAATACAGGACAACTTTTGGGAGGATGCCATGAGAATCTTCCTCTGATGGAAGCTCCACTCTGTACAGTTGTGGTCAAGAAGGCTTTCTTTTCTCCAAGTCGAGGGTTATGGCATCTCCCTGGAAGGAGAAGGTCGCCACCGTGTTATCCCTCTAGATCTTTGTCGTGGAGGTGAAATTCCAGACTTGGGCAGCCAAGAGTTTGAAGATCCCTTCTTCCACCCAATTCTCACTCATGGGGTAGAAGCTCTATTCCAAGAAAAAAGGTGAAGAATATGGGGGCTCTGATTATACTCACCCTAGTTTACTCATGGGGCAGAATTTCCACACTAAATTAGGCGAGGTGAAATGACCAGAGACCACTGTCCCCACCCAGTACTCTACTCATAAATTCCATTGTCACTCAGAGAGAAGTGGGCCACCATTCCTGCTCCTGACTCCTGAACAGGGGCTCAGAGATTTTTCCCAGGAGAGAGACAGACCATAAGAAGAGAGAGCTCCAAAGCTCTCCTCAAAGGCAGAGTTTTAATTTAGAATAAAGTGTTGAAAAGTTAAAGTTAAATGGCACTTTTGAAAGCAATAGAAATTTTGGTAGCAGGCAATTAAGAGGAAATTAGTAGCTTAATGAGAGCAACAAGGTAAACTGTAGGCCAGCTAGTTTATTGGAGAGAATGAGCATTTCTGTGATTAGAAAAAAACTCAAAGACTAGCCTCAAAAATTGCTCCTGTGAAGATGCCTAAATGTAATTAATCAGACTGTGGAGCAATTTATGCTCCATGGCATCATCAAAACCGATAGAATAATCAGCTGGCAATTAGTGGAGCTAACAGCTGGCTGTGATACCAACAGAGACAGACAGCCTAATGGGGAAAGAAATAGTCAAACTGCTGTTATCTCAGGATAACTGTGTTTTTCCTGGAGGCTGTGCCCTCTCAGTAAGGACATCAGAGGCTTCATACTGTGGGGGAAATATAATTAACTAAAATAATTCATTCAAATTATTAAACAAATAAAAATTCTGGAGAATGGGGAAAGGTGTGATAGGGTTCAGCATTCAGAGTTGCTGCAATATGTACTAAAAAAAGTACCATTTAAAAATATATAAGACATGAAAAAGCAGGAAAGTGTGACATATACTCAGCAAAAATTTGGAGCAACATCACTGTATTTCAATGGGATTAAGTATAAATCTGAAGTAGTTTATTTCAAGTTAAGATGTATATGGTAAACTCAAACACTTACTAAAGAAATAACTAAAAAAAAAAGGATACTTGAAGAAACTAAAATGTTGCATCACAAAATATTCACTTAGTGTAAAAAAAAGCAGTAGCAAAGAAGTAGAAGAACAAAAAAGACATGAGACATAGAGAAAATAAAAAGTAAAATGGCAGAAATAAACCCAACTTTATCAACAATAGGATTAAGTGTTAATGAATTAAATAATTCAAAAAAGGCAGAGAATGTCAAACTAGATTGGAAAACTAGGTTTAATTATATGCCATTTCTAGGAGATAAACTTTGGATTCAAAGATACAAATAGATTGGAAATAAAGGGAAGAAAAAGTATACAGCATGCAAACAGCAACCAAAAGAAAGCTGAAGTGGCTATACCAATATCAGAGAAAATATGTTTTCAAAATGAACTTTAAAACAAAAATATTTTAAAGAGAAATATTTTTAATGATAAAGAATCAATACATTAGGAAGATATAACAATTACATATATAGATATATGCACCTAACAACAGAATCCTCAACACCAGATAACTAAAGAGAGAAACAGACAATTTTCACAATATAGTTGGAGACTTTAACACATTACTTTCAACAATAGATAGAACAAGTAGGCAGAAAAGCAACAAGGAAGTAAAAGACCTGAACTACACTATAAACCACTAGACCTAATAGACATGTATGAAACACTCCATCCCCAATGACATCAGCATACAGATTCTTGTCAAGCACACATGGAGAATTATCCAATAAATAAAATGGTAAGGCATAAAACAAGTTTCAATAAGTATAAAGAAATGGAAGTAATACAAAATATGTTCTCTAACCACAATTGAATGAAATTAGAAATCAATAGTGGAAAGAAATTAGGGAAACAACACATTCGTAAATAACAAGTGGATCAAAAAAGAATTATCAAAAAAGAGGAATTAGAAAATCACTTGAGATGAATGACTTTGAAGACACAACATACCATAATATATGAGATGCAGCTAGAAAAAGTCAGTGCTTAGAGGTCACTTATTGTTGTAAATGTCTATATTAAAAAAGGAGAAAGAATTCATATTAACCACCTAAACTTCCACTTAAAGACACTGGAAAAAAATCACAGCAAACCAAATTTAAAGTAAGCAGAACAAAGAAAATAATGGTGGTTACAGTGGAAATTAGTAAAATACAGAATAGGAAAGCAATACAGAAAATAAATGATTCTCAATACAGAAAATAATAATTTTTATCATTTCATATATTTTAAATGATCAAAAAATTGAAAAATATTTAGCTAGATTAATCAAGAAAAAAGAAGAGTCAAATTACTAGAATCAGGGATGAAACAGAAGATATCACTACAGATCTAACAGAAATAAAAAAGTATTATAATGGAATAATATAAACAATTGTATGCCAAAAATTTAAATAATTAGATAAAATATACAAATTCTTAGAAAGACACAAACTATAGAAAATGACTCAAAAAGAAACAGAAAACTTGAATAAATCTGTAACAAGTTATAATAAGTGAAGAAGTTGAATTAATAATCACAAATCTACCCACAAGGAAAAGCCCAGGCCTAGATGGTTTTGCCAATGAATTCTAGCAAACCTTTAAAAAATAATTAACACCAATCCTTCACAAAGCCTTCCAAAAAAATAGACAAGAAAGGACTACTTTTCAGCTTATTTTAGAAGTTAGCATTATCCCAATACTAAATTCAAAATATCACAAGAAAATAAAACTGCAAACCAACATCTCTTATGAATATGAATGCAAAATCCTCAACAAAATACTAGCAAACTGAATCCAGCAACATATGAAAAAATTATACACTGTGAACAAGATGGATTTATCCCAGTGATGCAAGGTCGGTTTAATATCTGAAAATCAATTACAATAGAATATAAAACAAAAACCACATGATAATTTTAATAGATGCAGAAAAAAATGTTTAATAAAATCCAACACTCTGTCAGGATAAAAACAGTCAACAAATTAGGAATATATGGGAACTTCCTCAATTTGCAAAATGGCATCTATAAAAAAGCCACAGCTAACCTTAGAATTAATGGAGAAAGACTAGAAATGTTACCCTAGGATTGGTAACAATACAAGGATGTCTGGCCTTGCAACTTCTGTTTAACATTGTACTGGAGGTTTTGGCCAAGACAATTAGGCAAGAAAAAGAAATAAAAGGCACTGGAATTGGAAACGAAGTAAAACTATCTGTATTCACTGATGACATAATCTTTTATATAGAAAGTCCTAAGAAATCTACTTAAAAATGATCAGAACTAGTCAACAACTTCAGGAATATTGCAAAATATATTAATATACAAAAATAAATTGTATGATGGATATTCCAATTACCTTGATTTGACTACGTGAATGTATCAAGTTATCACATGTACCTTGAAAATATGTACATCTATTATGTATGTATCAATAAAAAAAGAAAAAATTAACTGTATTTTCATACACTTGCAATGGACAATCCAAAATGAAATTTAAAAAACAATTTCATGTGCAATAGCATCGAAAGAATAAAATATATATGTGTAAATTATCAAAGAAGTTCAAAACTTTTACTCTGAAAATTACAAAACATTGTTCAAAGAAATTTTTAAAAGCCTTAATGATAAAACAGTCCATGTGCATGCATTAGAAGACAAGTATTGTTAAAATGGCTATATGCATCAAAGTGATCCAACTGATTCACAGATTCAATAAAATCCCGTGAGAATCCCTCCCGACTTGTTTATAAAAGCTGACTAGCTGATTCTAATATTTATATGGAATTGCAAGGAACCAGGATAGTCAAAACAGTCTTGAAAATGAACAGCAAAGTAGGAGGACACAAAGTTACTGATTTCAAAACTTTCTTTATTATTATTATTATTATTATATGTTAAGTTTTAGGGTACATGTGCACAACGTGCAGGTTTGTTACATATGTATACATGTGCCATGTTGGTGTGCTGCACCCATTAACTCATCATTTAGCATTAGTTATCTCTCCTAATGCTATCCCTCCCCCCCTCCCCCCACCCCACAACAGTCCCCAGTGTGTGATGTTCCCCTTCCTTTGTCCATGTGTTCTCATTGTTCAATTCCCACCTATGAGTGAGAACATGCAGTGTTTGGTTTTTTGTCCTTGCGATAGTTTGCTGAGAATGATGGTTTCCAGCTTCATCCATGTCCTTGCAAAGGACATGAACGCATCCTTTTTTATGGCTGCATAGTATTCCATGGTGCATATGTGCCACATTTTCTTAATCCAGTCTATCATTGTTGGACATTTGGGTTGGTTCCAAGTCTTTGCTATTGTGAATAGTGCCGCAATAAACATACGTGTGCATGTGTCTTTATAGCAGCATGATTTATAATCCTTTGGGTATATACCCAATAATGGGATGGCTGGGTCAAATGGAATTTCTAGTTCTAGATCCCTGAGGAATCGCCACAGTGACTTCCACAATGGTTGAACTAGTTTACTGTCCCAACAACAGTGTAAAAGTGTTCCTATTTCTCCACATCCTCTCCAGCACCTGTTGTTTCCTGACATTTTAATGATCGCCATTCTAACTGGTGTGAGATGGTATCTCATTGTGGTTTTGATTTGCATTTCTCTGATGGCCAGTGATGATGAGCATTTTTTCATGTGTTTTTTGGCTGCATAAATGTCTTCGTTTGAGAAGTGTCTGTTCATATCCTTTGCCCAATTTTTGATGGGGTCGTTTGTTTTTTTCTTGTAAATTTGTTTGAGTTCATTGTAGATTCTGGGTATTAGCCCTTTGTCGGATGAGTAGGTTGCAAAAATTTTCTCCCATTCTGTAGGTTGTCTGTTCACTCTGATGGTAGTTTCTTTTGCTGTGCAGAAGCTTTTTAGTTTAATTAGATCCCATTTGTCAATTTTGGCTTTTGTTGCCATTGCTTTTGGTGTTTTAGACATGAAGTCCTTGCCCTTGCCTATGTCCTGAATGGTATTGCCTA
Organism: Homo sapiens; assembly: GCF_000001405.40. NCBI lineage: Eukaryota > Metazoa > Chordata > Mammalia > Primates > Hominidae > Homo > Homo sapiens. The sequence continues at coordinate 26,936,040 of NC_000008.11, forward strand.
GGTTTTCTTCTAGGGTTTTTATGGTTTTAGGTCTAACATTTAAGTCTTTAATCCATCTTGAATTAATGTTTGTATAAGGTGTGAGGAAGGGATCCAGTTTCAGCTTTCTACATATGGCTAGCCAGTTTTCCCAGCACCATTTATTAAATAGGGAATCCTTTCCCCATTGCTTGTTCTTGTCAGGTTTGTCAAAGATCAGATAGTTGTAGATATGCAGCATTGTTTCTGAGGGCTCTGTTCTGTTCCATTGGTCTATATCTCTGTTTTGGTACCAGTACCATGCTGTTTTGGTTACTGTAGCCTTGTAGTATAGTTTGAAGTCAGGTAGCCTGATGCCTCCAGCTTTGTTCTTTTGGCTTAGGATTGACTTGGTAATGCGGGCTGTTTTTTGGTTCCATATGAACTTTAAAGTAGTTTTTTCCAATTCTGTGAAGAAAGTCATTGGTAGCTTGATGGGGATGGCATTGAATCTATAAATTACCTTGGGCAGTATGGCCATTTTCACGATAGTGATTCTTCCTACCCATAAACATGGAATGTTCTTCCATTTGTTTGTATCCTCTTTTATTTCATTGATCAGTGATTTGTAGTTCCCCTTGAAGAGGTCCTTCACATCCCTTGTAAGTTGGATTCCTAGGTATTTTATACTCTTTGAAGCAATTGTGAATGGGAGTTCACTCATGATTTGGCTCTCTGTTTGTCTGTTATTGGTGTATAAGAATGCTTGTGATTTTTGCACATTGATTTTGTATCCTGAGACTTTGCTGAATTTGCTTATCAGCTTAAGGAGATTTTGGGCTGAGACAATGGGGTTTTCTAGATATACAATCATGTCATCTGCAAACAGGGACAATTTGACTTCCCCTTTTCCTACTTTAATGTCCTTTATTTCCTTCTCCTGCCTGATTGCCCTGGCCAGAACTTCCAACACTATGTTGAATAGGGGTGGTGAGGGAGGGCATGCCTGTCTTGTGCCAGTTTTCAAAGGGAATGCTTCCAGTTTTTGTCCATTCAGTATGATATTGGCTGTGGGTTTGTCACAGATAGCTCTTATTATTATGAGATACGTCCCATCAATACCTAATTTATTGAGAGTTTTTAGCATGAAAGGTTGTTGAATTTTATCAAAGCCTTTTCTGCATCTATTGAGACAATCAGGTGGTTTTTGTCTTTGGTTCTGTATATATGCTGGATTGCATTTATTGATTTTCATATGTTGAACCAGCCTTGCATCCCAGGGATGAAGCCCACTTCATCATGGTGGATAAGCTATTGGATGTGCTGCTGGATTCAGTTTGCCGGTATTTTATTGAGGATTTTTGCATCGATGTTCATCAAGGATATTGGTCTAAAATTCTCTTTTTTTGTTGTGTCTCTGCCAGGCTTTGGTATCAGGATGATGCTGGCCTCATAAAATGAGTTAGGGAGGATTCCCTCTTTTTCTATTGATTGGAATAGTTTCAGAAGGAATGGTACCAGCTCCTCCTTGTACCTCTGGTAGAATTTGGCTGTGAATCCATCTGGTCCTAGACTTTTTTTGGTTGGTAAGCTATTAATTATTGCCTCAATTTCAGAGCCTGCTATTGGTCTATTCAGAGATTCAACTTCTTCCTGGTTTAGTCTTGGGAGGGTGTAGATGTCGAGGAATTTATCTATTTCTTCTAGATTTTCTAGTTTATTTGCGTAGAGGTGTTTATAGTATTCTCTGATGGTAGTTTGTATTTCTGTGGGATTGATGGTGATATCCCCTTTGTCATTTTTTATTGCATCTATTTGATTCTTCTCTCTTTTCTTCTTTATTAGTCTTGCTAGTGGTCTATCAATTTTGTTGATCTTTTCAAAAAACCAGCTCCTGGATTCATTGATTTTTTGAAGGGTTTTTTGTGTCTCTATCTCCTTCAGTTCTTCTCTGATCTTAGTTCTTTCTTGCCTTCTGCTAGCTTTTGAATGTGTTTGCTCTTGCTTCTCTAGTTCTTTTAATTGTGATGTTAGGGTGTCCATTTTAGATATTTTCTGCTTTCTCTTGTGGGCATTTACTGCTATAAATTTCCCTCTACACACTGCTTTAAATGTGTCCCAGAGATTCTGGTATGTTGTGCCTTTGTTCTCATTGGTTTCAAAGAACATCTTTATTTCTGCCTTCATTTCATTGTGTACCCAGTAGTCATTCAGGAGTAGGTTGTTCAGTTTCCATGTAGTTGAGTGGTTTTGAGTGAGTTTCTTAATCCTGAGTTCTAGTTTGATTGCACTGTGGTCTGAGAGACAGCCTGATATGATTTCTGTTCTTTTACATTTGCTGAAGAGTGCTTTACTTCCAACTATGTGGTCAATTTTGGAATAAGTGTGATGTGGTGCTGAGAAGAATGTATATTCTGTTGATTTGGGGTGGAGAGTTCTGTAGATGTCTATTAGGTCCGCTTGGTGCAGAGCTGAGTTCAATTCCTGGATATCCTTGTTAACTTTCTGTCTCACTGATCTGTCTAATGTTGACAGTGGGGTGTTAAAGTCTCCCATTATTATTGTGTGGGAGTCTAAGTCTCTTTGTAGGTCACTAAGGACTTGCTTTATGTATCTGGGTGCTCCTGTGTTGGGTGCATATATATTTAGGATAGTTAGCTCTTCTTGTTGAATTGATCCCTTTACCATTATGTATGGCCTTCTTTGTCTCTTTTGATCTTTGTTGGTTTAAAGTCTGTTTTATCCGAGACTAGGATTGTGACACCTGACTTTTTTTGTTTTCCGTTTGCTTGGTAGATCTCCCTCCATCCCTTTATTCTGAGCCTATGTGTGTCTCTGCAGGTGAGATGGATTTCCTGAATACAGCACACTGATGGGTCTTGATTCTTTATCCAATTTGTCAGTCTGTGTCTTTTAATTGGAGCATTTAGTCCATTTACATTTAACGTTAATATTGTTATGTGTGAATTTGATCCTGTCATTATGATGTTAGCTGGTTATTTTGCTTGTTAGTTGATGCAGTTTCTTCCTAGCATCGATGGTCTTTACAATTTGGCATGTTTTTGCAGTGGCTAGTACTGGTTGTTCCTTTCCATGTTTAGTGCTTCCTTTAGGAGCTCTTTTAGGGCAGGCCTGGTGGTGACAAAATCTCTCAGCATTTGCTTCTCTGTAAAGGATTTTATTTCTCCTTCACTTATGAAGCTTAGTTTGGCTGGATATGAAATTCTGTGTTGAAAATTCTTTTCTTTAAGAATGTTGAATATTGGCCCCCACTCTCTTCTGGCTTGTGGAGTTTCTGCCAAGAGATCAGCTGTTAGTCTGATGGGCTTCCCTTTGTGGGTAACCCGACCTTTCTCTCTGGCTGCCCTTAACATTTTTTCCTTCATTTCAACCTTGGTGCATCTGACAATTATGTGTCTTGGAGTTGCTCTTCTTGAGGAGTATCTTTGTGGCATTCTCTGTGTTTTCTGAATTTGAATGTTGACCTGCCTTGCTAGATTGGGGAAGTTCTCCTGGATAATATCCTGCAGAGTGTTTTCCAACTTGGCTCCATTCTGTCCGTCACTTTCAGGTACACCAATCAGACATAGATTTGGTCTTTTCACATAGTCCCATATTTCTTGGAGGCTTTGTTCATTTCTTTTTATTCTTTTTTCTCTAAACTTCTCTTTACGCTTCATTTCATTCATGTTGTCTTCCATTGCTGATACCCTTTCTTCCAGTTGATCACATAGGCTACTGAGGCTTGTACATTCATCACGTAGTTCTCATGCCATGGTTTTCAGCTCCATCAGGTCCTTTAAGGACTTCTCTGCATTGTTTATTCTAGTTAGCCATTCATCTAATTTTTTTTCAAGGTTTTTAACTTCTTTGCCATTGGTTCGAACTTCCTCCTTTAGCTCGGAGTAGCTCGATCTTCTGAAGCCTTCTTCTCTCAACTGGTCAAAGTCATTCTCCGTCCAGCTTTGTTCCATTGCTGGTGAGGAGCTGCGTTCCTTTGGAGGAGGAGAGGTGTTCTGATTTTTAGAGTTTCCGTTTTTTTTTGCTCTGTTTTTTCCCCATCTTTGTGGTTTTATCTGCCTTTGGTCTTTGATGATGGTGACATACAGATGGGTTTTTGGTGTGGATGTCCTTTCTGTTTGTTAGTTTTCCTTCTAACAGTCAGGACCCTCAGCTGCAGGTCTGTTGGAGTTTGCTGGAGGTTCACTCCAGACGCTGTTTTCCTGGGTATCAGCAGCAGTGGCTCCAGAACAGTGGATATTGGTGAACCGCAAATGCTGCTGCCTGATTGTTCCTCTGGAAGTTTTGTCTCAGAGGAATACCCGGCCATGTGAAGTGTCAGTCTGCCCCTACTTGGGGGGTGCCTCCCAGTTAGGCTACTTGGGGATCAGGGACCCACTTGAGGAGGCAGTCTGCCCATTCTCAGATCTCAAGCTGTGTGCTGGGAGAAACACTACTCTCTTCAAAGCTGTCAGACAGGGACATTTAAGTCTGCAGAGGTTACTGCTGCCTTTTGTTTATCTGTGCCCTGCCCCCAGAGGTGGAGCATACAGAGGCAGGCAGGCCTCCTTGAGCTGTGGTGGGTTCCACCCAGTTCCAGGTTCCTGGCCACTTTGTTTACCTACTCAAGCCTCCGCAATGGCAGGCGCCCCTCCCCCATTCTCACTGCTGCCTTGCAGTCTGATCTCAGACTGCTGTGCTAGCAATGAGCGAGGCTCTGTGGGCATAAGACCCTCCAAGCCAGGTGTGGGATATAATATCCTGCTGTGCCATTTGTTAAGCCTGTTAGAAAAGTGCAGTATTAGGGTGGGAGTGACCCGATTTTCCAGGTGCCATCTGTCACCCCTTTCTTTGACTAGGAAAGGGAATTCCCTTACCCCTTGTGCTTTCTGGGTGAGGCAATGCCTCATCCTGCTTCAGCTCATGCACGGTGTGCTGCACCCACTGTCCTGCACCCACTGCCTGGCACTCCCCAGTGAGATGAAGCCAGTACCTCAGTTGGAAATGCAGAAATCACCCATCTTCTGCATCGCTCACACTGGGAGCTGTAGACTGGAGCTGCTCCTATTCAGCCATCTTGGCTCCACCCCGATTTCAAAACTTTCTACCAAGCTGTACTCTCAAATCAGTATTATACTGACATAAGGATAGACACATAGATCAATGAACCATAATTGAGAGTCCAGAAAAAAAGTATGTGTCTATGGTCAACTGACTTTTGACAAGAGTGCCAAGACTTCAATGGGGGAAGGGATAGTCTTTTCATCAAATGATGCTAGGGCAACTGAATGAATAACCAAATGCAAGGGAATGAAGTGGAGCCCCTTTCTTATATGATATGCCAAAATTAATTCAAAATGCATTAAAGATCTAAATGTAAGAGCTAAAACTATAAAATTCTTAGAAGCAAACACAGGGATAAGTATTCACAATCTCATATTAGGTAATGGATTCTTAGGTATAACACCCAAACCACAAGCAACAAAAGAAATAATAGATAAATTGCACTTCATATACATTAAAACCTTTTGTACATCAAAAGAAACTGTCAAATGGTAAAAAAGCCACCCACAGTTTGGGGAAAAATGTCTGCAAACCATATACCTGACAAATGATTTGTATCTAGAATATGTGAATATGTTTTACAACTAAAATTTTAAAAAATGAAATAAACCAATATACAAACAGAAAAGGATGTGATTTAATATTTTTAAAAATATATGCAAGCAGTTAAAAAGCAGATAAAAAGATGCTCAACAGCATTAGACATTAGAGAAATGCAAAACAAAACTACAATGATATACCACTTTGTACCCAAGAACACGGATATACTAAAAAAGACACAACAAGTGTTGGTGAGGGTGTAGACAAATCAGAACTTTCTACACTGTTGGCGAGATATGACCCAGGAATTCTACGCCTAGACATATACCCAAGAGAAATGAAAATATATGTCTACACAAAAAGTTGTATCTGAATGTCCATAGCAACATTTGTACTCCAAAAATTGGCAATGATCCAAATGTCCATTAGTTAATGAATGGATAAATAAAATGTGGTATATTCATACAATAAAATATTTTTCAGGAATAAAAAGAAGGAAATACCGATAACTGTTTATCTTAGTAAATTTGGGCTACTATAAAAAATTACATAGACTGAATGGCTTAAACAATAAACATTTATTTCTCATAGTTCAGAGGCTGGGAAATCCAAGATCAAGGTGCCCAACAGATTGGTGTCTGGTGAGGACCCACTTCCTGGGTTGCAAATGGCTGTCCTCTCCTTGTATCCTCGCATGGTGGGAAGAAAAAGAGGAAGCAGACTTTCTTATGATTTTTATAAAGGCACTAATCCCATTCATGTAGGTTCCACCCTCATCTAATCATATTAATAATTACCTCTCAAAGGCCTGGCCTCTAATACCATCACATTAAGGGGTACAGTTTCAACATATGAATTTAAGGGTGGACATAAATGTTCAGTCCATAACACTGCTACACCATGAATGCAATTTGAAAGTGTTATGCTACGTGAAATAATCTCTTTACAAAAGACCACACATTGTATGACTCCATTTACATGAAATGTCCTAAATAGGAAAATCTATATAGAGAAAGCAAATTAGTGGTTGTTTAGGGTTGAACAGGTGGAGGTAATTGGGGACTGAGTGGTAATGAGTATGAGGTTTCTTTCTGAAGCAATAATATGTTCTGAAATTGGTTGTGATGATAGCTGCACAACTTTGTGAATAAATTTAAAACAATGAACTTGTATACATTAAAGAGGTGAATTACATGGTATATGGATTACATCTTTAGAAAATGGGTGGTGTGTGTGTGTGTGTGTGTATCAATAGCTAGCTAGCTAGGTAGATAAGTAGGTAGGTAGGTAGGTAGGTAGATATAGCTAGATAGATGTAGGTATAATCTGAATAGCCCAATATTTATTTTAAAAATTTACTTTGTACCTAAACACCTATCTACAAATAAAAGTCCTGGTCCAGATGGCTTCAATGGCAAATTCATCCAAACATTTAAGGGGGAAATAATACCAAACCTACCCAAATTCCTCCAGAAAATTGAAGAGGAGGAATCACTTCCCAAGCCACTCTGTGAGGCCAATATTGCCCTCATATGAAAACCAAAGGCATTATAATAAAACAAAACCACAGATCAATATTTGACTTGAAACCTAGTGCAAAATCTAAAACAAAATTATGGCAAATTGTATTCAACATATACAGAAAAGGTAATATATCCTGGCTGAGTAGGTTTTATTCCAGGAATTAAAGGATGATTTAACACTTAGAAATCAATTAATGTAATTTACCATGTATGCATGTGCATGCATATGCACGCACACATGCACACACATACACAACTATACAATCATCATAGTAGATGCAGCAAATGCATTTGACACAGTCTAAGTTTGTGTAAGTACACTCTGTGGTTTCACACAATGGCAAAATTGCATAATTTCTCAGAACCTATCCCCATTGTTGAGCAACACATGACTGTATATCTTTGCCCATTCTTTTAATTTTAGGCTTTTCAACTTAGTCTGCTTTGAGTGTATCTCTTGTACATACCATGGTATTGAGTTTTGCTTGATAAACCAGTTGAAAATCTCTTTTTTCTTTTTTTAAAATTTTCCATAAGTTATTGGAATAGAGGTGGTATTTGGTTACATAAGTAAGTTTTTTAGTGGTGATTTGTGAGATTTTGGTGCACTTGTCATGCAAGCAGTATACACTGCATCATATTTGTAGTTTTTTATCCCTTGTCCCACTCCCACTCTTCCCACCCCAACTCCCCAAAGTCCATTGTATCATCCTTATGCCTTTGCGTCCTCATAGCTTAGCTCCCACACATCAGTGAGAACATACGATGTTTGGTTTTCTATTCCTGAGTTACTTCCCTTAGAATAATAGTCTCCATTCTCATTCAGGTCACTGAAAATGCTGTTAATTCATTCCTTTTTATGGCTGAGTAGTATTCCATCATATGTATATATACCACAGTTTCTTTATCCACTCGTTGACTGATGGACATTTGGGTTGGTTTAATGATTTCACAATTGTGAATTGTGTTGTTTTAAACATGGGTGTCCAAGTATCTATTTCGATTAATGACTTCTTTTCCTCTGGATAGATACCCAGTAGCAGGATTGCTGGATCTAATGGTAGTTCTACTTTTAGTTCTTTAAGGAATCTCCACAGTGTTTTCCATAGTGACTGTACTAGTTTATATTCCCACCAGCAGTGTAGAAGTGTTCCCTGTTCACTGGATCCACACCAACATCTATTGATTTTTGATTTTTTGATTATGGCCATTCTTGTAGGAATTAGGTGGTATTGCAGGAGTAAGATGGTGTCACATTCTTGCAGGAGTAAGGTGGCATTAATGATGTTGAGCATTTTTCCATATGTTTGTTGGCCTTTGTATATCTTCTTTTGAGAATTGTCTATTCATGTCCTTAGCCCACTTTTTGATGGGATTTTTTTTTTTTACCAATTTATTTGAGTTCACTGTAGATTCTAGATATTAGTCCTTTGTCAGATGTACACATTGTGAAGATTTTCTCTGTTCTCTGTTTACTCTGCTGACTGTTCCCTTTGCTGTGCAAAAGCTCTTTAATTTAATTAGGTACCAGCTGTTTATATTTGTTTTTATTGCATTTGCTTTTGGGTCATGAAATCCTTGCCTAAGCCAATGTCTAGAAGGGTTTTTCCAATGTTATCTTCTATAATTTTTATAGTTTCAGGTCTTAAGTTTAAGTCCTTAATCCCATCTTGAGTTGATTTTTGTGCAAAGTGAGAGTTGAGGATATAGTTTCATCCTCCTACGTGTGGCTACCCAATTATCCCAGCACCATTTGTTGAAAAGGGCATCCTTTCCCCACTTTATGTTTTTGTTTGCTTTGTCGAAGATCAGTTGGCTATTTGGGTTTATTTCTGGTTTCTCTATTCTGTTCCATTGGTCTATGTGCCATTTTTATGCCAGTACCACACTGTTTTGGTGACTATGGCCTCTTAGTGTAGTTTGAAATCAGGTAGTGTGATGCCTCTAGATTTATTATTTTTGTTTAGTCTTGTTTTGGCTAGGTGGGCTCTTTTTTGCTTTCATATGAATTTTAGAATTGTTTTTTCTAATTCTGTCAAGAATGTTGGTGTTTTGATGGGGATTGCATTGAATTTGTAGATTGCTTTTGGCAGTATGGTCATTTTCACAAGGTTAATTCTACCCATCCATGAGCATGGGATGTGTTTCCATTTATTTGTGTCATCTGTGATTTCTTTCAGCAGTGTTTTGTAGTTTTCCTTGTAAAGGTCTTTCAACTCCTTGGTTAGGTACATTCATAAGATTTTTTTTTTTCTTCAGCTATTGTAAAAGGGATTGAGGTCTTGATTTGAGTCTCTCTTTGGTTGCTGTTGGTGTAGAGAAGAGCTACTGATTTGTGTACATTAATCTTGTATTCAGAAACTTTGCTGAATTCTTTTATCAGTTCTAGGAGCTTTCTGGAGGAAAGCTAGGGTTTTCAAGGTAAACGATCATATCATCAGCAAACAGTGACAGTTTGACTTCCTCTTACCAATCTGGATACCATTTATTTCTTTCTCTTGTCTGATTGCTCTGGCTAGGACTTCCAGTACTATGTTGAAGAGGAGTGGTGAAAGTGGGCCTCCTTGTCTTGTTCCAGTTCTCAGAGAGTATGCTTTTAACTTTTCCCCTTTCAGTATTATGTTGGCTGCGGGTTTGTCATAGATGGTTTTTATCACACTATGGTATGTCCCTTGTAGGCCAATTTTGCTGAGAGTTTTAATCAGAAAGGGACACTGAATTCTGTTGAATGCTTTTTTTTGCATCTATTGAGATTATCATGTGATTTTTGTTTTTAATTCTGTTTATACAGTGTTTCACATTTATTGACTTGCATATGTTAAACCATCCCTGCATCCCTTGTATGAAACCCACTTGATCATGGTGGATTTTTTTTTGATATGTTGGATTTTGTTAGTATTTTGTTAAGGATTTTAGCATCTATGTTCATCAAGGATATTGGTCTGTAGTTTTGTTTTTTGATTATGTCCTTCCCTGGTTTTGGTGTTAGGGTGGTGCTGGCTTCATAGAAGGAATTAGGGAGGGTTCCTTCTTTCTCTGTCTTATGGAATAGCATCATTATATAATGTCCCTCTTTGTCTCTTAACTGCTATTGCTTTAAGTTTGTTTTGTCTGATATAAAAATAAGTACCCCTGCTTGATTTTGGCATCCATTTGCATGAAATGCCTTTTTCCACCTCTTTACTTTAAGTTTATGTGAGTCCTTATGTGTTAGGTGAGTCTCCTGAAGGCAGCAGATAGTTGGTTGGTGAGTTCTTATCCATTCTGTGGTTCTGTATCTTTTTTTTGTTTTTTTTTTTTTGAGATGGAGTCTGGCTCTGTCACCCAGACTGGAGTGCAATGGCATGATCTCTGCTCACTGCAAACTCCACCTCCCAGATTCAAACGATTCTCCTGCCTCAGCCTCCTGAGTAGTCGGGATTACAGGGGCCGACCCCCATGCCCAGCTAATTTTTGTATTTTTAGTAGAGACGGGTTTTGCCATGTTGGTCAGGCTGGTCTCGAACTCCTGACCTCAGGTGATCTGCCTGCCTCAGCCTCCCAAAGTGCTGGGATTACAGGGATGAGCCACCATGCCCGGCCTGTGGTTCCGTATCTTTTAAGTGGAGCATTAAGGCCATTTACATTTAATGTTAGTATTGAAATATGAGATACTGTTGCATTCATCATGCTCTTTGTTGCCTGTGTACTTTGGTTTTTTTGTTTGTTTTTTGTTTTTAACTTATATTTTTGTTTTATAGGTCCTGTGGATTTATGCTTTAAAGAGGTTCTGTTTCAATGTGTTTCTAGGATTTGTTTTAAGATTTAGAGCTCCTTTTAGCAGTTCTTATAGTGGTGGCTTGGTAATGGTTAATTCTGTCAGCATTTGTTTGTCTGAAAAAGACTGTATCTTTCCTTTACATATGATGCTTGGTTTCACTGGATACCAGATTCTTAGCTGATAATTGTTTTGTTTGAGGAGGCTGAAGATAGGGCCCCAATTCCTTCTAGCTTGTAGGGTTTCTGCTGAAAAACCTGGTGTTAATCTGATAGCTTTTCCTTTATAGGTTACCTGATGCTTCTGTCTCACAGCTCTTAAGTTTCTTTCCTTCATCTTAACTTTGGATAACCTGAAGACAATGTGTCTAGGCAATGATCTTTTTATGATGAATTTCCCAGGTGTTCTTTGGGCTGCTTGTATTTGGATGTCTAAGTCTATAGCAAGGCTGGGGAAGTTTTCCTCGATTATTTCCCCAGATATGTTTTCCAAGCTTTTAGAATTATCTTCTTCAGGAATACCGACTATTCTTAGGTTTGGTCATTTAACATAATCCCAGATTTCTTTGAGGGTTTGTTCATATTTTCTTATTCTGTTTTCTTTGTTGGATTGGGTTAATTCAAAGACCTTGTCTTTGAGCTCTGAATTTCTTTCTTCTACTTGTTAATTCTATTGCTGAGACCTTCCAGAGCATTTCGCATTTGTAAAAGTGTGTCCAAAGTTTCCTGAATTTTTGGTTTTTTTTTTTTAAGCTATCTACTTCCTTGAATATTTCTTCCTTCACTTCTTGTATCATTTTTTTGGATTTCCTTGTACTGGGCTTCGCCTTTCTCTGGTGCCTTCCTGATTAGCTTAACTAACCTCCTGAATTCTTTTTCAGCTAAGTCAGGGATTCCTTCTTGATTTGAATCCATTGCTGGTGAACTAGTGTGATTTTTTTTGTTTTGTCATATTACCAGGATTGGTGTTCTAGTTCCTTCTCATTTGGGTAGTCTCTGTCAGAGGAAAGGTCTAGGGCTGAAGGCTGTTGTTCAGATTCTTTTGTCCCATAGAGTGTTCCCTTGATGTAGTACTCTCACCCTTTTCTATGGATGTGGCTTCCTGTGAGCTAAAATTTTGTGATTATTGTCTCTCTTCTGGGTCTAGCCACCCAGTGAGTCTACCTGGCTCTGGGCTTGCACTGGGGGTTGTCTGCACAGAGTCCTGTGATGTGAACCATCTATGGGTCTCTCAGCCATCGATACCAGCACCTGTTCCGGTGGAGGTGGCAAGGGTGGTGCAATGGACTCCATGAAGGTTCTTAGCTTTGGTGGTTTAATGCTCTATTTTTGTGCATGTTGGCCTCCTGCTGGGAGGTGGTGCTTTCCAGAGAGCATCAGCTGTGGTGGTATGGAGAGGAGCTGGTGGTGGTTGGGGCTCTAGAATTCCCAAGATTGTATGCCCTTTGTTGTCAGCTACCAGGCTGGGTAGGGAAGGACCATCAGGTGGGGGCAGGGCTAGGTGTGTCTGAGCTCAGACTTTCCTTGGGTGGGTCTTGCTGTAGCTGCTGTGGGGGATGGGGGTGGGATTCCCAGGTCACTGGAGTCATGTACCTGGGAGTATTATAGCTTCTTCTGCTGAGTCATGCAGGTTGTCAGGGAAGTGGGGGAAAGCCAGTAATCACAGCTCTCACCCAGCTCCCCAACAAACCAAAGGGCCAGTTTCACTCCCACTGTGCTCCCACCAACAACCGCGAGTCTGTTCCAGGCGGTGGGCGAGATGGGCTTGAAATCTTGCCCCAGGCTACCCACCTCCCAGCTGTGAAAGAAAAGGGCTCGGTTCTTCCCCTGGCTGTGGCGTCTACACAACAGATTTGTGCCCTCCCCTGAGTTCTGGCCAGGAGGCTTCTTGCCCAGTTGGAATTGTTACAAAGTTCATCTAGAGATTTCCTTCTCCCTGTGGAGTTTTAACCCCTGCTCCTCTGGCTGCCCTCCCTGTGGATTCCTGTGGTGCCAGGAAGGAATGGGCTCTTTGGGGACCCAGTGAGCTCCCAGCACCTTCCTGCTACTTCCTCAACCCCTGTATTTTGCTCAGCTCTCTAAATTGAGTCAGCTCCAGGTAAGGTCAGAAACTTCTCCCACAAACAGACCTTCAGTTTCTCCAGTGGGTGTGTGTGTTCGGGAGAGAAGGGTCTCCTTTCCCACTTCTGCAGCTGGGGCACTCACAGTATTTGGGATGTCTCTGGGGTCGCACGGAAGTAGTCCACTTCCTTCAGAGGGTCTGAGGGTCCTCTTGGGACTGCTGATTTGTTCTTGCAGTCGATCTTGAGCTTAAATTCACAGTGCGAGCCTCCACACACTGCTCTGTCTGGAGCTGCAATCTAGTCCTGCCTCCTGTCTGCCATGATGATCCCTGAACCTGAAAATCTTATTTAAATGACTGATGTATGTGGGCTCAACTCTTTCTTATTATCTTAAATTACAGTTTGGAATTAAATATTTCAGTTTAGGTTATAATTCCTGTGTGTACTATGTTACATTTACTATGTTTGTTTATGTGTTGTATCTTCTTTGCTACTTTTTAGAATTTACTTTGGTAGTTAGGAAGCCTTTTATTTAAATACAAAGTTACCTTTGTACTGATATCTTTTTACAGTTTTCTCTTGTTTATTTTCTGGTGTGTCAGTTCTATTAGTTTTCAATTGCTGCCATAACAAAGGACAACAATCTTAGTGACTTAAAATGAAACAAATTTATTATCTTAACAGGCTAAGATCACAGCCTAATCAGGGATGCAACCCTTTCTGGAGGCTCCAGGGGAGAATCTGTTTCCTTGCTAATGCAGATTTCTGGCAGAATTCATTCCTTGTGGTTGTAGAATTAAGGTTGCCTTATCCTTGCAAGTTGTCAGCTGAGGGTCATTCCAGCTTCCAGATGCTGCCCACATTGCTTGACATATAGCTTCCTTCCATCATCTTCACGGCCAGTGGCGCATGGAGTCCCTCTTATGCTTCAAATCTCTCCTATCTCTTCTTCCATTGTCACATCTCTCTGACTGACTGTCTGCCCTCTTATTTCACTTTTAAGAGCCCATGTGATTACATTGGTCCCATCTGAATCATCAAGGATAATCTGTCTCTTTTAAGGCTTGTGGCATTAACCTTATCTATAACACTCCATTCGCTGTGTAATTGACATTGTCAGAAGTCTCAGGACTTAAGCATGGACATCTTTGTAAGTTATTATTCTGCCTTTCACACCAGTTTTAAATAGTATTCCTTAACTCTCATTTATTACCTATACATCCATTAATGATCTTATTTTATTTTTAAAAATTCCTTTTCCTGACATTTATTTTAATTACATACTTTCTCAGAACACACAATGTTCACATATTATTCTTCCATTCATGTCCTCACCCATACTGACCTCACTTTTAGATTTAGATATACAAATAAACAAATTACGTCTTCATTTTTATCCTTTGCCAAAGATTTCTCTGTCATTACTTGGCAGAATGGAGCTTCCGCTCTAGAAGATTTCACCATAAGCGTATGTGAGTAGAAAGTATTCCCTAAGAACTTGCAGGTTAAAACTATTTCCATAGCACAGATACTTCAAGATCACTTAGCTTGTTAGAGTAAATAAGCAGGAGATCATCAGCCTGAGGCTATTTCTGTACTTCGAGTTTCTACATAACAAACCACAATCTAACTTAGCAAACAAACCCAAACCTAACAGGAGAGTATATTTTTTTTGTAACAAATAGCCAGGTTTCAGGCAATGACAAACAGCCAAGCTTCCACCAATCACAGGCTGCCAATTGATTAGACCACATCTAAATAAGGCAAATGCCTAGCTCTAGCCAACTATGTGATTTCTCTGCTTTCATGTTCAGCTTACAAAGGTTTACCGTTCATGCTACTGGTGTGAGCTCTCTGTGCCCCTTCTGGTGCTAAGTGCTGCCTGTTTAATGAATTGTTCTTTGCTCAGATAAACGCTACTAAATTTAATTGGTCTGAAGTTTTTCTTCTAACAAGCTGTTTTAATCTGTTTTGTGCTGCTATAACAGAATACCTAAGACTAGGTCATTTGTAATAAACAAAAATTCATTGGCATATGGTTCTGGAGGCTGAGAAGTCCAGGATTGAGGGCTGGCATCTGGAAAGAGTCTTCTTGCTATGTCGTCTGATAGTGGAAGGTAGAAGGGCAAGAGAGGGTGAGTGAGAGAGAGAAAAAAGGGGGCTGAGCTTGTACTGTTATACAGAACCCAATCCCATGACAGTGGCATTAATTCACTCATGAGGGCAGAACCCTCATAGCCTAATTGCCTCTCAGTAGGTTCCACTTCCCAACACTGTTGCACTGGGGATTAAGTTTCCTACACATGCTTTTTGGAGGACACCTTCAAACTTCTATAATTCACTCTTTTGTCAGACACATTTCTTATTTTTGTGGTGGAATACTAGACATTAGGATGGGCATTGAGATATGTCATATACATAGAGCTAATTTCAGGGGTAGAACATTTTTTCACAGAAGATGTATGAGTTGATCATACTGGAATAGTGGGTATGATGCCTGGATTCATGGAACTACAGTGGTTAGTAGAAGTATTTTAATAGCAAAGTTAATTGCACATATTTCTGATAAAATACAATTTTTGGCTTCTTTCTTTCTTTCTTTCTCTATTTCTCTTTCTCTCTCCTTCCTTCTCTTCCTTCTTTCCTACCTTCCTTCCTTCTTTCCTCCCTTCTCTCTCTCTTTGTGTTTATTGAAAATGCTGCTCTGCTGCTTCTGTGCTTTGTGCATTTCTTTTGAGAAGTCACATGCCAGCCTCATTTTCTTCTTACTGCTTGCTTGCTCTTTTTGTCTGGAGGCCAGATAATTTTTTTATTGCCTTTAAGACCTAATTGTTTTTCTAGGCTATGTCTCAGAGTTGATCATGCAGAATAATTTTTCTGAGGTATATCGTGTACCCATTCAATATGTAGATTTAACTTTTCTCTATTTCTAAAACATTTTCTTGAATTATAGTTTCAAATATTAGTTCTGTTTCATTGCTTCATGTTTCTTCTTCAAGGACTCCAATTACATATATATTGAATATTCTTTTTATTCTGATTTTCAAGTGCTTCCTCTCTACCCCCTTTTTACCTCTTTATTCATTTTTAATCTTAGTTGTTTGCCTACCTTTCTTCATTATTCTTTATTATTATATTTTACTCTATTCCACTGGAGACTTTGTAATTCATTCTTCATTTCTGAGTTGATTTTTTTTTGCCTTTCCTTTTATTTTTGCCTTGATCTTGATTAGCTTTTGTTCCATTTCTTTCTGTTTTGCACATTTGTAATCTTAGTTTTTGAATTTCGAATTCTAAGAATTTAAAAAGTATTTCTAAGATGCTCATTTGAAGATATTTAATTCAGTTTGAAGTATCGTGTTAGCACTCTCTTCTGCTTCTTGACTGATGTTTTGTGGGGGAATTTTTATTTTCTATTTTCTTTTTCTGGGACATTGTGTACAGTTGGTGTGTTTTTTTTCCTATTCCTAGGCATTTTATGGCCTGTGCAGTAAAATGCATTTTATTCCACGGATGATGTTGGGGAAGGAAAGTGCAAGGTTGGCATGCCTTGCCTTACAGTTCTTCATTTCTACAGGATCTTTAATTTCCTATGTTGCTTCTTTCTTTCCCTTCATTGCTGCATCCTTTAAGGGGACCACATTATTTCTATCTCCTTCTCCCCTGTAAGCATGCTTCCATGAGGCTGCTACTACCAGTCTCATTCACTTTCAAGCTACTTCCCTGTGGCTGATGCTGTGAAATACCAAACCTCCAGCCTGTGCTGGGTATTTTAGCACTTAGTATTATTTTTCTTTCTTAGGGAGATGGGGAGGGAGGTTTTGTCTAGTTTATCTCTCTCTTCCATGCCCCTCTTTTCAGAGTCTCTTAATCCTCTGTCCCCTGATCCTTCTCTGCTTGGAGTAGCAGCTGGAGCTCAAGCTCTTTTGAAATTTGGTGTCTATTTCTCTGCTTACAGATAATCAGAAATTGGTAATAGCGGCCAGGTGCGGTGGCTCAAGCCTGTAATCCCAGCACTTTGGGAGGCCGAGGCGGGCTGATCACAAGGTCAGGAGATCAAGACCATCCTGGCTAACACGGTGAAACCCCGTCTCTACTAAAAATACAAAAAATTAGCTGGGTGTGGTGGCGGGCACCTGTAGTCCCAGCTACTCGGGAGGCTGAGGCAGGAGAATGGCATGAACCTGGGAGGCAGAGCTTGCAGTGAGCCTAGATCGCGCCACTGCACTCCAGCCTGGGCGACAGAGCAAGACTCCATCTCAAAAAAAAAAAAAAACCAGAAAAGAAAAGAAATTGGTAATAGCCTCTAAGTAATGCTGAAGGCGTGAGTTGTATATGGCATTATTTGCACTTCATGGTGATCTTAAGTGTTTGGGGGATGATGTGTGGATTTAGATTTAGCTGACTGCTATCTTTCTAAGGTCAAGCAGCACTCACCTGGCACAAGTCTTTTGACCTGTGTTAGAAAAGTGAGTTCCAGTGCCCTGATTCCTTTTCTCTTAAGGCCCAGTCATGCCTCCATTTCTTGTTCCTTTGTGTTAGCAGCTGTGAAAGGGCTTCTGTTGGGATCTGCTTTTATTTTCAGCTGCATCTAGCCATTTTCTCAATATGAGGATCTATGAAGTAGTTATCAGCCCTTTCCTTTCATCAGGTTCAATTGACATCAAATCCAAAAAGAATGCCTCAGAAGTGGAAGTCCCTTTTGCCTAGGATCCAGCCCCCAGGCAGATTCCCCTAATTGTTCCATGCCACTTGTCCTGCAGCACTGGCAGGGAGAACTTGGAAGGAGTTCCATGCTGACTCTGCAGTCTTTCCCAAATGCAAATAAGATACTTGTTTTGTGGGAAAGAGTTAACTGCCTGCCAGGTTGCCAGGCACTTATGTAGGCATTTTGAATATCAGCTTATTTAATCCATGAACCAACTCTGAAACTGTTCAAGGGCACACAGTTGAGAAAGGCACACAACCAAATTCAAGCCCTGGTATGTTTATTCCAAATGCTCTTCCCTACCTCTGTTTTATATCGAATAATCATTTCAGCAAAAGGAAAGGTGTCTTCTCCAGGCATAAACACTGGCTGATCCTTTCTGTAAGGCACGTCCAAATATTCAACAATGTGGCCAGGCATGGTTGCTCACATTTGTAATCCCAGCACTTTAGAAGGCTGAGGCAGGTGGATCACGAGGTCAGGAGTTTGAAACCAGCCTGGCCAACATGGCGAAACCCTGTCTCTACTAAAAATAGAAAAATTAGCTGGGTGTGGTGGTGCATGTCTGTAGTCTCAGCTACTCGGGAGGCTGAGGCAGGAGAATCGCTTGAACCTGGGAGGCAAAGCTTGCAGTGAGCCGAGATAGCACCATTGCACTACAGGCTGAATGACAGAATGAGAACAAAAAACAAACAAGCAAAAAACAAATATTCAGCAATGCTCATGCATCTATCTATCTATCATCTATCTATCTATCTATCTATCTATCTATCTATCTATATTCTTAAATTAGTCACAATTTGGCTGCAACCTCCACCCTGCTCTTCTTCTGGCTTCTATGGGGATGAACTCTCTGACGTGTTTCTTTTTCATAATGAACAAAAACCAGTCCTCCAAAAAACCAAAAAGAGAAAATACTATGTCTTTTGTGGTATGCTCAGAGTCAGTTTAACTGGGAAAACGCTGACTGTGGAGGGAGAAGACAGCATCAATCTTCTGGGTGAAGGTCAATCTTCTGGGTGAAGGGCAAGGAACTTCACTTTCCTGGCCCTGAGATTAGCCTGTTAAAAGGAAGTATCGAGTTGGGCGACTTCTAAATGTCTTCTAGTCTCTACTACTTATGAATCCCAGTCATCTATGGCTCTCCTGCAATTTGCACAGTCATCATCCAAATGCAGATGATAGTTCACCCCTATGCTCCACTTTATGAGAGACCAGGATTAGCTGTGGCTTAAGCTCTATTTGGTAGAATACTTGGAATGAAGGTGAATCTAAACCATTAAAAGATTTAGATTTCTGAAGACACTGAAGGGAACTTCCTGAGGTTCTTTTAGTATTAGTAAGTATGAAAATGCTAATTAATTTATTGGCATGATTTGCTGCCTGATGAGATGACAGCACTCTGATGCTCTGAGCCTGTGAGAACTTGCTAACCTCAGGGTTCTTATAATTTAGTTTTACCTCCTGCTGAATCATTTTTCTAGTGGCATGAATCAGGTCTCATTGGAACTCCTCTGCATTTTTTTTTTTCTAATTTCCCTGCTGAAACACATCCTGCCTGCATCTTAAAGACTAAAGATTAGGAATTTTAACTAGAGAACTGGAGAATTACTGAATGAGTAGGCAATTAGTTGCTGAAGGATGTGCCAATTGTTGTTGGAAATATAATTTCCCCCAGATTTGCAGGAAGGGATTTGGTTACAGAGTGTTCTCCACATTGGAGATTTGAGCTATTGTGCTTGCCAGGTCTTTAAATAGGCACCTGAACTTTATATTCTTGGCTCAAAACTTAAGAGACTGCATTTTATTGTGTTAAGCCTGCCTTCAATTTTGGTCTCAAGTTTTATTGATTTATTGCCTGATAAGAAATATTTTAAAATGGCCATTTCTTCTTTACTATTTTGTAAAAATCATGTTAGTGATTCCTATAGACAGATAAATATGCCCTAAATGTTATTGCACTTTTATATTTCAGAAATTGATCATCTATCTTCTTTTAGGAATAGAAATTGTCAAAATAGAAGGCCAATGTTCCCTATCAAAGTAAACAATTTTAGAGATAAAAAAAGCATCTTAGAGATGTTAGCCATCTCATTTTTGCAGATGATGAAACCATGATGCTGGAGAGTTGAATGTCATGTTCAAGGTAACAAAGCTGGCTATTGCATAGAACCACATCTAGTGCCTCTTCAGTCTAGGGATTGTCTCCCCAAACTACATGGCCTGTCCAGCATTACTGAAGTTAATCACCTTATTATAATTTCTTTCATTGGTCTGGTGAATCAAACATTGGATGGAATTTTAAAGCCTGGCTCTGAGCCCTGCCTGACTTTTCAACTTGCTAATTGTGTGATACTAAGCCTCAATCTTGGAGCCATTTATTTTTCATCTGTAAGGCAAGGATAAGAATATTGACATTGCAGAACTGGTAGAGCAATGAAATGAGGCAATATTTGAGAAAGCATAAGCCGAAAAATTGTGTACAAATACCAGTGAAGGGTATCTATGGTTGCCTATATTATAGATTATTTTGGTTGCCTATCTATAGAATTATTTTATAGATGATTTTATTGACATCAATAATTTCAGTGAAATAAGCCAGGAACAGAAGGACAAATAACTCATGATATCACATACACAGATGACCCCCAACTTACAATGGTTCGACTTAGGATTTTTTTGATTTCACAATGGTGCCAAAGCAATACACATTCACTAGAAACTGTGCTTTAGTACAGTATTTAATGAATTACATTTAGATATTTGGCACCTCATTATAAAATAGGCTTTGTGTTAGATGATTTTGCCCCAGTGTATGTAGGCTGATGTAAATGTTGTGAGCATGTTTAATTTAGGCAAGGCTGGCCGGGCATGGTGGCTCACGCCTGTAATCCCAGCACTTTGGGAGGCCGAGACGGACCTCCTGACGGAGGTCAGGAGATCGAGACCATCCCGGCTAACACAGTGAAACCCCGTCTCTACTAAAAACACAAAAAATTAGCCGGGCGTGATGGTGGGCACCTGTAGTGCCAGCTACTCGGGAGGCTGAGGCAAGAGAATGGCGTGACCCCAGGAGGCGGAGCTGGCAGTGAGCCGAGATCGCGCCACAGCTTGGGCGACGGAGCGAGACTCCATCTCAAAAAAATATAAGGAAAAAAAAAAAAGTTAGGCAAGGCTAAGCTATGGTGTTTGGTAGGTTAGGTGTATTCAGTGCATTTTCAGCTTATGATACTTTCAACTTATAATGGTTTTATCAGGACATAACCCCACCATAAGTCAAGAAGCCTCTGTACGTGGAATCCACAGAAGTTAAACTCATAGAAACAGAGAGTAAAATGGTGGTTACCAGAAATGGGGGTTGAGGGGTTTGAAAGGATGTTAGTCAAAATATACAAAATTTTAGATAAAAAATACCTGAAGGAATAAATTCAAGAGAAGTAAGTTCAAGAGCTCTACTGTTCATCACAGAGTTAATAACAATATATTATATACTTGAAATTGCTAAGAGAGTAGATTTTAAATGTTCTCACCACAAAATAATGATAAGTATGTGACGTAATGCATGTGTTAAATAGCTCGATTTAGCCACTCTTCAATGTATACATATATCAAAACATCGTAGTTGTACACCTGACATATATGCAATTTTTACTTGTTAATTAAAGAGAGAGGGAGAGAGATTTTACATCGAACTCCCTCTGTAGCTTAGACAATGATTCTAAAAGGGAGTTACTGCTTATCCCCCTGTTGCCCAAGGAATAGCTGTCAAGAGAGAAAATCATGTATATGAAGAGCTTAGTCAAATCAGTTGGCAGTTTTAATAATCATACTTTTTCAATCACCCTGATTGTTTGGCTTACTCAGGATCAGATCTTTCCTGACATTGGTTATTCCTTGAAAGCTGCAATCTGTATCTTATTCAGTGTTCGCTATAAACATAATAAATGCTCTGTAATTTACGTTATATGTAAAGTATGGAGGTTGTCTTTTCAACAGGCCATCGCCAACAAAGTCTGGGATGGCGCTTTCTTAAGTGTGAAAGGAATTTGAAACAACCAAGCTGATCAATGAGTCTGGGCGTCAAAATAGTCAAATCAGTAGGTCACATCATTTCATCACACTTGTGTTTACGGAACCATCACCACAATCAAGATACAAAAGGATTCTATCACTACACGATTCCCTCATGTCCCCCTTTCTAGTTCATTACATCCACCTCTCTTTCACCAACCATCCCTGAACCCAGGCAATCACTAATTTGGTTTCCATCTCTGTAATGTTGTCATTTTGAGAATGTGACATAAATGGAATCATACAGTTTGTGATCTTTTGAGACTGGCTTTTTTCACTAAGCATGATTCCTTTGAGATTCATCAAAGTTGTTATGTGCAATAGTTCATTCCTTTTTATTGCTAATCAGTATTCCAAGGAAGAGATGTATTAGAATCTGTCTAACTATTCACCTGTTGAAGGATATTTTGTTTGTTTCTAGCTTTGGCTATTATAAATAACTTTGTTTTGTTTGTTTTTAAAAAGACAGGGTCTCACTCTGTCACCCAGGCTGGAGTGCAGTGGTGCAACCATAGTTCACTGTAACTTCAAACTCCTAGGCTTAAGTGATCCTCCCACCTCAGTTTCTTAAGTAAGCAGGACTACAGGTGTATGCCACTATGCACTACTAATGTTTTTATTTTTGGTAGAGATGAAATCTCACTATGTTGTCCAGGCCAATCTTAAACCCCTGGCCTCAAGTGATCCTCCTGCCCTGGCCTCCCAAAGCACTGAGAACATTATTTTAAAATAAATTTTATTGTGTATATTTGAGGTTTACTACATGATGTTCATTTCTATGGGATAAGTGCCCAAGAGCACAATGCTGGATCCTATAGTAGGAGCATGTTGAGTTTTTATAACTACACTGCCACACTGTTTTCCAGAGTGACTGTACCATTTTACATTTCCACCAGTAGTATATGAATGATTCAATTTCTCTGCATACTAACCAGCATTTGGTGTTATATTATTTTTCATTTTAGACATTTTGATAGCTGTGTCATGATATTTCATCACAGTCTTACTTTACATTTCCCTAATGGCTGGTGATGTTAAACTCTTCATGAGTTCACTTCCATCCATGTATTCTCTTTGCCAAAATGTCTGCTTTTATCTTTTGTCCATTTTCTCATTGGATTTTTTTAACTTTGAGGTTTGATCTTTTTATATATTCTAGATATGAGTCCTTTGTCAAATATGTGGCTTTCAAATATTTTTATCTCCTTAACTGATCAGAAGTTTTTAATTTTGATGAAGTCCAGTTTATTGATTTTTAAGGAATTGTGCTTTGGGTAGAAGTCTAAGATTGCCTTCCAGAAATATTGTTCAAATTTACATTCTGACTAGAAATAATTATTTTTCTAATCCTCATTATTCATTGATTAAAATATACCAATTTAATGGACAAAATAATAACTTTTAAGATAAATGGTTTTTAATAATGTATTTAATTTTTGTGTTTATTGTTTATGAATTCCCTGGTCATCTCCTTTGTTCATTTTTCTAAAGGTAACTTTCTTCTTCTAATGTATTTCTGATATATTAAGGTACAATTTATCAATCATAAATATTACAAATATATTTTTGTACATTTACCTTTTATCTATTATATTTGGATGTACAGATGGCTTTAACTAGTATGAAGCCAAATCTATCAGATTTTTACTATATGCCTTCTATGTTTACATGTATAATTGATTTAGGGTTTATTATGTGGCTAGTTGAGAAAGATTCTTTTTCCGTAAATGATTCATTAATTATAACATCAAAGTATATTGAATAATCTATCCCTTTCAGGAGCTGAAATTTCAGGTTAATCAAATGCAAATATTTCTTGGCTATCTTTTACCATTTTTCATACAAAGAAATTTTAGAGTTATTTTTCTAAGTTACAAAAATATAACTGAAATTTTTTCTTAGAATTTTATTAAATGGTTGACTTGGGGAGAGTTTATATCTTTACACTATTATCTTCCTGTTACAAGAATGTGATTATTTTCCAGTTATTTGTCTTTGTTTATATCCATAGTAAAGTTTTTTAATGTTTAATATACCCTTTGAGTTTACTTCATGTATTTTATATTTCACAAAGCTATTGATAATGACTCTTTTTTCTTTATACTTTTTAACTGGTTACTGTTGATGAGTAAAATATTTCTTTTATAACTGGCTGAAATGTCTATTTTCCCATTCCAGTCAATTTTCTGTTTTTCCTAGTTATTGCAGTTTGATACTCACATAATCTAGAATAGTGATAATTTTGTCTTCCCAATTGTCACCTTTGTTAAGTTGCATGAAGTTAATATTTCAGAATAATGTTATATATTACAGTGGTTGCTTTGTCTTATTCTTAACTTTTATTAGAAAATCTCTTGTGGCTCAATATTAATAAAATATTGGTTGTTAATTTGAAACAGACTCTTCAATATGTTAAAGAAGAAAATGTATCCTAGTTTACTAAGAGATTACTGGTAGGTTTCACACTTGCTTGGAACCTGTGCTCCCATTTCTCTTTCCTATTTCTCCCTTGTGGAATGGGAATATCTATCCTATGCCTGTCCTACCATTGTATTTTGAAAGCAGATAACTTGTTTGGTTTCATAGGTTCACAACTGGGAGGAATTTTGCCTCAGGATGAATCATTTATTTTTGCCTTATCATAACTGATTTAGATCACGTTTAGATGAGATTTTGGAGTTAGAATTTATTCTGTATTATGGTAAGACTTTTGAGGCTACTGGGATGGGGTGAATGAATTTTGCATATGAGAAGGTCATGAATTTTGAGAGTCAGATAATGGAGTATTATGGGCTGACTTGCATTCTCCCAAAATTCATATATTTAAGTCCTAACCCTAGCACCTCAGAATGAGACTATATTTGGACTTCAGTCCTTTCAAGAAGTAATAAAGGTAAAATGATGTCATTTGGGTGAGCCCTAATACAATATGACTGATGTCTTTATAAGAAGAGGAAATTAGGTCACACACATGTACAGAGGAAAGGCTAAGCTGGATTGAGTCCTTCAAGGAGAAGGTGGCTTTTGATACTCTAAGGACAGAGGTCTCAGAAGAAATCACCCCTGCCAACACCTTCCAGCCTCCAGAACCATGAGGAAATAAATTTCCGTTTATGATACTTTGCTACAGCAGCTCAAACAGACCGACACCTTGGTCCCCAACCCCTGGGCCATGGACTAGTACCATTCTGTGGCCTGTTAGGAATCAGGCTGCACAGCAGGTGAGTGGCATGCGAGAGAGCATTACTGCCAGAGCTCTGTCTCCTGTCAGATCAGCAGCAGCATTCGGTTCTCATAGGAGCACAAACCCTACTGTGAAGTGCACATGCAAGGAATCTAGGAATGCTCCTTATGAGAATCTAACTAATGCCTGATGATCACAGTTTCTTCTCAAAACCATCATCCCCCACGCCAGCCCCATCCACAGAAAAATGATCTTCCCCAAAACCAGTCCCTGGTGCCAAAAAGATTGGGAACCACTAGACTAACACAATACCCTTGGTTCAATTGTTCAAGGCACAGGAGTATGTCTGGATGGTCATGTTATTCTGCACCAATTTCCTTTCACAGGTTATTTACAGGGTCCTTGCTCCTCATCTTTATAGATTAAAGATGTGGCTAAAATGTCAGAGGATGTGGGTGGAGGACTGGAGACAGAATAACAAACCTGAATTCCACATTCCCACATTATTTGTAAAATTAAACCTTCTCTCTTATTTTTTAGAAAAAGTAAAAGCAAGAAGCTGTGCAGCATTGCTTCTGTGACTGGCAATTGGGTTCAACTGGCAGTATTCATTTACCAAAGAAATAGTGATCTCATGTTGAAGATATAGCATCACCACCTAGAACTAAAAGAACCAAATCTTTCCCCCCAGCATGTCTTATTTTAAAGCCTGTGTTAGAAGCTACAACTGTCTGTCTAGTACCCAATCCTTTAGATATTGCTTTAAATGTTTTACATAAAAGAAGAATAAATGGAAGTCCTTCTTTTTCTGCTTATCTGCAGCATTTTGCGTTTTATTAAGTCTACTTTGAAGCAGACCAAGAATATTTTTTCTACCTTTCATTGATCCTCCTATTTCACCTTATAATTCTTTTCATTGATTAAGCCATGCCCCCTGAGGATCTGATTGGAAAGAAAGGAATCAGAGACTCAGAATGTTCACTTGAGCTGGAAAACAACTGCAGGATAAATTTCCCTGTAGGAGCCTAGAGGGACCTGTGCAGTAGGGCTATGCTGTCAGCCAGGAGTTAACTACAAGATAGAGAGCCCCTATTAGTTAATTTTTTTAATTAGTCTGCCTTTTGCATTCAGCAGTAAAGTCCTACTTAAATGAAAATGATTTTTCAGGAAGGAAAATCAAGAGCGAGTAGGGATTTCCAGAGAGGAGCCAGTGGCTTAGAGAGCAGGATCTGAAGTCAGTCCAACTCCCGCCCTGCCACTACCACCATTCGAGTTATTACATGCAACAGGGGAAGCTTATTCCTCTGTTGCCACAGGCAAAATTTTGAAGGAAGCATTTTTCTTCTCCTCTATTAAATACACTCTTATCCATTAAGCAGCCTCCTGTGCTAGCATCTGGCTCTCTTCCTGCAGCTAGGGGTTCTCCCCACTTGTGTTAGGTCCTACCCAAGCCTCACTAGCCCTGCCTCATCGAGATTCAGGCCTCTGTTGGGAGAAAGGAGCTAATCTTTCAGAGCCAAAGTGGTCATGCTGGCAGAGGGCTTCTAGTTTTCCAAGTGCCTCATTGACCTCCTGCTATGACTTTGAAAATTTCTACATTCTGGGGAGGTACATTCCTTGTGCCAGACACTGTGGGAAGCCTGGTACCTGCATTGTCTTATTCAACTCTGACAGCAAATAAGGGGGAATTACTGTAGTAGCTCCTCAACATCATCTAATACCTAGAACACAATTTTTTTCAATTTTTCTTTTAGGTTCAGGGGACACATGAGCAGGTATTTTACATTGGTAAATTTCATGATGCTGAGGTTTGCTTTACAAATGATCCCATCACTCAGGTAGTGAGCGTAGTACACAATTGGTAGTTTTTCAATCCATGCCCCTTCCCACTCTCTCCCCTCAGGTAGGCCTCAGTGTCTATTGTTCCCCTCTTTATGTCCATGTGTACTCAATGTTTAACTTCCACTTATAAGTGAGAGTACATGGTATTTGGTTTTCTGTTCCTACATTAATTCTCTTAGGATAATGGCCTCCAGCTGCATCCATGTTGCGGCAAAGGGCGTGATTTTGTTACTTTTTCATGGCTATGTAGTATTCTATGATGTATATGTACCACATTTTCTTTATCCAGTCCGTGATAGATGGACATCTAGGCTGATTCCATCAGCCTACTATTTGCTATAGTAGTTCCAATGTTTTAGTGGCTGTATAAATCACCTGTATAAATGGCTAATTCAAATTAAATCATACAGACATACCATGATTTATTTAATGAATTCAAAATGGCTAGATATTTAATTTGTTTCTAATTTAGGGCCATCATAAGCAAAATTGTTCTTTTGTCTTTGTAACTAAATCTTAGCACATTTCCTTAGTATTTTCTCATGGTAAATGTCTAGAAGTAAAACTGCTATTGCACAGGTGATGCCAATTTTAAGATTTGTGATACATAACTGGGAGACTCTTTTCCATAAAGACTCAATCAATTTCCCAGCCATCAAAACTACTTAATAGCTCTTTCTCCATGTCTTCACCAAAACAGAGTATTTCCCTTTCTGGCTACCTTTTTGGCTATTATCATAGGTGAACGTGGAATTGCATTGAGCTTGCTTTTCTTTGCTAACTTTAGTGTGTTTACTGGCCATCTGCATTTCTTCTTGGGCAAATTGCCCACTGTCTTAGTCCATTTATGCTACTATAACAAAATACGGGAGACTGGGTAATGTTTAAATAACAGAAATGTATTTCTCACAGTTCTGGAGGTCGGAAAGTCCAAGATCAAGTTGCTGGCACCTGGTAAGAGCCTTCTTGCAGCGTTCTCACATGGCACCCTGCAGAAGGGCAAGAGAGCAAGCTAGCGGAACACTGTGTGAAGCCTCTTTTATAAAGGCCTTCATCCTATTAATGTGGAAAGATTTCAGGACATAATCACCTTGGAGAGGCCCCACTTCTTAATATTAGCACATTGGCAACATCTGAATTTTGGAGAGGACACATTCAAACCATAGCACCTGCTTATATATTTTCTTTTGAAAGAGGTACTCATCTTTTTCATGAATTTTAAAAGCTCTTTTATATTAAAATGTTAATCCTTTGTTGATTATGGTATATGTATAGTACACTGCAAATACTTTCTCCATTTATTTGTTTCTAAAATTTTGCTTTTCTTTTTGTTTCAAGATATTCATAACTACCAATCTTTTCCTTTATGCTTGCTCTGGGATCATTTTTATAAAGACCTTCCCAGCTCAACACCTAAGAAGATTATATAGTCATATATCATATATATTTTATCTTAATATTTTGTTTAACATGATCATATTTAATTTATATGGAACTTACTAATATAAAGTATAACTAACCTATGCCTTTATTATTTTTCATATATTTATTCAGTTTATCCAAGATCATATACAGAGAGACTGAGAGATAGATGTAGATTTTTATATATGTATATATATCAAATAATATTATCCAATTTTTCCAAGATCATATATAGAAAGACTATATATATATATATCTGATATATGTATGTGTATATATACATCTGATATACGTATGTATATACATATATATATATATATATATCTCCTTTGATATATACCTCTATATATCTGTCTCCATATGTGTGATCTTGGAAGAACTGCATAGATTTCTGTCTATCATCTATCTCCTTTCTCATGTTTATTATTAAACACATGTTTTTTTCTTCTATAGTATTTATCTAATCAACTGTAATTATAGAGCTCCTATTATATTCTATACACAGTAATTAATAGGTGCAGAGGATATCTTTGTGAACAAGACAGAAAAAGTCTCTTTCATTTTGGAGATGACAGTGCAAAAATAGGAGGCTTGATGAAAAAGTCGCAAATAGCTATACAATGGAATTTTAACTCTGAAGAAAATAAAGCAAGGGAAAGGAATAAGTGAGTGATGAAGATAGGCAGAAAAAATTCAGAAAATTCAAAAAGGTTTGTCTGAGGATGTGACATTTGACCAGAGACTATGATTAGCCTCGCTATTTGTGTTTTATTAGTCTCTTCAAAGAATGAGCCGTTGGATTTATTTATCAGGTCTACTGGCTTTCTATTTTCTGTTTCATTAATTTCTATTTGTATATTTATTTAGTTCTTCTTTTATATCTTCTTGAGAGGCAGTGAGGCATTCTGGACAGCACCTGAGAATAAGAAAATGCTCACGTTTCTATCTCTTGGTCTGACTGGAAGGGATTATTACTTCCTTGCCTTGGAGAGGTCTGCCCTCCAACTTTAATGAAAAGATTCACAGGTCATTTTTAAATGGCTACTCTTTATTCTAGAATTTCCTTTTCCTTGGAAAGAAGAGAAAAGATTTCTTTTCCATGATACTTTTAGGAGCACCCAGCAGTCAGATGATTGCAAGGAAAAAAGGAACATGCTTTGACCCTGAGGGTGGTACTTTTATTCAGTTGGCACTCGCTGAACCAAAGCTTCTGCAGCATGAATGCAGCCTGAAGCAGGAATCTATCCACAAGAAAGTGCTTTGTCATGCTAATTTTAAATTCAGGATTCATACTACCAAAACGGAACAGAGAAGAATAACTTGCTATGAAATAGCATTAGTTCTATTTGAAGCTGGAAAATTCATTGAAGTTCTAGTTCCAGACCAGGCTAGTCCATTTACCCAATTTGCCTTTCATGCTCACAGAAAACTCATTTTGTCCATTTCACTATTCAGGATGATTTTTAAATTGCATCGCACCTGTTCAAAAGCTGAGAGGAAGCACGGAGACCACATACTGGAGATGGTAAGTATCACACTTCACAGTGAAATAATAATGAAGAGCCCCTAAAAAATCACCCATCAGACAGCCACAATAATCCCAGATACGAACGAGTCTAAAGACCAGGAGTGCACAATTACAGTGCTTGGGTTATTTTCATCAATAGCAGACAGGCTGCTTCTTTGCACATGGATAAATAGCTTATTCATTTGTGTTGGAGTATATATATATATTTGTTACCTTGAAATGTAGATGAAAAGCTCAAGTCCACAACTCCATGGCAAGTGAAATAAACTCAGGCAGAGTATTATCAAACATTTGGACACATAGAAGCAATTTTAAGAAGGATGGAATTAATTGGTTCTCATTTTCCTCAATCCTCTATGCTAAGACTTCTAAAAGTATATTCTTTAAATACAAATCTAGAGAAAAAGAGAGAGACAGATTCTGGAAACAGTTTATTGTCATCTCCTTCTTAGAGATCCACCATGTATATCTTCATAATAAAGACATTAAAAAATCCAACAGTAAAGAAATCCATCTATTTTTATTCCAAGCATTTCACACAATATCTTAAGAAATCAGCATTTGATAAAATACATATTAGAAAATATTGTCCTCTGCCAACCTTTATTTGCTGAATAGAAAATTTCAATAATGTATGGCACATTCTTTGACAGTTACTCTGCTAATTTGGGGTCAAGCTCACCATTAATCTTTTAAACTATCATAGAAAATAATTCTGTTTCGATCACTTTTTCTATTTTATACTTACTGTGCAAAGGTATTACTGTCATAATTCTTAAACTTCTTCCACGCACCTGATACCCCTTCACCTACTTAATGGGTTTTCTAACTCTGACTTTCTTGTTTTGAGACAAGAATATTTTGGAATTTACAAAAATAAATTTGGGGCACAGTACTTCAGTCAATTCGTAATATGAAATCTGGTTTCAGGAGATGATAAAAATACCTTCAGACCTCATGTTATGTGGTAGGTTCATAGGATTTGGGACCAGTAGTCATCTTTGCATTCCTACTGTTACTACAGTGTTTGTACATTTTAGATAATTATAAAGGATTGTGAACCAATGAGAGATTTAATAGTAAATTATGCTTTTAGGAAGAAACTGTAGAATAATTGATATTGCCATTGGAATTGGAGACAGGAGATCTAGTTTCTGGAGCTGCCCACTGCTACTAATGAGTTCTAAGCTATCTAAAAATCCATAAACCTAAGCTCTCTGCTTCAGATTCCCCATCTGTTAAATTGGAATCATACAATCCAATCACCATATTTTTCAGAGTAAAATAAGGTAACTAGTGTATAACCGTGTTGAAGAAGTTAAGAATACTCTATGTTTGGAAAATAATTTCATTGGCATTATATATGCACCCCCTGTCTTACTTTAGCTTTCATGTGAACTGGAAGCTATCATTGCATCAAAGCTTGGGCCAGGGAGAGGATGATCTGGCACCATACTGAAACTGCAGATACAGCCAGCTCTAGGCAAAGTTGTGAAGGAAGAAATCTTGGTCACCTCCGTGCATTGATTCTCCTCTTATATTGCATTCCTCCTTCCAAGCCAGTCAGTGAGTGCGTTCCTGAAAAATTTATTTAAAGGAAATTTCTAGAAACCTGGTAGATTTTGCTTACTTTATGAAGAAAGCAATAGTTAATTTGAAAAATCCTAATCATTACATGTGGAATTTCAGCAATTAACAAGGCATTGAAGAGGGCTGGGGAAATTTTACTAGCCCTTTTTCCCAGTATCTCTTCTATTATACCCAAATATTTTGAGATATGAATTAACACCCCCATTTTACAGATAGGAAGATAGACTCATTGAAGTTGACTTGTCCTGGCTTCAAAGACCGTAAGTCAGAAGAACCAGGATTTGTCACCTGCCTGACTCAAAACTTACTCTTTTTCTTTACATCCTATGACATCAGTGGGTGAGAGCAAATAACCCCAGAGCTTCAGATATAAAGAGAAGCAAATGAATTATTAGATTCTTCATTCTTTATTTGGATGTTATTTGTCAAGAAGGCAGGCTGTGGAAAGTATTGTCCAACACCAATGAAATATAAGTTCTAATAAAGACTATTAGAAGATACAGTGATCTAGCATAGTGGTTACAAGCCAGAGATGTGGAAGAGATTGCCTGTGCTGTTATCTGGTCTCTGTTAATTATTAAATGTATATATTGAGCAAGTTAGTTCAACTTTCTATATACCTTAATCTCCTCATCTATAAAATGGAGATAAATACAGTACCAACATTTTTGGCTTTGAATCAGGATTATAAGTTTAAAAATTTAACTGACTGTCAGTTCTGCTATAACACTTGTTTTGAAAATGGGAATTTGGCCCCATATAATTCATATATTAGGGAAAAATTCGAGCATTCACTTGAATTTTGCATTGTTGTGTGCATAATTTTATTCATGAGAAATGCTAGATGAGCACAGAAACCTGCATTTGGCTGAGTGGGGCTAATGTAGAAATATACCAAATGTTTGCATGCACACACCTGTACACACATACAGCACCCACGCACACACACACCTCAAGCAGCTACCCTCTCCCTTAGTTCACTGCATATATCATGAGCCACATCTAGTGTTTCTATTTTTCTTTCCATTTCAGATACTCCTCCTTCTGTCACTTCAAAATAACACAGGCCAGTAGCCCTTCCGAAGCCCAATTCCACAAGAAAACTTCAGACCTTGTTAAAATTCCAAGTTTATTCCAGTAATTTATCTGTTTCTTAATCATCCAATATATGTAAAAGCTTGCCACATTTTTATTGGTTTTCTAACTTTTTTAATGTGTCACTGATGGCAGTTTTTGAGTGTTGTATCTCAACTCCATTTTTTCCATAGTTTTTTAATCACATGATTTTGCATAACATGGTGATTTTTTTGCAATGCAAATATCTCATTATAAAAGAACTGACTATATTTAGAACAATGCCTGGTATACAATAAAACATTCAACAAATTGTTATTATTATGCTAAACAGATAGAATTCTTTTGACCAAATGTTAAATCTGTTTCATTATGAAAGAAGAAAGAATGCTGATATATTTTAAATCATGGATAGAATTCAATCACTTAATATTCACTCAACAGATAATTATTGGTTGCCTCCTAGGTGCCTGGTGCTGGGCTGGCTGAATACAAAACCAGGGGAAAAAGATGCGGTCACTGTCCTCACAGAACTGAAGGTCTAGCCAAGGAGACAAACAACTGAAAAAGCAAACTAAGTGTCCAGGCAAAGTATACAGGGGTGCTTTGCTAGTGAGTACATTGCAGCAATAATTAATCTAGCATAAGAAGGCTCAGAAAGAAAATGACTTTAAAGCCAAGTTCAAAAAGATGTGTAGGACTTTCCCAGAGATAGAGCTGCTGGGAGTGGAGAGTATGAGGTGTTCTAAGTACAGTTAAAGCAAAGGCCTGGAGGAAGGAAATGTCCCACTGAATGAAGTTCCTTGTCTTGTGTAGTGAGAGGCAAGGAGGGGTTAAGGAAGGAGGCTGAAGAGGAAGACAGACACAAGTAAAGAAGTGCCTGCTAAAACCTACCAAGAACCCTGAGTTTTATTCCAACAGTGATGGGAGATGATTGAAAGACTTTGAGAAGGGGATTCAGATTTTCACTTTAGAAGATCCCTCTGGCTATAAGTGAACAATGGACTGAGGAAGGACAAGATGGGGTGGATCAACTCATTCCAGGAAGTTATTGCACAAATATGGACAAAATGCACAATTGCATAGGCTGGCTGCTTTGGCACTGACAAGGGTGAACTCCACTCACTGGGACCTCCTGCACTGGGATAAGGAGCATGCAGGAGCTGGAATGAGTGCTTTTGGGCACTGGCAGGAGTGAACTTTGTACTGGCCCTGTGGCAGCATCTGGGGCTAGGGGGTGCCTGTGATCTCCAAAGACCCAGAGGAAGTGTCACAGTACTCTTTTAGCTCTGCCATTTGCAGGAATAAATTGAAGATGGTAAATGTGGGGGATTTTATTGCCCATGAAAGTGGCTGTCAGCTGGAAGGGGAACTGAAAAGGGGATAGAGTAGGAAGGTCCTCTTGTCCAGCCATCTCTGGCCAGATTCTTCTCTGAAGTTACACCATCAAGCTGTCCCTCTGAAGTCAAGCTGCTTCTCTCTGACCAACTGTAGTCTCCAACGTCCAGTTTCTTCTCCCCTTTCTGCCAGCTGAGCCTGAGGTTTTTATGGACACAGGATGTGGGGCAAGGTGGGCATGGGTGGTTTTGGAAAAGGCAATATTTAAGCAGGAAAACAGGGATGTAAGTCCTCACTTTGGGCCACAGTTTCAGGCTTGAGGGTGGGGCTCTTGCCGGGGACCCACCCTCTTCTGCCCATAATTTCCCTGCCTCCTGTCCCTGTCACTTGGAGGTGGAATGAACTAAATTCAGTGGAGTGTGGTGAGGGGAGGGGAATGAGTGAGAAGCAAGGATCTAGGATGACTCTCAGTTTCTGGGTGAACCATTTTCTGAGAAAATATGCTTGAAGAGAAAAACAGATTTGAAGGGAAGATGATGGGTTTTCAGCAGACTGGGCTGTTCAGACAGGAATAATACAGGGTGGTCACAGCAGTTTCACATGACTAGATGCTACGGGCTGATAAGACCCTGAAAAACAGGATGTGGGCCAAGCTGGCTAAGACTGACTGGAACCAACATGGGCTGGATTTGACCTAGGTTCCACCGAGAACCTCATTATATGCTCATTTACATAATTACCCAACCACCAGTGCCATGACAGTTCCAGGAACACCCATATTTGGTGTAAAAATGGGCGACTCCACAATTCCAAGAAATCTCCACTTTTTCCAGGAATTTTCATGAATATCCCATCCCTTGGTTAAATAAATTCATAAAGAAAGATACCCTAAACCCCACTGGGTGACTCTGTCTTGAGTACATCTACACTCTCCTTGCTTGAGTGTGTACTTTTCCCATTACAATAAATCTCTGTACTTTCACTATTTTCAGATTTATCCTTGAATTCTTTCTTACAGTGGTGTTAAGGGCCTGGAAACTGGTTGGAGTCGAGGTCTCACCAGCATTTGGACCTCCCCCAGCCCACCAGTATCACTTTCACCATAGAATTATCATGGGACGAAAAACCATGCAGGATGGAAGGGTTTAGTCCCAGTAGATACCCAGGACTTGAATGGCCCAATGAATTTCAGATGGAATGAAAACCCAGTGGATTTTTAAACTCAATTATATTTGGTAAAACATGACTGTATGGGTTCTAAGAGAAAAGTGTTTGGTGGACTCTACAGTGAGATTCTAGAATTCAGGTCTCGTATAAATAAGAGAGCTTGGTTTTATTTTAGCCTGTCCAAAATCATGCTGTGAAAAGTTTTGATGAGGTAAGTGTAAATAAATCAGAAAACATTGTAAATGTTTACATGATCACTTGAAAATGAAAAGAAAGAATGTTTAGGACAAAGTACATTCTTAGTTCTTTTGAACCAAAAATATTTCCACAAAGTATATAAAATGTACAAAAACAGCCAAACTGAGGCCCATCTGTCCTTAATTATAACAGAATAACATGAAAAGAAACCAAAAGACATGACCCAACCTGCTTCCTTGAATGGTAATGAAAACCCAGTGAAACATTCTTATTTTCTGCTTTCTACCGCAGTGGGCATCACATTCTAAAGGGATGAGAAATACAGCAATGTCGTTTATTTCTTAAAGCATGATTGTTTTTGTAACATGATTTGTAACTGGGCTAAACTTGTAGAATAAACTGGTACACTCTGACTCCACTTAGCTTCAGTTTTTAACTAAGCCTAGAAAATAAGAGAGTGAAGCATCACATTGCTATAATTAGGGTCTCTAAATATGTATGGTTTCAGAGATACTATATCATTATACAGTATGTACAAAGCTGGAATAAATACTAGGCTTTCTGAGCACAATGCTTATAAAACAACTAATTGCAATTTACCTTTGTTCTACTTGTGGGGTTTGTCTTAGTATCTGCCAACTGATTTCTTATTTATATAAATATCCTTTAAAAGTAAGATTTACTTTTGTCACATCTGAAAAAATTGCAGTGGCCAAATAAAGGTATATTTTAGCTAACTGCATTTAATTTGTCACTGTGAGAACATGATCTGAAAGTGGAGATTTAATGTTTTAAAAATTTTTGTAGGTACATAGTAGGTATATATATTTATGGGTTGCATGAGATGTTTTGATACAGGCATGCAACACATAATAATCACGTCATGGAAAATGGGATATCTATCCCCTCAAGCATTTATCCATGATGTTACACACAATCCAATTATACTATTTTACTTATTTAAAGTGTACAATTAAATTACTATTGAATAGTCGCCCTGTTGCACTATCAAATACTAGGCCTTATTCATTCTTTCTAACTATATTTTTGTGACACCATGCGATGTTTGTCTTTCTGTGCCTGGCTTATTTCACTTAACAAAATGATCTCCATTTCCATACATGTTGCTGCAAATAACTGAATTTCATTCTTTTTTAACGGCTAACTAGTACTCCATTGTGTATAAGTACCATATTTTTCTTAACCATTCATCTGTTGATGAACACTTGGGTTGGATATTTTATTTTTTTCCAACTATTGCTGCCTGGTGAACTGATAGGGACCAGAAATTTACAAATATGCAGAATTTTTTTTTTTTGTCCTTGGAACTTGTTCTTATTTGTGGATGTTAAGTGAAGGAAAAACAAACTATTGTTGATTTGGTTTTAAATAATTCATGGGTAAATGAAGCCACAAACTGTAAATTACAAAGGCTTTCAGAAGGGCAGAGTGAGACACTCAGGGACATTGGTGGCAGAGAGTGCAGAGGTGAGCTTCATGAGATCACACACGGCCGTAGGCAAGGTGGGCATGGGGAGGACTTGAGATGGCACAAGGATCCATCTTAGGGATGTGTGTGCCCATGAAGCATGGAAATAAAGGAAAATCTTGAGTTCCTTCAAGGTAAATTCCAGGCATCTAGCTAGCCATGAAAAGTAAATGACTACCTTAATAAGTAAGGAGATAATAGTAACTTAAAAATAATGGCAGAGGAAGTTAGAGTAAGGAGATATTTTGTTTCCTATGGAAACTAAAGTAACGTCTTAACATACTCTGAGTTGTTTTTCAGGAACCTGGACCCCTACCACATGAATCCACTGGCTGGCACATAGACCTCAGATAAGGAGGTACTAAAGACTGAACGCTGATGGCTGTTTTCCTTCTAAACTTCTTCCCAAAGGGCCTCAAGGAGGTCATGCCCACGAGCCAGAGCTAACATTCTTTTCTGCTGACCCCAAAATTTTAAACAAAGCTTCTCTTCCTTGATCAATTGCAAATCAGAAAATCTTTGAATTTACCTATGACCTGTAAGCCACCCCTCCACCCCCCGCCACCCACGACCCCCACTTTAAGATATCCCACCCTTTTAGGCCAAAACTAATCTGTAACCTCCAGGTATTGGTTTGCAATTTTGCCTGCAGTTTCTGCTTTCCTGAAATTAAACCCTGCCTTTAAAAATCCTTACCTGCAAACCACTAGGGAGGTCAGAGTTTGAGCATTAGCTACCTGGTGCTCCTTGCTTGGCACCCGGCAAATAAATGCCTTCCTTTTCCCCACTGCAAACTCGGTGTGGTTATCTGGTCTTACTGTGCTGGGTGAGTGGACCCCAGTTCAGTTCTATAACAGGCTGGGCTGGGTAAACCTTCCCATATTTGAATGGTAGGAGAATACTTATTCATCAACCGTTAAAGATCCAACATAGGAAGAAAAAATTAGTCCTTATTTTGTCTGTCTTGTCAGATTGTGGAGAGGGTCAAGCAAGTGTCAGGTGAGTTGTGTGTGTGTATGTGTGTGCGTGTGCATACTCACTAGGGTTGGGGGTGTGGTGAGGGTAGGTTAGAAGAAATAACTTAATTCAAATACCACAGGATATGCAGGTAGAAACAGTATGTGAGAATCAGTAAGGTGTTCTCTGAAATTTGACCAGTGGTATCCTGGATGATGTAGACCGTAGACTGTGCAGTGTCCAGTTCTTTTATTAAGTACATGGGGTCTGTAGTCACACTTCCTGGGGCAAAATCCTGCCTCTTATGTTTTTGACCTTCGGCAAGTTACCTCACCTCGCAAAACCTGTTTCCTCACCGGTAAAATGGGAACAATCACAGTACTTATGTCATAAGATTGAAATGAGAATTCAATGACAGTCTGGATTAAACACTTAGTACGTGGCTTGGCATGGAGAAAATGCTTCATAAATGGTAGTTCCTATAATGACATTTTTATTAGTGTTATTTATATTCTGCATTTGTCAGAAAAAGTGTTCTGCTTTTGTATTAGTCTGAGTTCTCTACAGAAACTATATATATATATACACACATATAACTATATATACACATGTATATACACATATATATATACATAACTAAATTGCATTGGTCATGCAGTTCCTTGGAGGCTAAGAACTCCAAGATCTGCAATTCATGCTGGAGGGTCAGGAGAGCTGGTGATATAGTTCAGCCCCAGGTTCAACGACCTGAGAACTAAGACAGTCAATAGTATAAGCTCTAGATCTAGTCCAAGTCCAAGTCTGAAGGCAAAGACCGGTGTTCCAGCTCCAAGACAGTCAGGCAGGGAAAAAGAATTCTTTCTTACTCAGATTTTTATTTTATTCAGGCATTCAACAGATTGGATGAATGTTTTACTGCTTTACTCAATGTAATGTTTCCAATGTCAATCTCATCCAGAAATACCCCCAGAGACATACTCAGAGATAATATCTAACCAAATATCTGGGCACTCTGTGGTCCAGTCAAGTCAATCCATAAAATTGACCACCACAATCATTATCACTTTCTTCATCCTGCCTTCTTAGTGTTACTTTGTTGCTTTTTCTAGCTTCTTGTACTACTTTATTTGCTTACTTATTTTAATATTCTTTGATTAAAATAGCACTTAAAAGCCATACTTGGGAGGCTGAGGCAGGAGAATCACTTGAAGCTGGGACGTGGAGGTTGCAGTCAGCTGAGGTCATGCCATTGCACTCCAACCTGGGCAACAAGAGCAAAACTCCATCTAAAAAAAAAAACAAAACAAAAAGCTATACATTTTATCTAATAACTATTTTGTGACTACACCCATAAGATTTAATGTCATGATTTTTCTTTTATTTTCTAACAGTCTGTAACCAGTTTTTTTCATATTTGTTATTAAGGTGATTTTATTTTTATTTACTTATTTTGCATATATTTTTGCACCCCAGAGAAAGTGGCTTGTACAAGTTCTAGTTTTGGGAATTTCTTGAGGCTGTCGCTTAGTGTATAATAATAATTGCATTTATTTTTAAAAGTACTATTTAGATATATTTTTAAAAGTTTTTCATGTGTGAATTTTATTTAATTCTTACAACAATCCTATAATGTAGATATGATTATTATCCTAATTATACAAATGAGGACATTGAAGTTCAGAGAGGTTCACTAACTTACTCAAGAGTGCACAGTATTAAGAGTGAATAGTAAGCCCAAGTTAAGAGCCAGATTAAAGATCAGACAAATAGACAATGACCCAGGGCACCAAGCTATGAAGTGTGATGTGTTAGTTAGCTAAGATTGCCATAGCAAAGTGCTGCAAACCGGGTGGCTTAAACAACAGAAATGCATCATCTCACAGTTCTGGAGGCTGGAAATCCAAGATCAATGTATTAACTGGTTTGGTTTCTTGTGAGGCTGCAAGGGAAGGATCTTTTCCATGTCTGTGTCCCATCTGCTGATTGCTTCCCACCAGTCTTTGGTATCACTTGGCTTGGAGAAGGATTATCTTTGCCTTCATCTTCACATGGCATTCCCCCTGTGTGTGCCTGTTCAAATTCCGCCCCCCTCCCTTTTAAAAATAAAGCCACCAATCATATCAGATCAGGGCCCACCCCAGTGACTTCATTTTAACTAATTGAATTTGCCAAAATCCAACTTCCAAGTAAGGTCATTTTCTGAGGTTCTGTGAGCTAGAACTTTTAACATATACAATTCAACCCATAACAAGTGATAAGTCCCCATAGGAATAAATTGAAAATCAGTTTGCGGGTAATTTTTGTTTCCACTCAGAACTTCCTAAGAAACTGATGAGCTAGCTGCAACCTGGTACTGTTCTGACAGAAGAGACAGAACTTTGAGACAGCATTAAAAACAAACAAACAAGCAAACAAAACTCCTTTCCAGTGCCAGTCTGTCTCTTCTACCTTTTTTTCTTTGTGGCAGGCATATGCAAGTTATTGGATCTAACTATGGACAATGCCACTATCTCCCAGAGTAACTAGTTGGTTTGTGTCTGAGACTGAAGGCAACATCAGCTAACATTTTGAAACTAAATAAGGTGTTGTGCTATTTATTAATAAGAATCCTTGTACTTTGTAAAATAAATTTGCACATTTCAATATTTTTCGTGAGAAACTATCTGGTCATAATATCAGATTTAAAAATGAAACCGAATAACAAAGACATAGAATTAACCTAGGTGTCCATCAATGGTGGATTGGATAAAGAAAGTTTGGTACATGTACACCATGGAATACAACCCAGCCATAAACAAGGTTAAAATCATGTCCTTTGCAGCAAAATGAATGCAGCTGGAGGCCATTATATTAAGTGAATTAACACAAGAACCAAAAACCAATTACCACATGTTCTTATGGATAAGTGGGAGCTAACCAGTGGGACATGAACACAAAGATGGCAATAATACACACTGGGGATTACTGGAAAGGGGAGGGAGGAAGCGGAGCAAGGGTTTAAAACCTAACTGTTGCATATTATGCTTATTACCTCAGTGACAGGATCATTTGCATCCCAAACCTCAGCATCACACAATATCCCCAGGGGATACATGTGCCCCCGAATCTAAAATGAAAGTTGAAAGAAAAATGAAAATGAAAGTCACGTATACCCAACAGAAATGAACATCTGTGTTCACCAAAATGTGTGCTCTGAAATGTTCATAATTGCACCATTTTAAACTGGAAACAACCCAAATTCTATCAACAGAAAATGGATAAACGACACAACGACTATCACGACCATAATGATGAGCAAAAGAACTCACATGCACAATGTATGGGTTTTACCCATCTAAGTATCAAAAGTATGATTTCACTCATCTAAACATCAAAACAGGGACAATGACTTGATGGACCTCAGAGGAGCATTTATCCTCAGAGGATGCTATGACTGTGAGGGACATGAGCAGTGGCTCTGGGGTATTGGTAATTTTCTGGTTTTTATTCTGGTCGCTCACTATATGGTATATTCAGTTTGTGAAAATTCATTGATTTGCACCCTTATGACAATGGATACTTTCATTTAAATATATTATGCTTCAATAGAAAGTTAAAAGTAAATGCAAATATTAAATCTTTAATTGTTTTGTTTTCATAAAAGCATGGAGTTGCATTTTTATTCCCGCATATGAAAACTTTTAAAAATAGCACATCTCTCCACCCTCACAATGAAGAAACAGAAAAAATATTCAAAAGGAAAGAATCAAGCATTTATCTTGACTTCTCCGTGTGAGCAGCATGACTGGGTAACCAAATAGGAGAAGAGGGGAAGCATCTCTTTATATGTGTTTTATCTAATAAACGAAAAAGAAATGATGGAATTGGAAATCACCGTTTGGCAACCACCAATGAATGAATGGATCTAAGCACTGGGCACCAACAGCTGCTAAGATCACAGAAGGAGAGACAACCAGATGGATGCTGGTGAAAGTGTGCAACATCACATGGTCTTGCCAAAGGACTTGAACCTGAGTCTGGATCCAGCCTCTGGACTCAGCTGCCAATCTGCAAGAAATCCAGAGGGCAGAGGAACTGCACTATGAGTATGCAATTAACAGAATGAAACTGTGGAATATTCCAAATGCCCTGGATTTCTCAAAAAGTAAATTGCGGCCAGCGGCAGTGGCTCACACCTGTAATCCCAACACTTTCGGAGGCCGAGGTGGGCAGATCACTTGAGGTCAGGAGTTCGAAACAAGCCTGGCTAACATGGTGAAACCGCGTCTCTACTAAAAACACACACGTAAAAATTAGCTGGGCGTGGTGGCGGGCACCTGTAATCCCAGCTACTTGGGAGGCTGAGTCAGGAGAATCACTTGAATCCGGGAGGTGGAGGTTGCAGTGAGCCAAGATGGTGCCATTGTAGTCCAGCCTGGGTGACAAGAGAGAGACTCCGTCTCAAAAACAACAACAACAACAACAAAAGTAAATTGTAGGAAAAAAAAGAGATGGAGGAGAAATTTGTGGATTAAAATGGGATAAAATGTTAGCTTTTAAAAAAACGAGCAAGATTAAACATAGTCTCTAGGAATGGACATTGGGGTGATCTGTATAAAAGGAGAGTAGTTAC
Source organism: Homo sapiens (assembly GCF_000001405.40). Lineage (NCBI taxonomy): Eukaryota > Metazoa > Chordata > Mammalia > Primates > Hominidae > Homo > Homo sapiens. Next base: position 26,978,124 of record NC_000008.11, read on the forward strand.
TTTTAGGGGAAGCGAGGGGATCATGAGAGACACAGGCCACATGTCCTTACCTGGGTGTTGGTAAGAAAAGTACGTTGTAACTCATTAGGGTTTGCATTTGTTTGGTAGGGCCTTCTGTATTTGTGTTTGTTTTACAATAAAATATTTTAAAGTAAATAAAATTATTTCTAAAAATATTTAGCTCCCCTATTGTTCTTTGAAAATAAGACTGCTGACTATTTACCTAAATGTGTCCTTTTTTGGTGTTCTTTACATATACAGAATGTGCCTTTCCAGTTTGTTTTCAAAAGCAATTTTTAAAATGATACCGTGGTTAGTAAGAAAGCATCCTGAGCTGCACATTAATTTTGTTGTTTAGTAAATGGTAATTGACCTAAAATTCTTTCAGGCATTAAATGCCACTTAATTCAGCAATATTTGGAATCTTTTTCTGTATTAATGTTTATTATTAATCGCATTTAAAGCATGCAAATATAAATCATTCTGGCTGTACAGGAAGGAGGTAGTTACAAAGAAAAACAAAGGACTTTGAGCAGTTACTTCTATGATAATTTGTGCTTTGAGCTCTGGAATGGCTGAAGGTGTTCCATATCCCCTACCATTAGATTTCTAGAGAATTCCCTGAATTTTTGTTTTGTTTGTTTTGTTTTTTTGAGACAGAGTCTTCCTCCGTCGCCCAGGCTGGACTGCAGTGGCACATTCTTGGCTTACTGCAACCTCTGCCTCCTGGGCTCAAGCGATTCTCCTGCCTCAGCCTCCCAAGTAGCTGGGATTACAGCTGTGTGTCACTATGCCTGGCTAAGTTTTGTATTTTTAGTAGAGACAGTGTTTCACCATGTTGGCTGGGTTGTTCTCGAACTCCTGACCTCAAGGGATCCGCTTGTCTCGGCCTCTCAAAGTGCTGGGATTACAGGTGTGAGCCACCATACCCAGCCCCATAAGCACTAATTTAAAATTCAAATGACAAATTCTTCCTTCTGGATTTATCTCACATATATATATATACATATATATATATTTTTAAACTACACTTTTATTGAGATGTAATTTCTATACCACAAAGTTTACCCTCTCAAGGTGTATGATTCAGTGGTTTTTAGTATATCCACAAAATTGCGAACCCATCATCACTAATTCCTGAATATTTCCATCACCCCAAAAGGAAACCCTATATCCATCCTTAGCATTCACTTCCCATTCCTCCTTTTCCCCAGACTCTGGCAAATACTAACCAACTTTCTAGTCTACGGATTTGTTTATTCTGGACATTTCATGTAAATACAATCATACAACATGTGGCCTTTTAAGTCTGGCTTCTTTCACTTCACTTAAGCTTTTATGGTTTATCCATGTTCTAGCATGTATTGGTACTTTATTTCCTTTTATTGTTGAATAACTTTCCATTTTATTTATTTATCTATTGATGAACATTTGGATTGTTTTCACCTTTTGGCTATTGTTAATAATACTGCTATGGACATTTGTGTACAGGTTTTTGCAAGGACATGTTTTCAAACCTTTTGGATATATACCTAGGAGTGGAATTGCTGGGTCATATGGTAGTTCTACCTTTAACTTTTTTAGGAACTGGCAAAATATTTTCCATGTGACTGCACCATTTCATATTCCCACCAAAAATGTATGAGGGTTCTAATTTCTCCATATCTCAGGCAGCATTTGTTATTATTTATCTTTTGATTACAACTATGCTAATAACTATGAAGTGGTATCTCATTGTGGCTATTTTTAAGAAAACACAAAAACACATCCTGAAAAATCCTATAACAAAATCAACATTCATGGTAATGATACAGGAGTTAAGAAGAAATTAGTTAGGCAGATAGTGAAGGTATGGAAGTCCTTGGTAAAGTTTTTCTTTTTATGAAAAGCAGCCCCAAATTATTTTCCTTTCTAACAAAGAGCAACCTGTAAAATGGAGCTGCAGACACAAGTACAGGCAGTTACAGCCAATCATGTTCAAGATGGCAGCTCCACCTTCCCTTCTCTTTGTCAGCCACGTGTACAGTAAGGAGGAGACAAGATGGTGCCCGGCCAAAGGGAAAGTTCATTTGCATAATAAAATTAGGGTGAAGAAGCTAGCCTTCCCAGCACTATGTAAATGTCATACATAATGGAACCAATCTTTGAGCCCCATGTAAATCAGACACCGCCTCCTCAAATCTGACTACAAAATCCAGGGCATTCACTGGTGGCCTGTCTTTTCCTCTCGAAGTCCCCTCACACTAGAGAGAGAGCTGTTTCCCTTTCTCTTTCTTTTGCCTATTAAACCCCGCTCCTAAAATCCTCGTGTGTGTCTGTGTCCTAAATTTTCCTGGTGCGGGATGACGTACCCAGGGTATTTACCTCAGACAATGTAGAGGTAGCCCCTTCAGTAACATCACATGTAGGCAAGCCAGAATGCACAGAGAAGCAAACCTGTCATCAGATCCTCAATCCCATGGGATGGTCACATAACCCAAGATAGGGCACCTAACTGACAGTCTCCTGGGGTCCTCTGAAGGGAACATCTGTTTGCATTGGCATCATGGGTTAATTATGGGTATTATGGGTCTCCTGAGTTACTAGAGACAGCCATGCTTAAAGTCAGTTTTACCCACGGGTAATTTAATTACATGAGACAACAAATTCTCCTTTGTTGTTGTTTATATCAAATAGTTTTTGTTTGTTTGTTTGTTTGAACTAGTTTAAATTTGGCTTCTCTCACTTTTAACTAAAAGTCCTGAGCAATACAGCCTTCTTTTAAAAGCTTAAAAGTGGAATTTCTCATATAGTTTCTACTGCATGAGAAGAAATGGCTTCTAATTTTTATGCATGTAAATTAAATACTATTTTCCTTTTAAATAATAAAGGGTAAATTTATTATTTAACAAACACTATGTATTTCCTTCTCAATTTGGCATTCACCTAGCAGTACACCAAACTCCACCAAACTTCTCAACAAATTCCCTAAAAGACAACACAAAAGACAAAAATTTACACTCTCACTAAAACTTAAAGTTCACAGACAACTGTCAAAATCTGGAGAAATTTCCAGATAAATTATAAAGCAATTCGGAAAAATTCTCCAAGGCTAATTGTACCCTCCCATGTTGCTTTAGTAAAATAAACTACACACAAAAAGTAAGGAAATTGTCTGTACATCTTCAACAACATGCTCCTTCAATTAAAGGCCTGGAATCTGTACTATTAACAATGGAGGCTGCTTTCTCCTCTACTCCATGAGTTGTACCATGAGGCAGGCAGAATGCTGCATACTAACATCGTTCCCTTAATACTTCATTTGTAAACTCATCAGAAGAATTCACCTGCACACACACACAAGAAAAATTCCTGAAAGCCTCCAGACAGAAAAAGTAGGCGATTTACAAAGGCCAAAAAATTGTTCATTTTCAATCTTCTCCTGATGTAACATAAAATGCCAGAAGCAATAAAATACAACCAAACACCGTCTGTTCTCACTCATAAGTGGGAGTTGAACAATTAGAACACATGGACACAGGGAGGGGAACATTACACACTGGGGCCTGTCGGGGTTGGGCGGGGGGGTGGCTAGGAGAGGGATAGCTTTAGGAGAAATATCTAACGTAGATGACGGGTTGATAGGTGCAGCAAACCACCATGGCACGTGTATACATATGTAACAAACCTGGACATTCTGCACATGTACCACAGAACTTAAAGTATAATAATAATAATAATAATAAAACTAAAGAAAAAAAAAGAAAGAAGGAGCCCTGAGATAGCCAAGTATAAATGGGTCCCTGGAGAATCTCCAACCAACCTCCGCACTGGGAGGATGGGGCAGGGCCTCAGGAAGCTGGTGCAGTTTGCACCGAGGAGGAGCCTTACCACTCCTGTTCCTGTGTGGTAAACCGAGATTCAATCTGTGAGATGGGGGCCTGTTAACAGGAGCCCCTATCGTTTTTCTGAGAGTCTTTTTCCTTTTCACCCAATAAGTTCCAGTTTTCTCACCCTTCTATGTGTCCGTGAGCCTAATCTTTCCTGGTCATGTGTCAAGAACCCGGATTTTAGCTGAACTGAGTAGAAAGTCCTACAACAGCCCCTTAATCTTTGCAATTCGAAGTATTTTTCCATGGACTCAAGAATTGAACACTTGGAGCATGTTAGAAATGCAGAATCTGAGGCCCCACCCGAGACTCCTTGTATCTTAACAAGTTCCTGAACAACTTGTATGCACAATGCAATGTGTGAAATACTGGTCTAAAAACCACACAGAAAACATGTGCTTCACATCAAGGCATATAGTCGTTCTGTTCATTTCGGCAGAAAACTCCTGTCACTAAGATATGACATGTCCTCAAGGCATGACAGACTTAGGGAGAATGAGTTCTAAATTAATATATTGAAGTGAAAGTACTCAAAGGGATATACAGATTCAATGCAATCCCCATCAAAATTCCGATGGCATTATTTTCAGAAATAGAAAAAACAACCTTAAAATTCATATAGAACTACAAAAGACCCCCAACAGCCAAAGCAATCTTGAGAAAGACGAACTAAGCGGGTGTTAACACACTTTCTGATTTCAAAATATGTTACAAATTTTCAGTAATTAAAACATCATGGGGCCGGGATAAAGACAGACACATAGACCAAGGGAACAGAATAGAGAGCTCAGAAATAAACTAACATATGTATAGTCAACTGATCAACAACGGTGTCAAAAACACACATTGGGGAAAAACAGTCTAACAACGTTGGGAAAACTGGACATACACACGCAAAAGAATGAAACTGGACCTTTATCTTAGACCCTACACAAAAATCAACTCAAAAATGGAGTAAAGACTTAAATATAAGATCTAAAATGGTAAAATTCCTTAATGAAAATATTCGTCAGTTGTTCTTGGCATTGTTCTTGGTAATGATTTCTTGGATTTAACACCAAAAGCACAGACAACAAAGCCAATGTAGACAAATGGGACTATATCAAACTAAAAACTTCTGCACAGCAAAGGATGTAATCAACAGAGCAAAAAGGCAACCTGTGGAATGGAAGAAAATATTTACAAATCATGTATCTGATAAAGGGTTAATATCTAAAATATGTAAGAATCTCCTACAATTCAATGATTTTTAAAAAATGAAAACTGCTTTGTAAACCAAAAAATATCTGAGACAGGTCTCAGTCAATTTAGAAGTTTATTTTGCCAAGGTTAAGGACATGCCTGGAAAAAGGAACACAAATCCAGAGGAGCGATAGGTGGGCTGTGCCTGTTTCCAAAGATTTTGAGGGTTTAATATTTAAAGGAGAAAATCAGGCTGGAGGGAAAAAGGGGAGGCTATGGTCACATTACTGAATCCACACGTTGCAAGAGAAAGGAGCAGATAGGGGAATAATTAATTATGTATTTGTCTTGCGCTCAGTGAATCAGCACATCACGTAAGACAAGGCAACCAGAAAGTTGCTACCTGTGGAGATATTTAACCTTTTATCTGTAGCTATCTGCTTAGGAACAAAAGGGAAGGCAGTTTCTTGCATGACTCAGCTTTGGATTTATTTTCGTTTCTCAACTTGAATAGACATTTCTCCGAAGAAGACATACAAATAGCCAACAAGTATATAAAAAGATGCTCAACATCATTAACCATCACCAAAATCCAAATCAAAGCCACAGTGAGATATAACCTCATACCTGTTAGAATGGCTACTATGAAAAACAAAGCAAAAAGTAACAAACGGAGAAACGGGAACCCTTGTACACTATTGGAAATGTGGATTGGTTGAGCTACTATGGAAAAACGGCATGGAGTTTCCTCAAAGAATAAAAAATAGTAATACTATATGATCCAGCAATCCTACTGCTAGGTTTATTTCCAAAGAAAATTGAAATCAGGATCTCAGAAGATATCTGCATCCCTACATTTATTGCAACATTATTCACAAATGTCAAAATATGTAAACAACCCAAAAATTGATCAACAGATGAATGGACAAAGAAAATATGGTATATACATATGGTGGAATACTATTCAGCTATGAAAAATAAGCAAATCCTTCCATTAGGGACAATATGGATAAACCTAGAGAACATGATGCTAAGTGAAATAGGACAGACATGAAAAGGACAAGTCCTGCATGATTGCTTTTACATGAGGTATCTAAAATAGTCAAATTCACAGAAGCAGAGACTAGAACAATCGGTTGCCAAGGGATGGGGGAGAGGGAAATGGGAAACTATTGTTCAATGGGTATGAAGTTTCAGGTACACAAGATGAATACGTTCTAGAGATCTGTAGTACAACATAGTACCATATTTAACAATGCGACATTGTGCTGTTTAAAATATGTTAAGAAGAAAAATCTCAGGTTAAGTGCCGGTACTACAAAAAACAAAATAAAACAAAATAAATAAACAAACAAAAGTCCACAAAAAAGCACAAGGAAATCTTTGTCAGAGACAGATCTGTTTAGTACCTTGACTATGGTAATGGTATCGTGAGTGTATGCATACGCCCCAAAACATCAAAATGTATACATTAAATAGTGCAATTAAACAAAAAAAACACTGGGCACTGCAGCACTTCATAACCCCCTCCTTTATAAAATATTCTTCGTGAAAAATGAATAATTATAAATGAAAAAAGAGAAAGAAATGAGTGATAGATCCTATGCATTATAAACTACTATTAAAAAGGGGAAGCATGAATTAAAATTGAAAGGCAAGTAATTAACACAAAGCAGAAGACAAATGTGGCCTCAAAATAGAAGAAAGTTTTAAAAACATTGGAGATTTGAGAGAAATTAAAGAAACATGGCTTCACTTAAAGAAGACTTATAAGGAGAGGTATAGCAGACCAAGAGAGAGATGCTAAGTCCACAAAAGGCAACGAAAAAGTGAGCTGGCAGAGTTAAAAAAGGAAATGAAAAAGAAAGAGAAAACATTATGTAAATTAAAGCCACATTTTAAGGAGTATTGAATTAAATTAAAATGTGAAGCTCAAAACACAGTAAGATTGAAAAGATTAAAAATTGTCTTAACTAAAATTTACTCAAGTCTTAATACTGAAGAAGTACATGATGTTCTAGAACACTGTAAACAGAATGATACCCACTGATCCACATCTTTGTCATGTTTCTGGACCTCAAGAATGAAGAAAGAATTTCACAAACATTCAGGATAAGTCATGTTTAAGAAATGAAAAGATCAACCTGGCCTCAGACTAACAGAAGACACTCAATGGCAGAAGATACTGGAACAACTGAAAAATTGGGAGGGAGAGAGACTATGCCCCTAGAATTTTACACTGAGCTAAGCTGTCCTTCAACAGACTAGCCTTCTGGCATGCAGGAATCTAAGAAATGGAGCACACATAAATATTTCTTTAAGGAAAGATCACAGAAAGACAAAATCCAACAAACCAATAAATAATTTAAAATTAAGAACTCAGAAACATAAAGGCTATGGTGGTCACTTTAGGGTTCACTCTTGGGCTTCTACAGTCTGTGGGTTTGGACAAATTTATAATGGTATATTTTTACCATTACAGTATCATACCCATCCACGGATTTTTAAAATTTAATAACAACATTTTATTAGGCCATTCTCACACCACTATAAAGAAATATCTGAGACTGGGTAATTTATTTAAAAAAACAGTGGTTTAATTGGCTCACGGTTCTGCAGGCTGTACAGGAAGCATAGTGCTGGCATCTGCTCATCTTCTGGGGAGGCCTCAGGAAACTTGCAATTATGGCAGAAGGTGAAGGGGAAACAGACATGTCTTACATGATCAGAGCAGGAGCAAGGGAGAGAGGGAGGGCAGGTGCTACATACATTTAACCACATCTCGCGACAACTCACTCACTATCAGGAGAACAGCACCAAGGGGGAAATCGACCCTCATGATCCAATCACCTCCCAGCAGGCCCCACGTCCCACATTGGAGATTACAATTCGACATGATATTTGGGTGGGGACACAGATCCAAATCATATCTAACATTTTAACTGGCAGATTTCTAACTGGTTCTGTTTTATATTCACTGCTTCTTATTTTATTTCTGCCACTTTAAAAAAATATTGTCTTTTTCTTACTGATGTTAGTCTTACATTTTTTTTCAAGAAACTAAATTTACTTATTTCAAACTATCCACTGGGTGCTACATTACTCAGATTTATCTAAAAGGATTTAATCTTTGCTTTTGAAAATTTCTTGGTCATTTTTCGTATTGTATTTCTTTACTTTTCAATCACAAGTTCATTTTGAGCAAAGTTCTCTCTTTATCCCTCCCTTTCTCTTCCTCCTTGTCCCCTCTTTTCCTCCTCCTCTTTCTTTCATCCTTCTCACTGTTTCTCTTCCCCCATCTCCCTCTCTCTCTTTCTCTCCATCCCCATATGTTTGTTTCCATCTAACCTCTCAGAAGCCCATCTCTAAAGCTTCCAGATTGTGTACTGGGAAGTGGTTTAGAACCCCTCACCATAGTGATACCGGGGTTGCTGCAGATCTCGCCACTAAGCTCAGCCGTTGCTGATGGGGAGATGCATCTGTGTCCCCCTACTTCCCTGGTTAGGTCCCTTCACTCCACTCCAAGCCCAAGCAGGGATGGGCAGCAGCTTTTGTAATCATCTTTCATGAGTGCAGGGGACTTCTTGAGGCCCTCTTTTCAATCAGGGGCTGCTGACTCTGCGCTCCTCCTCTTGTAAAGTCTTTTTATGATCTTGACATTGTAATAGAGGAATTCTGGGCCACTTTGGTTTTTTGGGGACCTAAAGTCTGTGAAGCCCACAGATTCAGCCCTGACTAGTCCTTTGAGTTTCTGACCCCCCTCTGGAGCCACAAGCTGTTGATTTTTGTACTTGGGTCTGTCCTTTAATTTTCTGTCTCTCAACATTATCTTTCAATGATATATGTGCAAAGTAGAGTGTAGTTCAAAGCATGAATTTACAACTCTTTCTCTAAAAGAAGCATCCCTCATAAGAGAGTTTTAACTCTGTGTCTACCAGGAGGTGTGACAGCCACCATTCTTGTGAATTCAAATAATTCAATTGAAACTGAGTTCAACAGACTGAAACTTGTTCCATTAGCCAGAAAAGCTCAAGTGGTTTTTTCCCTTATTATATGATGGTTATGCATTTCAGCTCTAAGACCAATTATCTTCCTATTGGAGCAACGAGTTTTCCAGACTAGAAAAAATACGCATTAAATTTATAAATATTGAAGGTTTTTTTAAAGGAAATCTTTGTTCATCACATAATTTTTATGTGATAATTGGCATTCCATAAAAATATAAGTATCTCTAAAATAAAGATAATGAACTGTATGTACTGTTTTAGCAATGCCAGGGCAAATTTGGTACATTTTGTTCCATCCAGCTATTGCATCCTTTTCATATTAGTCTTCTTTTAAATATTAGATAAAAATGGTACTGTGGGAACATGCATAAGACCACTACAGAAGAAATAAAATACAGCATCTGATCATTTTGTTATGACCATCTTGTTCTTTGGTCAATTAGACAGTTGTCTCATTGATGGCCAGGTCTCCCTTATACAGGCATTTTTATCACAGGTCAATTTCTTGTAAATATCATCATCACCTCCCTGAACTACTTGCATTATTAGTGCTTTAGTCACAGTGTGCTAAAATCTCCAAAATAAGAAAATATATTGAAAGAAGCTGGAATAGCTTCCAAATCATGCACTAACATTAAAATCCCAAGAGTTGGAATAATTTCTAATTTTGCCCAACTTTTGAAAACTCATCCTTAAATTGAGATTGTAGTAGCAAAATAAAATAAAATAAAATAAAGGTAGCAATGCCTTAAGAGAATGAACAAAATTTTTAAACAAAAAGAAAACATATAATTAATTAATGGGCAAAAATGTTAAACAAAAATTCCTTCTTTTCCTGCAGCATTGTGAAAAAAAATTCTTAATTTGGCTGAAGAAAATAAAGCAAGAAAAGAAAGAAAATTCTATCTTTAGAAATTGATGATGGAATGCTGGCTAAAGGCTGCATAATGAATTTGAATTTTTATTTCTGCATCTTCCAAAAACAGAAAATGAAAGAAAGGGGACTTTATTTACAACAAAAGTTATAAACCCACATGATGAGCGTAGGTGAGACAGTTAGGACAAAGGTGGCTCATGTATTGCACTCCAGCCTGGGCGACAAGAGTGAAATTCCGTCTCAAAAAAAAAAAAAAGGTTTTGGAAAATAGAAAGCAGAAGGAAAATTGGTGATTGACTAATTAGACCTGATAGACCTGATAGAGTTGAAACCAGGTTGGCAGGAGAAAGTGGAGGATCACTTTTCCTCAGGCTTCTGGGGAAAGACTGTAAGAAGAATGTTAGAGATGAAAACAAATCAGCAGGAAAAAAAAAACAACTTGGAAGGATTGAGATTATTGAAGGGGATTAAAACTTCGAAACAATTACTAATATCTTCCAAGAGGTAAGAAATGAGAAATGATGCTGCATCTATGAAACAAGTACAGGATGCCATAGATGACTGATAGATAGAGGGACAGATGGATGGATGGATGGATGGATGGATGGATGGACGGACAGACAGACAGACAGACAGACAGATGGATAGACACACAAACAGGGAGATATTCCAAAAATGAAAAGAGTTCTTGGAAAATTAAAAGAAACATGACAGCAGAAAAGAACCTCAAAAAAGGAGATTTGGAAATAAATTTGAAGAAATATACCAGCAAATAGAAGGAAAAGGCAGAGATAGGAAACAGAGAAAACATTAAAATAAAAGATAATTAGGGGATTCCTATGCCCAACCCTGACCCTAACGTTAACCAAACATCTTAATAATAGGAGTTCCAGAAAGAGAGAATAGACAAAATAAAATGGGAGATGTGATCAAAGAAATACTTTAAAAAAATCCTAGAATGGAAGTATGAATTTTCAGATTGAAAGGATACCCTGAGTGTCCAGAATAATGGCTAAATATAGACCCACGTTAAGGCACATCATTGTGAAATTTCAAAACAATGGCAACAAAAAGTGAGATCCATAAAACAGGTGTAAAGGGAGGAAAATAAAGTTCCTGGTTTGAGGATTCTTCAAATCCTCTTCAGAACCATCAGTCAGGTCCTCTGTGGCTCCAACCATGTCTCATCAAAAGACAGATTGCCTTTTCACCCTGCAAAACTGGAGGCAGGTTATAATTTGCAGTTTTTCTGCTTCTCATATGTAAAAGGGGATTTGCTTATGGACAACTTGGTGCAAGATACAATGGAGATCATAGTGTTCTTAACTCCAATATCCAGAGGTGGCTTTGACCTTGATTCAAAGAAATGTGACAGCAGAAAAGGAGAAGCTCAAAAAAAGGAGACTTGGAAATAGATTTGAAGAAGTCTACAAGGAAATAGAAGGAAAAGGCAGAGATAGGAAACAGAGAAAATATGAAAATAGAGGATAATTAGAGGATTCCCATACCTAACCCTAACCCTAACCCAACATCTGAATAATAGGAGTTCCAGAAAGAGAGAATAGATAAAACAAAATGGGAAACATGACCAAAGAAATACTTTAAAAAACAAATCCTAGAACGTAAGTATGTAAATTTCCAAATTGAGAGGATGCAGTGACTGTATCCACCTGACATGACCAGCAAAAGCAGAAATGTCCACCTGTGCCGGGGCACCTGTTCCTCTGGCCAGTCCTCCTTCAGAACACAGGGCTTACCTACAACACTTTTCAGACCTTGCACCCTTCACCTTCTGCTCCAGATGACCCCTCATCATCACCCCTTCTGCACCCACAGCTGCATCTGGACAGCAGCAGTGTTAGCTGAGACAGCTCCCCAAAGCCCACTGTTTACCAAGGATCTGAGGAGGCCCATGTGGGAAAGGGAGCTACCAAGGTTCAGCAACCTCTTACTGCCTGTTTGAAACAACCTCTCCTCCTCATTCCCCTATCACACACTCCCCACATTCCCTCTCTTAATATCTCCCCTCCCACAATCTTGCTCAGCATCTGTTCATCAATAACACAATCATTAGAGGCCCTTCGTTTTGTAATCTAATTTTACGTTGATAATTCTTAGATCATCATATTTTTTTTCCTCAAAACACTGAAGACCTGGCTTCACTGTCCAGGAATTAAATGTTGTTGACAAGTTATCCAACTATGACTTGGGTACACATGAGTTTTCAAAAAATTTTAATTTAATTAGTTTACTGATTGAAGTAGAAATTTGTCTGCGTGGATTCTTTCTGCAGCCAATTATCCTCTCTACCATCTCTCTCAAAAAAGAGTTTGTTTTTGTTTTTCCCTCAGGAACATGATTTCACTGGCCTTGTAAGGAAGAAACAAAAATACTACACTTCAAAATAAAACATGCTCACATTCACTGGGGTAGATGATAACTTGCCTAAAATCAATTATTACTCCTGCTTATGGGTAAGGCTAGGAAAATTGATATGTGACCAAGAGTTCTTTTAAAATTTTTCATGAAAATGCACACACACACAACACATACACACACATAGTGTACACACGCACACATTCTACTAGCTGTCATTTTTAATTGATCAATATGGGGCAGCAAGGTATACATGAATCCATCATGTTAGGCTCTTATCTGAAAAGTGGCCAGATGGTAACATGATATCATTGTAAATTTCAATAGAGAAGAATTCAGGATTATTTTTGCACTGTGATCACCTGTGGTCAGCTGCGTAAATTTCAGAAAATTAAACCTGTTCTCTCATCCAGGGAAACTGAAGGGAGGCTGTTATTCTTTCTCTTCATCTTTTGACAGTTAGAGCAGAAAGTGACCTAAGGGTGACAAACAGATATTCTTGAAGGAGCAACAAAAATCAGAGAGTCAGCAAGGAATTATTTCTGGCGGTTGCAGCTGAGTCCAGAGCCTAGTGCCTTGGGCACCACTCATTGGCCGTTTCTCGGCCAGGAACTTGACCTATCCCCTCCCTTTAGTCTTGCTCAAGCCTGTTTCTCCAGCTTTCTGATCCCTCCCAACAGACTACCTTCTTGCTAAGTTTCAGATTCAGTTTCAGTAGTTTGTATCCAAGGAATCATGATCAATTCTGAAGAAGCTGGTGACTTTATGGCTGTTGACCAAACTTCTTTGGGGAATATTGAAAGAGTTTGGCATGTCTGTGCATGATGAAGATGTGTAGAGCATCCTTTTTCCGTAAAGTAGCAAAAACCCGATGTCTCACATGCATCAGAGGGGCTCCATCTGTGCAGAGTAGGAAGTCGTTACTTTCAGTGAAAGTGGTTTGGCAAAAAAAACTATTTACCATTTCCAAAACATTGGCAATGTTTGTTATTTCAAAAGGAGCTTGCATAATAAGATTTTTTTGATGGCATTAGCATGTAAATAGTGAATATAAAAAAGGAGGTGATTACATAAAAAGATGTCTGTAGTTTCAACCAGTTGCATACTGAAGGGGAATAAGGATGCTGTCAATTGCTTGATGACTTGCCTCAAAATCTTAAAAGCAATGTCAACTATTCCAGAATGTGTCATTAGACAAGAAAATCACTTCCAGTTTTTCCTCTATTCTACTCCACAAACCAGCTTGACTATTTGCAACACATGACTTTACTTAAGCCTCTCCAATAGAGTGAAGCTTCCTGAGTTTGGCAACTTTCTACGATGTGTTGAGAAAAGGTTTTTGTGAAACAGTAAATTAAATGTTTAGGAAGGTCCCAGCTTCTTCAAGTTAAAATTTCCTCACTTTACCACTTCCTCACCTAAAATATTTTGTTTAAATCTGTTTTTAGAATGGGCAGATGTGAAGTGCTTTATCGGTTTCCTGGATTAATACTTTAATTGACAAGACTTTTTGGCCCAGAAAACACTATGGCTTTTGTGTTCTACCATCACATCACATCAAAAATGCAAGTGAAAGCGTGATTACCAGAGTCATCATCCTTCCATTTCTTTGGCACTGCCACTTAAATGAATCTGGAACAATAAATAATAAATCATTCCTCAGTAATGCTGATTCAACTGACTTTTGCAACTCATTTATTTTGCATTTTAATTAGTTTAATCTGCAAAGATCGAAGTAATTTTTATGTTAACTAAGTAGAGTGTAGGATAGTCAAGAAATTTATATAACAAACAAAAGACAGCAGATTTTACAATTTATCCAAAATTTTAATGAGTTTTAATCCTTATGTATACATGCGGATTATAACAGCAGTTTAGAATGCATGTCATTCCTGACATTCAGCAACAGTCAAGGAGAGAGTTGCTTGGTTTTGTTTTGTCTTGTTTGCCTTTGTAATATAGCAATTTCTGAATGCTTTCACAGTTGTCTTGCAGAGATTTTTGAGATATATAGAACTTTCACGAAATAATAATATATGAATATGGTTTGTGTCACATAGTGCATGTGCGTGCCATTACTTTGTATATCCAGAAAGTATACAAAAAAAAAAAAAAAGAATACAAAAAGAAAGCAAATTTGAAAAGACTCTACTGTTCTCATAGTATGCTACACTGGGAATGGCCTATGTCCATTGAGGAATCAAATCATTTAAAATAACACACTTCAACACTTATCTCAATCATGAGATATTTAAACTTGCTTGGTTTACATCCCCTTGGACCTAGTTACCTATTGGTTAACAAATAATTATAAATAGGAAAAAATGAAAATCAACATAGATGAGCTGAGTCTCCAATACAGAAACAAGTCATTTTACCATTTCATGGCAGAAAGGCCAGTAGACATAGAATCTCTTCAGAATTTTTCAACCGGTCATACAAGTTTCTGTAGAGGGGTGAACTGTGGACATGTGTGACCTACGAGCAGGCCTAATGACTACTGTAATTTTGAGATAGTGATGAGCATAGATAGTATTTCAAGGTACACACAGAACTGTAATGTGGTAGGAAAATATTTATGATCTCTATGGGTAACAAAGTTCACTGTCTTTTAGGAGGGCAAGTATTAAAGTGCTTGATAAAACTAAAGGTAGAAGTTTTATATTTACCAAAAGAAAAAAAAAACTCTTGAAACACTTTGAGATAAAGGATTTTATCCCTAGGTCAATTTACATGGCAAGCATATTTAATTATATGAATAAGTCTTTTAATTCAAGGCTCCGAAGTCACCATCAGAGATACAACTGAAAAAATTACAAACTTTCTCGGCTAGGCTGCTAACATGGAAGAAGAGAGTAAGGCCAATACCACTGCAAGCTTTCAAATATGGAATAAAGTGCTTTCCCTGCATGAAGATGAAGTAGGGACTTCTCTAACATGTTTGAATAGAGAAGTAATGAACACCCGGAAACACTTTAGAACCTTTTCAAATGTTTCTTCCCCTTATCTTGATGGCATCAAAATTAATCACAGATCCACAATTCTTTTCTTTCAGGTGTGAGTTGTTTGATGACTTTGACCTAGCAAAAATTAATTCAATTAATCTTAGGACAAAAATAATCTATTGTAATTGAAGTAATTAAAGCTTTGGAGAATTCTAGTTTCTCCTGAAAGAATCCTATCCCTGCTTTTTTAAGAAAGCTCTGAAATTTTAATTCCATTTGCAACAATATGTCTTTACAAATTGAGGTTTTTAACACATAATTATTAAAACAAATGGTCAAGATGAGTTGCTTGTCAACATGTCCCTTACTTTCCCATTTTCCCTTCCTTTCCTTTCTTTCCTTAATATTTCTTTCCTTCTTTTCTCTCTTTCACCCAGGCTGGAGTGTAGCACATTGTAACCTCATTCAACATGAAATGCATGCTCTCTCATCAAAGGCCACTCCACGGTGGCATTCTTATTCAAACTTAGCAACAATAATCTTCATTTTAACATATCTTTAAAAATAAAAATAAATTTAATTTACCGGTATTTCAAATGTCTTTTCTTTGTATTATAATGCAGGTATTGCTATAACCTACATTTATTTAATATAGGTATTAATATAATACAGATATTGCTATAACATACATCTATGTTTAAATATTTTAATAACTGTATTTCAATATACTTGGTTTCCTTTATAATCCTAGGTTTTTTATTTATTTAAAAAAATTCTGAACCTCAAAAATTAAATGTAAAATTACCACATGATCCAGCAATTCCATTTCTGGGTATATACTCAAAAGAATTGAAAGCAGGGACTCAACAGATATTTGTATTCCATGTTTACTGCAGCATAATTCACAATGGCCAAAAGGTGGAAACAATCCAGGCTTCCATTGACAGATGGATAAATAAAGTATGGTATATACATGCAATGAATATTATTCACTCTTAAGAAGGAAGGAAATCCTGACACATTACGACATGGATGAATTTTGAGAACATTACACTAGTGAAATAAGCCAGTCACACAAGGACAAATACTGTATGTTTCATTTATGAGGCACTTAGAATAATGAAATTAATAGAGACAGAAGGTAGAATGGTGGTTACCAAGGGCTGCAGGGAAGGATGAAATGGGGAGTTAGTGTTTAATGGGTGCAGAGTTTCAGCTGGGAAGATTAAGAGTTCTGTGAGTGCACGGTGGGGGTGGTTACATAACAATGTGAATGAATTTAAGGCCCTGAATGTAAACTTAATAACAATTACAATGGTAAATTTTATGTTATGTATATTTTACCACAATAAAAAAATTATTAAAAAGATTATTTTTATCAGACTGCGAAAAGCATTGTTGTCACAAAAGAGTTTAAGAACCGGTTCTAGGACTTGAGGACTTTTACCACTGTTTCTGAAACCTCACTGTCTTTTTTTTTTTTTAATCGCACTCCATCACCCAGACTGAAGTGCAGTAGTGTGATCTCAGCTCACCGCAGCCTTGACCTCCTGGGTTCAGGCGATCCTCCCATTTCAGCCTCCCAAGTAGCTGGAACTACAGGTGCACGCCACCACACCTGGCTAATTTTTGTATTTTTTGTAGAGACTGCGTTTTGCCATGTTGCCCAGTCTAGTCTTGAACTCCTGGCCTCAAGCAATGTGTCCACCTCAGTCTCCAAGTGCTGGAATTACAGGCGTGAGCCACCACATGTGGCCTGTCTTTTTAGTAGAGTGTATTCTGTGTAGCACGTTGTTCTTCTCTTCATTAACTTTTTTCTTCTTTCTATTTTTTGGTTTTTAACATAGTATTTTATACCACAAAATTTACCAATATTAAGAATACAATTTGGCCTAGCACAGTGGCTCACACCTGTAATCCTAGCACTTTGGGAGGCCGAGGTGGGTGGATCACCTGAGGTCAGGAATTTGAAACCAGCCTGGCCAACATGGTGAAACCCTGCCTTTACTAAAAATACAAAAAAAAAAAAAAATTAGCTGGGCAAAGTGGTGCGCGCCTGTAATCCAAGCTGCCCGGGAGGCTGAGGCAGGAGAATTGCTTGAACCTGGGAGGTGGAGATTGCAGTGGGCTGAGATGGTGCCACTGCACTCCAGCTGGGACAATGGAGCAAGACACTGTCTCAAAAAAAAGAGTACAATTTAATGAATTTTGGTAGATATATATAATTGTGTAAATAATGTGCAACTAAGATACAGAACGGTTCACGCATCCTAAAATAGTTCCTTGTTTATGCTTAATCAACCCTATATTCACTCCCACACACTAGACAATCACTGATCCCCTCTGTCAGTACAGAATCTCACTAGTTTCACATAAATGAGGTAATAGAGTATGTAGATTTTGTGTTGGACTTCTTTCATTTACCGTAATGTTTCTGAGATTCTTCCATATTGAATACATTAATATTTTATTCCTTTTTAATGCTAAATACTATTCCATTGTAGGGATATACAGAAGTTTGTTCATTCACCAGTTGATGAACATTTGGGTTGCTTCCAGTTTGGAGCTCTTATGAATAATGCTTCTGTGAACATTTGTGTTTATACTTTGTATAGACATTTGCTCTTATTTCTCATACTACTATGCTGGATCATATGATAAATATATATATAATATATAACTTTATAAGTTATCTGCCACACAGTTTTTTAAAGTAGCCGTACTATTTTCCATTTCCATCAGCAATATATGACAGTTCCAGTTACTCCCTAACCTCACCAATTGCTATTGTCTGTCTTTTTAACTTTAGCCATTGTAGTGGACATGTAGTTGTAACTTACTGTGTTTTACTTGCTTTCTGATGACCATTAATGTTGAACATTTTTCCTTGTGCTTATTAGTGACTCTTACATCTTCTTTAAAAAGTGTGTCATCAAATCTTTTGTCCATTTTTTGTCTTACATTATTAAGTTGTAAGAATCATTTATTCTGGATCCAAGTCCTTTGCTAAGCATATATTTTGCAAAAATTTCTTCCAGTCTATAACTTGCTTTAAATATGCCTTTCAAAGAGCAAACATTTTTAATCTTTTTTTTTTTTTTTTTTTTTTTGAGACAGTCTTGTTGCCCAGGCTGGAGTGCAATGGTGCGATCTCGGCTCACTGCAACCTCTGCCTCCTGGATTCAAGCAATTCTCCTGTCTCAGCCTCCCATGTAGCTGAAATTACAGGTGCCCACCACCATGCCTGGCTAATTTTTTGTATTTTTAGTAGAGACGGGGTTTCACCATGTTGGCCAGGCTGGTCTCGAACTCCTGGACCTCAGATGATTCACCTGCCTCAGCCTCCCAAAGTGTTGGGATTACAGGCATGAGCCACTGCACCTGGCCACATTTTTAATCTTAATGAAGCACATCTTATCAGGTTTTTTATTTTATAGTTTGTATTTTTTAACGTCCTGATTATAAAATCTTTCATTAAGCCAATGTCACTAAGATCTTCTCCTGTATTTTATTCTAGGAATTTAGGTCTATGGTTCATTTTGAGTTGTTTTGTCGATAGTATGAGAGAAGGGCCAAAGTTTATTTTTTTCATACAAATATCCAGTTACAGCAGCGCTGTGAAAAAACTAGCATTTCTCTATTAAATCACTGTGACACTTATATCAACAATCAATTGGCTTTAGAAATGTGGGTCTATTTCTGGACTACATGTTCTGTTCCACTGATCTGTAAAGTTTAGCCTTTCTCTAATACCATACTGTTCTTAATTACTATAGCCTTATAGTAAGTCTTGAAATCAGCGTAAGCCTTTCTACTTTCTGTCCCTTTTACTAAATTGTTCTAGCTATTCTAGGTCCTTTGCTTTTTTGTATTAATTGTAAAACCAGCTTGTCAATTTTTTTTAAAGTTTGTTATGATTTTGGTTGAAATTGCGTTGAATCTATAGAGATAAGATTGCCATTTTAACAATATTAAGTCTTCTAATCCATGAACATATTATATATCTTTATTTACTTAGGTTGCTTAATTTCCCTTTACATTGTCTTATAGTTTATAGGGTATAGGATTTGAATATCTTTTGTTAAGTTTATTTCTAAGTGTTTGGTGGTGCTTTATGTCATATTAAATAGAGTAGTTCTAAAATTTCAGGTTTTAATTGTTTATTGCTAGTATAAAAAATGCAATTGAGCTTTGCATTTTGACCATAAATAATACAAATTATTTTTTTCATATTGCATATTTTTGCATTTATTTATTAGTTCTATTAACTTTTGGGGGTAGTTCTTAGGGTTTTTATACTTATGTGATTATATCATTTTCAAATAAAGACAGTCTTAATTATTCTTTTATAATCTCTAAAGGTTTTATCTGTTTTTATTGCTTTATTGCACTGGATAGGACCTCCAGTACAATGTGAAGTGATAGCGGTGAAAGTGGATTTCTTTGCCTTGTTCTTATTCTTAGGTAAAAAGCACTGATCATTTCACTATTGAATATGATGCTAGCTATATGCTTTTTACAGATGTTCTTAATCTGATTGAGGAAATTCCCTTCTATTCCTAGTTTGCTCAGTATCTTTTATTAATCATGAAAGGGTATTTAATTTGTCAAATCCTTTTTTCTGATCTATTAAAATGATTTTTCTGTTTTATTCTGTTAATATGTTGAATTATTTCTGATTTTCTGATGTTAAATCAACCTTGCATTCCTGGGATAAACTCACTTGGTCATGATTTATTATTTATTATATATGTTCTTAGATTTCATTTGCTAATACTTTGTTAGGGATATTTGTGTCTATGTTCATGAAATATATTGGTTCTTGGTTCTTATTTTGATATTTTGGCTGGTATTGTCATTAGGATAATACTGACCTCATAAAATAAGTAAGGAAGTGTTCCTTCCATTTCCATTTTCTGAATGAATTTGTGTATAATTTAGATTGTTTTTTTCTTTAATGGAATTTACCAATGAAGCCATCTAGGCCTGGGGTTTTCTTCTGGAAAGTTCTCAAATTATAAATTCAATTTCTATAATTGATATAGGACAGTTGAACTTTTCTTTTTTTAGTCAATTTTGATAATTTGTGTTATTTAAGAAATTTGTCCATTTTATCTGGTTGTTAAATTTATTGGTATCAAGTTGTTAATAGTATTCCCTCATTATCTCTTAATGTCTGAAGAGTTAACAGTAATACCTCTTCTTCCATTTCCTATACTGGTGATTTGTGTTTTCTTTTTTTCTTGATATTTCTGCTAGATCACTATCAACTTTATTGATATTTTGAAAAGCAGATTTTAATTTGTTTTCTCTATTGTTTTTCTGTCTCCTATTTTGTTGATTTCTGCTCTCTTCTTTACTATTTCCTTACCCCTGTTTTCTCCGGGTTTAATTTGGGTGTTTTTCTAATTTCTTAGGTTAGAGACTTAGACCATTACTTGAGAACTTTCTTTTCTAATGTTGGCACTAAACATAAATTTCTCTCTCAGCACTATTTTAACTGCATACCACAAATTCAAGAAATTAAAAATATTTTCTATTTTTTCTTATTTCTTGCTTGACTCAATGGTTATTTAAAAATAAGTGTGTAATTGCAAATATTTAATGCTTCCTAGGTTACTTAATTTTGCTTATTTTTTTTAAGATAATGCCATTGTAGCCATTCTCTGTATGATTTTTTGCACTGAAACCACCTTTGCAAAAACGATAACAGTTGGGGAGATCTGATCTAGCCAATCCTCTTGCCTTTAGCCTTCACGCTTCCTTTAATTATTTCTGGGCTTAAGCCAAGCTAACTTTGGGAAACATTTAATATATTGTTCAAATGATAATAGCCCTTCCCCCAAACTCAACCATCTTAATAAAGCTAATGAGAGTGCACCAAGCTAGGAGGATAGAAGAGCCTGAATTCTGCTAAGGTGTAGATATAAAGGCTTGCCAGACATTATTCCAGAATTCACAAGATTTTCAACTTTCTCTATTACTCCTGCAGCCTAAGATTGGCCCTTTGAGACACCTTTTCAGATTTTCTGCATGTCTGACCCTGATGGCTCCACCTGGACTCACCAACTGCTCATGTGGTCCCACCCACACTCTTGTGGTCTACTCAGCGCAAGAGGACAATTTCAACTCCTAATGATTTCATCTCCCATCAACACTCCTCGTACCCTAGCCCCCTGCCCACCAAACTACCTTTGAAGAACCCCTAACTTATGAGCTTTTGATGATACTGATTTGAGTAATGACTCTGCTATGTGGGGTGGCTGGCCTTGCATCAATTAAACTCTTTCTTTACTGCAATGCCATGATCTATTTTGTTTGTGCAGGGGGATGGAAGAAACTTTTAGGCTGTTACAGTATGGCTTAGAATATTGGTAAGCATACCATGTGCACATAAAGCAAATTTGCATTCTGTTATTGTTGGGTGTCGTTTTCAACTAAGTAAAGGTAGATAATATTTTTGTCTTATTTTTTCTAATAGTTTTATTATGTACTCAGGAAGTATTAAAAATCCATTATTAGAATTGTGATTGACTGTTTCTCTTTTTAGTCCTGTCAATTTCGGCATTATGTATTTTTATTTGTTTCATGTATGTTTTATTGTTATATCTTCCTCTTGAATTTACCCTTTTATTATTATGAAGCTTACCTTTTTATTTCCATTTTTGCAAGTTATTTTTAAGTTTGTTTGACCTAATATTAATATAGTCGGTTCAGCTTTTTTACATTTTATCATCCATTAACTTTTAACGTATCTGCATTTTTATTTAAACGTGTATCCTGTAGAGAACATATAGTGGTGTCTCGTTTCTTTATCCATCTGGACAATCTCTGTTTTTTAATCGAATGTTAAGTTCATTAATATTTAATATTATTATCAGTATGGTTTGGTTTGAGTCTAGCTTTAAAAAAATTTGTTTTGTCCTTGCTTGTTTTTGCTGTTATTACTTTGTACCCCCTTTCCTTCCTCTTTTTGGATAATTTGAATATTTGTATAAATACCATCTTAATTTTCCTAATGGCATACCTATTATTTTTTGCATTATTTTTATAGTGGTTCCTTAGGGAATATAATATATATTCAGAACTTTCAATGAGCCAACTTATAGTTAATAATGCACTATTTATTGTGAAATACAGAAATCTTACAATCTTACAAACCCATGCTTTCTCCTATCCTTTATAGTCTAGTTGTTATTTATGTTAGACAAACTTAGAAATTTGTTTTAAAGAGAAGCAAAATGTATAAGAAAATTAACAGGAAGCATGCAAAAATATAGTATTTTGCATTTATCTACAGGTTTATCATGTTTGGTGCTCTTCACTCTTTTCTGAGGATCTAAGTTTCCATCTGGTATCATTTTCCTTCAGCTTGGAGAGTTTCCTTTAGCATTTCTTATAATACACATTTGCTGGAGGTAAATTCTTAGTTTCCTTTTATATGAAAGCATCTTATTTCACTTTCATTCTTGATGATATTTTCACTGGATATAGAATTCTGGGTTGCCAGTTTTTAACTTTTTTCTTCTGCACTTTAAAAGTGTTGATCCACTGTCTTCTAGCCCAGTGATTTTTGCTAAGTCAGCCACTAATTGGATCATTGGTCCCTTGCTTGTAACATGCCAAGATTTACTCCTTTGTCTTTCAACAATCTGATTATATGGTGTTCTTTAACATGGACTTCTTTGTATTTGTTCTGCTTAGTATTTGTTTAGCATCTTATGTCTATACATTTCTGTCTTTCATAAATTCAGGAAATCTTCAGACCTTCCTCAGCTGGGCTTCTTTGCATCTCTTCCACACATTCATGCTTCAGGAGTTAGTCAGAGATTTGGCAGAAAGAGATTGAGGATCCCTGTCTGGCTCTTTCCCCCACAGGATTCTTCCACTCTCTTCAGCCTCCACAATTTTATACCTTCTCTTTTCTGGTTGACAGGACAGAAAGAATATAGTTTTTTTCCACATGAGCTCCTGTCTGTGTTGTGTGCCTTGTGTATACTAAACTTAGTCTTGGGGTAAAAGCCTGAGGAATGGAAATTTACTCATATATCTCTCCCCCACTTCAATCAAGTATTTCGTCCCCATCATAGCCTGTTTGCTTCTGTTCATTCTTCAATAACTTCAAGAAAGCAGTTTAAGTTTTAGTTCACACCTTTGTTTTCAACTGGGGTGTTTAGAGTCTGTTTCATACATGTAACATTACTCACTTTTAAATAGAAGTTTCACATGGGTGCATCTGATTTGAGGAAATTTGTCTAATGCTTGAGTCTTAGCTTCAAAGGAGACTAGAAAAGAAAATTTCAGGTTTCCATTTTACAGAGATAGAGCTAAAGATAGGACATTTCCAAAACATAAGAGCATGAAAACTATTGTTCATTTTCACAATTTTAATAACATTTGAACAACAGTTTACTTATTGGTTGCCCAGTATTACGAACCAGATTTAAATTTCCAAACAACAACCAAAAACTATGAAATGGTTACTTCATTTAGTACAATTATATTTTATGCAAATGAAAACATATGGGCCGGGCAAGGTGGCTCATGCCTGTAATCCCAGCACTTTGGGAGGCTGAGGTGGGTGGATCATGAGGTCAGGAGTTCGAGACCAGCCAGGCCAGCAGGGTGAAACCCTGTCTCTACTAAAAGTACAAAAATTAACCGGGCATGGTGGTGGGCACCTATAATCCCAGCTACTCGGGAGGTTGAGGCAGGGAACTGCTTGAACCCGGGAGACGGAGGTTGCAGTGAGCTGAGATCACACCATTGCACTCCAGCCCAGGCAATAGAGTGATACTCCATCAAAAATAAATAAATAAATAAATAAATAAACAAAAAAGAAAACATATGTCATCTCTCCCTAAAAGAGAAACCCAAATCTCTTTAGGTTAAAACTTTTCAAGACTGTAGTGACAATTACTTCCTTCCTCTGCTGCCCATTCCACATGCGCAGTCATGGGCTGCATAACAACATTCTGGTCAACCACAGACTGCATATATGATGTGGTTTCATAAGATTATAATGGAGCCAAAAATGTTCTAGCATCCAGTGACATCGTAGCCATCTTGACATCATCACCATCATAACGTCATAGCACAATACATTATTCCCATGTTTGGTGGTGATGCTGTTGTAAACTAACTTACTTTTAAAGTCATATAAAAATATAGCACATACAATTACGTATAGTACCTAATGCACGAGGTTGATCATAAACCACTATCTTACTGGTTTGTGTGTTGAGTATACTTTTTATTGTTATTTTAGCGTGTACTTCTTTTGCTTATTAAAAAAATACTGTAAAACAGCCTCAGGCAGGTCCTTCAGGAAATATCCCAGAAGAAGGCATTGTCGTCGACAGCTGCATGCCTGTTATTGCCCCTGAAGGCCTTCCAGTGGGGCAAAATGTGGAGGTGGAAGACAGTGATATTGATGATCCTGACCCTGTATAGGCCTAGGCTATATGTGTGTTTGTGTCTTCATTTTTAACAAAAATATAAAAAGTAAAAAAAAAAAGAAAAGTAAAAAATATAAAAAAGCTTAGAGAATAACGATATAAAGAAAGCAAATATTTTTGTACAGCTGCACAATGTGTTTACGGTTTTGTGTGTTTTTTTGTTTTTTGTTTTGTTTTTTGTTTTTTTGAGACACAGTCTTGCTCAGTTGCCCAGGCTGGAGTGCAGTGGTGTGGTCTTGGCTCACTGCAACTCCGCCTCCCGGGTTCACGCCATTCTCCTGCCTCAGCCTCCTGAGTAGCTGGGACTACAGGTGCCCGCCACCATGCCTGGCTAATTTTTTTGTGTGTTTTTAGTAGAGATGGGGGTTTCACCATGTTAGCAAGAATGGTCTCGATCTCCTGACCTGGTGATCCGCCCGCCTAGGCCTCCCAAAGTGCTGGGATTACAGGCGTAAGCCACCGCACCCAGCCAAGCAGTCTTAAATGACCAGTTTAACCTCTCATTGAATGGAAATACAGTGTGGCCCCTAAAGAAGCATTCTTCTCTTGGAGACAAAGACTCTTAGGGGAGGAGGAGAAAATATTTTGCAAGTGATCTAGTGGTATAATAACAAGGGATGCCATTTTATCTTTCATCACTGGTTTATAGATCCAAGTATTTTGGCTGTCAGAAAAAGAATATCTACAGGTTTCTTGTTCAAAATATATACTGTGTTCTATAGAAAACCATGTCTCAGCAGTACAATGTATTACCTGTATTACACAAGTCAAGTATTATATGAGACCATTCAACTCTACTCTAGAGTAAGCTGATTTTGGTAAATGGAAAGACCAGGAAATCTCATGAATGTAAGGCTATTGTGTTACTTACTTGCTATAAAATATCTCCCTTTTTCAAAGCAGTGTTGTGTAAAATGCCATGATGGTGATCAACGTATTCAGCAAATCCTTATGTTATTAGTGGCAGAAGCATTATGTACAGTGAAGGCAAATATGCATCCATGATATGTGTCTATTCCAATAAGGGCAAATCACAGTCCCCTCCATCATAGAAGGGGTATAATATACCTAACCTGCCACCAGGTGGAGGGTTACTCTCCCAAATGTATGATGTGCCAATCAGGATTGGCTACTGGTGCTGACAAGTTGGGCCCTCAGCAATGGTGTTCAGGACAGCCTTGGAAAAGGGGGAACACATTGTTACACATGTCGTTTATAATGTGCCCTTAACCACTGGACACACTGCAAGATGTCACTGCATGGAAGAGAAAACCAAATTTTGCACATTCTCACTTATAAGTGGGAGTTAAACACTGCGTACTCATGGACGTAAAGATGAGAACAATACACAATGGAGACTACTAGAGCGGGGAGAGAGGGAGAGGAGAATGGGTTTTAAAACTACCTGTTGGGTACTGTGCTCACTACCTGGGTGATGAGATCATTTGTATCCTAAACCTCAGCATCACGTGATATACATGTAACAAACCTGCCCATGTACCCCCGTATCTAAAATAAAAGTGAAAATTATTTTTAAAAAAGACTTCACCAGTGCGAGACTCCATCTCAAAAAACAAACAACAAACAAACAAACAAAAGACTCCACTGCACTGCAAAGCCACAGTACTGCGTTTTTCATCCTCAGCTATACATGTCTTAAAGAGGCATGCTAGTACCTGCTACTTTCTGCTCTCCAGGTTCTGTCTTCATGACATCCCTGTTACAGAAGGCCAGGGTGATGTTCTGGCATGATGGTGAGATGATCAAGGCTCCTAGAATCTCTATTGTGATACAGAACTGAAAATTGCCATAACAGACATCAAAGAGTAACAGTGGATTCCTGATTTTTTTTTTCGTGTGAGAGCAACTTTTTTCTGGGTTCTCTGCATATTGGTATTGAAAAAACAAAGACAAAAATTATAAAGCTTATGAGTAGCTGCACACAGTTGCTAGGAGCTACAGTTGCTGTTGTCACTTGATTTACCTTGCCATAATCTGTCATCTTCCAAGATGCTTCCATATTCTTCACAGATCAGTTGGTGAGTTGAGATGAAAATGTGACAAAAAGCACCATCCTTGCAACTTTCAAGTCTTTGATGGTAACAATGACCTTGACAATTTCACCCATTTGCAAAGAAACTTTAGATTTACTATTCTGGAGGAAAATAACAGTTCCACGGGTTCTTATTTGGATATTTCTAACATAATAGGCCTTCCTCCGTGGATCAGGGAGCCAGGCATTTCTTTCTAGCCATGCACACAGTTAACTGGGAAGGATAGCCTTGGAGTTCTACTCTCCTCATAAGGTAGACTCCAGGAAAAACAACATTTCTCAGATAGCCTCCGTAGCAAAGCTGGTAGACTGTAGTGATGTCATGCATTCCCAGACTTGTTGAACCAGTGTTCAATAATCTCTAAAATATCTAGGTGTTTTCCTTTGTTATTGTATATGGGTTCCCTAGTAAAAGGGCTCAGGTCTCTTTGGGAGAAGGGTGGGAAGAACAGTGATCACATGTACTTGTGATGTTGTCAAGACTCCAGCCTCCTCTTCATTCAAAGGGCTGTGAGTTTTTGAGCTGATTCAAATGCAGGAATTGGGTAAGAGGCTGTTACTCTCTATTTGAGGCTCAAACCAGACCTTTCTTTATCCATCCTGAAGTTTTCTGTTACGCAGACCTAATAGGACATTTGTAAACTATCCATGAATTTTGTGTCAGAGACTTTACTATCCCTTAGCAAGTAGCAAAGATCCCTGTGGGTTGAAGCATGTACTTCCCACTGTGGCTCAGCTGCCTAATATTTGGTCCACACCCATTTTATCTCTGACAGTTGGATGCTGCTATTTGACATCCAGAAAGACCATGTCAGTAGTAGCATCTTCCACTCACGTTATTGCCTAAAGAGAGCCAGCTAACGAGCTTTTTAGAGATGTTGATACTCCCCACCCACATGCAGTTATCTACATCCTGGTGGGTGCCATGTCTTCCATGCTCACTCAGGTATGAGGTTAAGGGATAGATTAGTGGACAGTCCAATCTTCTACATTCCTATCTCTCTAGGACTTTGGTATCTTTCTTGCTCATTGCACTGAGGAATTTCTGGCATATCAATTTCTCTTAAGAAGGCCACCACTGAATTCAATTTAATTCTGCCAAAAGAGCAAGTTGCTAGAGGCACTTCAGGGTGGTCAAGCTAATTATTTTAACCTAGACTATCTTTACAGAGTATGCCTAATGAAATATTTAGCCTAATCCAAAACTATGTCCAGCCCTCTCTAGCCTAAATCCCTCAGAATCTGTGAATCACTATTCGAGGGCTTATGCTGGGCCCTGTTGGCCAGTGAAGGCTCTCAGGTCTAATCTGGTAAGACAAGACACTGGCACAAGTGAGGCAAAGTGACTTTGTTACTCACATGTAGTCACAAGGATAAACACAAGCCTAGGGTCCACGGCGAGCCAGCCTTTCAGTGAGAAGGAAAGTGGTGCAGTGCAGATGGAATCTCATTGGTATGTGTTCCACATTCCACTGCAGCTGAGGGACCCTGGAAGTATTTCGTTCTGGGTTTTATACCCTGGGTGCAAATTGGATTGCTGAGCATAAGTACTGCAGAACATCCTAGTCTGGGAGGAAGGAAGATATAGCCTGAGATGTTCTGGACATTTCCTTCTTATCTTAGGATGTTGCATTGCAAGCAAGAGAGGGAAGAGCTGGGCCGGCCAAGGCTATCCAGGGACCTGTCCTGCAGGCAGTACTAAAGTTTTCTCAGTTACATAGACTTAATGGGACCTTAGAGAACCATCCATCATTTTTTTTTGCCTAGAGACTTTACTCTCCTTTAAAAGTATGTGTGAAACATACTTTTAAAAAGTTTCTGTTAGTGGGCAGTTCTTACAAATCGTTGGTGTGTAAACCTTTTCCTAGGTATGATTTGTTTTTAGCATCCCAGGGCCCACAGGGTTCTGCACCTAGTTATACGTTAGAGACAATGTCTGGGAGGGGTGGGGAGGAGGCCTGGAGGACATTTTAAGAGGTTAATGCTATGAATGAAGCCATTAGGAGGTCTTTAAGCAAGGCAGGAAGAGGATCATCAGATTTGGAAAGAGGGGTGTTTTCCATTATACAGGTCTTTGGGGGTTAGGAGTATAAGGCCCCCAAATCCTCTTCTTTGGTCCAGTTCCCATATTCAAGATTATAGTCATTCCTCTTTGATGCCTTAATATCCACCAATGAAATCAGGCAATACAGTGAATTCCTCTGACTCTGAATGTTGGCAACCCTCAGACTCAACCCTTGACTTTGATTTTTGGCTACAGAAGCCCTCTGTCTGCAGTAAAGATAAGTGATTCTTTCAGCACAGCCATAGAAATCAAAGAAAGTCCCTGGTTTTCTGACCATGCCTTGGGCTAACAAATACTTTGGAAATTGTTTTCTTTCTTTAAGCTCTTCAGCTCAGAAGCAGCCAGCTTACCTTATCATCCTTGCATTCCATTTACTTGAAGGCTTCTTGACAGCAGACACTTCTAGAATCAATTACTACACCCACCGGGGTTCTAAGTTGCAAAGAGCAGGGCTCACTGGAGCTAGTTCAATCAGGAATGCAATTTATTAAATCACATGAGAGGCTCCTGGAGACTGCAGATGGGCCAGGGAGCAGCTTGAACAATGGCATGGACAGCTTGCTCCAGAGGAAATCTGACAGGTGTCCTGCACATTGTGTCACAGCCTGCTCCATGATGCTAGATTGGGGGGTGCCACCACTGGGACCTCTTCCTGTTATGTCTCAGCCAAGACCCACTAGCCTTCCTGAAATGCTTTAAGGGCATCACCCCTTTCACATCACGCTTTTCTGAGCTGGAATCTCCAGTGAGTGCATGGGACTGGCAGAGCTCATGCCTCATGCCTGCACTTTGCTCTCAAGGTGCTAGGAAAGCAAGGTGTTCCTTTAACTTTGGGTGAGAGCACAAGGTGAGAAATTCTGCAAACTTTAGATAGGGATTCAAAAGGTATTATGAATACTTTACAAATATGAAGGTAGCTGTGGACTTTAACCAATGCCCACTGCAAAGAGCCAGCCCCAAATGTTACCTACCCCAAATGCCACCTCCTATCACCCAATCTAAAATGGCCCACACCCAGGATACTCTTTGTGCATAGTCACATCTTTTAAGGCATATATCATATTTTGCAACTATCTTGCTGATGTATTTATTTGCTATTTTTTTGTCTCTCACCTAATTAAAATGTAAAGCTTTAGAAGAGCTTAGCACAGTTCCTGGCAGATGGTTGGTACTCTGTAAATATTTGTTGAATTAATGTAGCTGTAAAATGAGATGTTTCTGAATAATGATCTTAATGCTGGTTTTCAAATTGTCTAACACTTTTTTCTCAAGGTGCAGCTGGATGGCCACCTAGGTGGGGAATCCCCATCTGGGACCGAGCTCTCATCTGTCTCTGCCCCTGCATCAGCCCAAGGAGTTTAATCTCTTCATTGTTAGCTAAACAGTAAACAATAGAGTTTTTAAAATTACCTATTTAACAGTGAGTTTTTTGACACCTCAAATTGTAAACTATTTCCTCCCTGGGTTAAGTCATTTATACAGGAATTGTTGGTTGCTACAATAAAGTGAGACAGATGACCTTAATCAATAATTTTGTATTTTTGAGATCCTTACCCTGAATTGGAAACCTACTAAGTTGTTCATCTGTTCAGAACCCTACAAGAGCTTGCCAATACCTAGAATACTAACTCCTCCCCCAGCAGCACTCGGAGCCCCTGACAACTTACTGTCCCCCTTTCTTTCTATCTTTGTTTCCTTCTGTCCTGCACAATGAGCTCACATTTCAATCCATGTGTGATGAACACACTCTCAGAATGCCAGAACTGAAAAGGACTCAAAAAGCAATCTTGTTAAACCTCTTGTTTTAATACAGGAAAATGCTAAATCCCAATGAGGTTAACTGATAGAAACATAGTACACACTACTTAATATTT
Organism: Homo sapiens; assembly: GCF_000001405.40. Classification (NCBI taxonomy): domain Eukaryota; kingdom Metazoa; phylum Chordata; class Mammalia; order Primates; family Hominidae; genus Homo; species Homo sapiens. The sequence goes on from NC_000008.11 coordinate 27,008,830, forward strand.
CATTGACTGAGTAAATTTCCCAAGATCATACTCCTACTTAGTGGAATAGTTCAACTTTGAAAGCAGTCTCTGAGCATTTTTATCCAGTGTTTAAATTTTTGTTTCAGTCCTAGTAATGGATAACATTTACTGAGCACTCACTAAGTGCCAGGTATATACAGGAACACATTTAATCCTTGCAACACCCTTATGGAGAAGGTTACTATTGTTATCCTACCTCAAAGCTGAGAAAACTGATGCACAGTAAAGCTTATGTAATTTAATCATAGCTGCACAGTTAATAAGTGCCAGAGTGGGGATTTGAACTCCAGAGCCTGTGTGCATAATGACTGTGTGATTCTGCCTACTGTGGGCTGAACTGTTTCTCCTCAAAATTCATGCATTAACTTCCTAACCCCAGGAACTCATAATGTGATTGTATTTGGAGATAAGGTCTTTAGAGAGCTAATGACAGTAAAATGAGGTCGCTGGGATGGGCCCTAATCCAACAGGACTGGTGTCCTTATGAGGAGAAGAGATTAGGACACAGGCACCCACAAAGGGAAGACCATGTGGGACGCAGGGAGAAGGTGGCCATCCACAAGCCAAGGAGAGAGGCTCAGGAGAAACCAATCCTGCTGACACCTTGATCTCAGACTTCCAGCCTCCAGAACAGTGAGAACATAAATTTCTGTTGTTTAAACCACGGGGTTGTCCCTAACCTCCAGACCGTGGACCTGTATTGTTCTGTGGCCTGTTAGGAACCAGGCTGTACAGCAGGAGGTGAGTGGCTGCGGGTCAGTGAGCATTATGGCCTGAGTTCCGCCTGCTGTCAGATCAGCGGCAGCATTAGATTCTCACAGGAGCACAAACCCTGTTGTGAACTGCGCACGCGAGGCATCTAGATTGTGCGCTCCTTATGAGAATCTAACTAATGCCTGACGATCTGAGGTGAAACAGTTTCATCTTGAGACCATCATCCCCCCTACACCGCCCCCAGCCCCCGCCATCTGTGGAAAAATTGTCTTCCATGAAACCCGTCCCCGGTGCCAAAAATGTTGGGGACTGCTGGTTTAAACCACTCAGCAGGCCGGGGCGTGGTGGCTCACGCCTGTAATCCCAGCACTCTGGGAGGCCGCGGCGGGCAGATCACGAGGTTAAGAGATCGAGATAATCCTGGCCAACATGGTGAAACCCCGTCTCTACTAAAAATACAAAAATTAGCTGGGCATGGTGGCGCATGAATGTAGTCCCAGCTACTCAGGAGGCTGAAGCAGGATAATCTCTTGAACCCTGGAGGCGGAGGTTGCAGTGAGCCGAGATCGTGCCACTGCACTCCAGCCCGGGCAACAGAGCGAGACTCAGTCTCAGAAAAACCAAAACAAACAAACAAAAAACAACAACAACAAAACCCTCTCAGCCTATGACACTTTGTTACAGCAGCCTGAGCAAACTAAGACACTGCCTACACGTGCATACGACTCCCATATCTCCCAAAGCCTCGGTATCTTCTTTCATAGCATTCCCTCCATCTCCAGTGTTCTTTGTCCCACTTTTTACCTCCCTTCTTTCATCCCTCCATCATGTCCCTATTCTTCCTGGACCACCTTAGTTACTATCTCCTCCATGAAGCTTTTTAAAATTAACCCCTAGCCTTCCGGAAGGAAGCGGCTAACTATGGCGACCGCCATGGAGCAGTGGGTTCTGGTGGAGATGGTACAGTTGCTTTACGAGGCTCCTGCTTACCATCTTATTTTGGAAGGGATTCTGATACTCTGGATAATCAGACTTCTTTTCTCTAAGACTTACAAATTACAAGAACGATCTGATCTTACAGTCAAAGAAAAAGAAGAACTGATTGAAGAGTGGCAACCAGAACCTCTTGTTCCTCCTGTCCCAAAAGACCATCCTGCTCTCAACCACAACATCGTTTCAGGACGGAGTCTTGCTCTGTCACCAGTCTGGAGTGCAGTGGTGCAATCTCGGCTCACTGCAACCTCCACCTCCCGGGTTCAAGCCATTCTCCTGCCTCAGCCTCCCGAGTAGCTGGGACTACAGGCACAAGCCACCATGCCGGCCTAATTTTTGTATTTTCAGTAGAGACGGAGTTTCACCATGTTGGCCAGAATGATCTCGATCTCCTTTTTTTAATTAAAAAGTAAACTTTAATGTCGAAAATGCAAACTTGGGGAGGGCAGAAAGATCACACACAAGGCTGTCACTTCACACTTGGAAGGTTGCGCCGCCGTCCTGTCTGCAAAGTGAGGAGTGCCAAGTGTGATCCGCCCGCCTGGGCCTCCCAAAGTGCTGGATTACAGGCATGAGCCACCACGCCTGCCCTGCCGTGTCTTCTTTCTCCTCCTAAGCAGCTGTTTTCGTCTCCTGAATTTTGATGTTCTACTTAACACCCTCATGTTCTTACGCATGTTGCCCTGCTGGAGGCGTCCTTCTCTTTGGGAAGCCTGACCCACCAACAGTGCCTCAGGAGATAGACATGGAAGCTTAGCCGGTGGGGGCCCCCCGTCTCTATCCCACCTCAGTTGCAGGGGAGGGGTCAGTTGCAGCTGCAGTGGTGGCCCCGACAGTTTTCTTTTGCGGGACCTGTGGCCGGCAGCTCTGGGTGGAGAAGACCTACTTGATCCAAGAACTGCAGGATCCTTGGGCTGCATGTCCTCCCCCACCATCAGCAAGCCTGGAGAGCTGGGCAGGTGGTCTTTACCCAGCACCTTCAAGGCCGCCTTCTCTGGCCACAGGGAGCAGCCCGGAACTGGGGCAGGGAGCACTGTTGGAAGTGGGTCAGGCTTCCCAAAGGGAAGGATGCCACCAGCAGGGCTGTGTGAACTGGCGACTCCATGGCCCTTGGAGTAGAAACTCACTGCATGCACCTGGGCCTTGTCAGTCTGGTTCTTTTCTGTCAAGCTCTTGAGGTGGACATTTCCCTCCAAGGGCCTGGGATTGTACCAGGAGGAAGTGAGGTTTCCCTGAGTCTCCAGGGGCCTAGAGGTGGAGGCTGCTTCCCCATTGCTACAGGGGCCCATTTTATTGTCCTCCTGCCCCTGGGTCTCTACCTGGTCTTTCACCTCCGTTGCTTCTTTGGGCTCTTCTGCCCTCACCTCCATCTTCAGGAGCCTGGCTGGGATCACCTGCTCATCTAATGAAGGAAGTTGAAGGTTAAACTTGCCTCTGAGACGAGGGATCCTCACGGGGCTGAGGTGTCCAAACATCATGGAGTTGCGAGCAGACAGCATGGGTTTCTTCCTTGAGGGGGGGCTCCAGACCACAGGAGGCAGGACCTTCTGTGGGGTGCCCGTGTTCCGAGAGATAAGACACAGCCTGACAGGGGCGCCGTCCCACCTGACTGGAAAAGAAGGCCCAAGGTGTCGCTGACGGTTGAAGAGGAGTGGGAAACGGCCCCAGATTCCCGGGGCAGGCACAGGTGCGGGAGCTGCAGGGTGAGCCCGGCCAGCTGGGAAGGCCTCACAGACAAGACGAGCAGGTTGCCGATGGCGTGGCCAGGACCTGCGGTGGGACCAGGAACAAAATACGCTTAGTGAGTTGCCCATTTTAAGCGAGTTGTGCACAGACGAAACTAAGGGTCAGAAACAGAGAGGATACTCCTAAGTCACCCACTTCTCTGTGGCCGGGTGCACACTGGGCATCTGGGAGTTTATGACATCACCATGGGGCTGGTGACAGAGCCAGGGTGTGGAGGAGTGCTTAGGAGCCCAGCGAGGGTGCCTACAAGAGGAGTCAAAGGGCAAAGGGTGAGACCCTTCCACCGGTCCAGCTGGACTCTAGCCTCAGGGACGTCCTGCTCCTGGGGGCAGGTGTGTGGCCCTGGATGGGCCCCCCTGTGGGGCTGTTGGGGGTGCGGGGCTGATCCACCAGAGCCCTTCCACCTGGCACCTGGCCCAGATGCTGGCTGGCATCCAGTGGCCCTGTCTTGGCCGGCCCTATCCCCCAGGTTACAGGGCCAGAACCTGGAAGCAGAGCGCAGGACCAGCCAGATCCTGCCAGGCTCCCCCGGGGCCTCTCCAGTGCCTCTGTGCCGCCTGGAGCCAGGCCCGCCTTCTCCATGGCTGCCGTGGCCTCAAGGCACGCCTCGCTCCGCAAGTTTCCAAAGAGAGGACGCGGTGCCCTGACCTGACTGGATGCGCCTCTTACCACATGCCTCCCTGGCAGGCAGGGTCTCCACTTTTTACAAATTTGCCTGAGACCATTCCTCAGGTCATTCAGGTGGTCATGGCCCAGCCAGGCTTTGAACCCGGGCTGTGCGATTCCACAGCGGGCGCTCTGGCCTGTGTGCCTCATGATCATGGACACAGCATCTATTCTTATTTTTTCCTGTAGTCCTGGGGTACTTAGCACCATGGCATATCTGTAATAAGCACATGCACACCTCGAAGGAGGTCTTCACTTCAACATACAAGTTGACCATGGCATGCTCTGGCCTCCAGTCCTCTACAAAGATGTAGGGCAGGAACTACCAGTTGTCAGCACAGCACCATCCCACATTGCTCTTCTAATGGAGCCTTTCACCTCAGATGTTGTTTCTCGACTGATGGGAAGGATCCAAGTATGTAAAGATTATGTTCTAGATCAGCTTTGGTCTGTCCTAAAAGAAATTTGCCAGTGAATTATTCCATATGGATAAAAGTCAGTTTCTCTGGTCTTCCTGGAATGTGTCTAGAAAGCAAATACATTATTTACAAGTTCATAGTAGATCAATGTATTGGATTAAAATATGACAAACATAATTTGGTCATTGTGAGCATGCCAGCTCAGTCAACTATTCACCACACATGATGCCCTAAATATAACTCTAGGTTTTCTTATGCCCAAAAGAGGGACATACTCTTGGGTGTCTGGACTAGGGAAACATGTATGAAAAACCATTTGGCCACTCTACATCTTATTATTGGAGAATTGAAACCCTCTATATTCAAAGATATTATTAAAAGTCAAGAAGTTAAAAAAATAAATAAATAAATAAATAAATAAATAAATAAATAAATAAAATTAACCCCTAAAATATGCAATTGCTCTATTGTTGTCCTTCCTACACCTTGTTTACCTCTGCATGGTGGGCTTAATACATTCTGCCTTGATTTGTGATTAATCTGTGCAACTGCTTTATACCCCCCTACTAGATAATGAGTTATCTAAAGACAATGGCTGAGACGAATTCATCTTTGTTCAGTTCAAGTTATATTTACGAGGCCCCTGCTGTATGCACCCAGCACTATGCCAGGAGGTCAAAGTACAAGGATAAGGCATGATCTCTGTCCTGAGGCACTTACAGTCTAGTAAAGGAAACTTTATGTTCTTGGCAATACCCATAACACTACTTCACATTTCTTATTATCTAATATGGCTTGGTTGAATTTAATTGAAAATTGATCTACTCCAGAGAAGATAAATTAAAGATGTAAATGAGAGCAGGTTGTTTTACAAAATAGCACCAGCCTCTGAGGCAAGAGATCTTTATTCCTGGTTGAGTGGGCTGGGTATGGCAATGCAGGGAAGGTGGCCACAGCCAGCCCAGGTAACTCCTTGGCAAGTGCATCTGAAGCCTGGGACATCACAGTCAGACAAACATAAAATCCAGAGGTCTCCTGTGAAATGACTGTGTACCAGAGGCTTTCATTAGACAAACTTGAGTCTGGAAATTTACATAACAACCATGCAAGCTGGAGACTTGTATATCAGAGTGTGAAGCCCCTACCTTGTGGCAGGAGGCTGAGGCTGGACCAATCCATGCATCTGATCATCTCAGACTCCGTAAGACCCGATCTTGCTCTTTGATGCCACCTCAAGATGAATGCTGATGGCAAACAGCCTTCTGAGGCAATTACGAAAGACTGATTTCATTATATCTACTCAGAAGTTGCCCGTCTCTGGTACCCAGGTAAATCAATTTTCAATGAAATTCAACAAAGCTGCATTAAATAATAAGAAATGTGAAGTAGTGTTATGGGTATTGCCAAGAACGTAAAGTTTCCTTTACTGGACTGTGAGTGCATGAGGACAGAGACCATGCCTTAGCCTTGTACTTTGGTACCCAAGTATAGGGTGGGGTAGGACAGGTGGAGGAATGAGAAGGGCTCCTCTGTGTTTCATATTTGACCTTGCTTGTGGTTTTGTTACAAAAGCCTGGACATTATGAGTCAATAATGAAATCTATTCCATCTTGCTAGGGAGAATATTATATTCTCAATTATTTCATGATAGCTATATAATGTTTTATTAATGACTCCAATCTAGCCTAACATCTTTCCAAAACAGGTTAAAAGCACTCTTGAAATTGCTGCAAACTAAAAATGCAAGGTAGGCAACGGCCAACATAGGTCCAAATATTCTACATGCTTAGACCTTGAAGTGATAGTAGTGGGAAGGAAGGAGAAAGGGAAGTGGAGGAAGAGGAGGTAGGGAAGAGGGGAGGAGAAGTAGAAGAGGAGGCCTGACTGGGTGTGGTGGTGTCATGCCTTTAATCCCAGCATTTGGGAGGCTGGGGTAGGAGAATTGCTTGAGCTCAGGAGTTTGAGACCAGCCTGGGCAATGTAAGAAGACCCTATCTCTACAAAAAATAAATTAGCCAGATGTGGTGGCACACACCTGTGGTCCCAGCTACTTAGGAGGCTGAGGCCAGAGGATCCCTTGAGCCCAGGAGGTCAAGGTTGCAATGAGCCATGATTGCACCACTGTATTCCAGCCTGGGAAACAGAGTGAGATCCTTTCTTAAAAAAAAAAAAAGAGAGGCTGGATCATTCACTTTTGTTTCACTTTTGTGATCCCTTTTCTCACTTAAGGAGATTCTCCTGTCCCTCCTCAGAATCCTCACACTAAAGGTTAGATCTCTGTCTTCTATTTATAATCTCTCTGTAACTGGACCCTTCTCACCAGCTTTTGAAGATGCTGCTTCACTTACCTCCACTCCATGGGGTCCTGACTCCATTTCTTAGATCCCTAGTAGGGAAGCTGATGAAAATCTTGGAATAAACTCCAGAAAGGGAGGAGGACTGCCTATCTGCTGAGGAGAAACAGAAGGGGTGGACGAGCGGGTGGTGGAGGGAATGTCAACTTTATTCTGACAAGATTGTTTGTGTAATAACACCCTGTAGGGAACACAGAATTTGGGTGATGTATTTTTAAAGCACATTAACCATTACACATACAAAGGAACGAACAGGTAGATGCAAACGGTAATCTCAAGATGAATTAATCCAGTTGTGGCCTCAGAAATCTGAAACTTTCCGTTGTTTTCTTGAAAGCAACCAATAATTAGGAACTCTCGATACAAGAAATGCTCACTAAAAAAGAGGCAGAATGAAATCATTGTTAAACCTTACATTTTAAAGGTATATTGATGCTGGGTTTTTTTTACAGAGAAGCTGATGAAAGTGGTACTCCCCACTCCACCCTAAACCAATATTTTTCTTGTCCCCTTTGGGTGGCCTGTGTCCTTAGTCTAACACCATCGGGGTCTTTATAGGCTTTGAGCTCGTTAACCTTTCACTCTCACTGAGAATCCCGTAACTGATCCTCAGGAGGCACATGGTGTTTGCCTCAGGCAAGCTCAGAGCTTCTGCAGACACTTTGTAAGACAACCTGGCAGGCTTTTCCCATTAGCAGCAGGGCCTGGGTTCACACCTCCCACCCCCGCGACTGATTGTATATCCTCTTTCCCACGTGTTCTGTCTTTTCTTCAGAGAACTGGAATCTCTCATGATCTTGGATTTTCTAGTGAGGTTATTCCATAAGCAGGCATCCCTGAGTTGACTATGAACATGTACCTCTGGTTACCTATGCATTGCAGTCATTTCTGTAGATTTACTACCTGTGAAAGAATGGAAAGAGACAGGAGAAATAATCCAGTCCCATGATTCTCAGTGTCTTAGTCAGTTCCAGCTACTATAACAAAATACTTCAGACTGAGTGGTTTAAACAGCAAACTTATTTTTCATAGTTCTCAAGACTGGGAAGTCCAAGGTCAAGGTGTCTAGGGATTCAGTGTCTGGTGAGGGCTCTCTTCCTGGTTTGCAAATGGCCACCTTCTGGCTGAACTTTCTCATGGCAGAGAGAAAGGAAAAGAACTCTCCCGTGTTTCTTTTTAGGAGAACACTGATGACAGGCTCTATCCCCGTGACTTAATTGTCTCCCAAAGGCCCCACCTCCAGATACTATCACATTGGGGATTAGGGCTTCAACATATGAATTTGGGGGGAAGGGTGGAGCACAAACATCAAACATTCAGTCTATAGCACTCAATAAAGAAAAACTGTCCCCCTCCCCAGAAAGTGTGTTGGAAATTTATGGAGACATTTTTGGTTGTCATAGAAATTGGGGGTAGCACCAGCACTTAGTGGGGACACTTGACATGCTGCAATATACAACCTGATGAAGGTTTCCCCCACATGCTACATAACTTTTTAAAATGCTCTACTGGACATTTTTAGGACTGTTTATAATTATCCAAGCCTTGATTCTAGTTTACCTAAAAAGATAAAATATATTTTATATATACATTTGAATGAATTTGTCAGATTATAGAAACTGAGAGAGGAAAGTACTGAGCTTTCTTCTCAACTTCATTGGACGCAACAGTATGCATTGATCTGCATTTGTGCCTGCTATATTCACAGAGGTTCTAAGGATAGGTGCCCGGACTATGTTATTATATCATCTATTGCATAAGGGTCTGAACACTTACACATGGAAATAACATTTTATAATTTATTATTATTATATTTTTCTATTATAGTTGGGACACTTAATTTTTTTAAATTATGTCTGGAGATCAATTACATTATTTGTAAATTTCGTTACAAAGGGGCATTGCAAAATATGTGTTAATAAAGGATACAACAGTTCTGATTCCATTCATGAATGTTTCAGCATTTATTTAACTAGTCTTTGATTGATGCACACTTGGGCTATTTCTAACGTTTTACTTTTACAAATAATGTTGCAGTGAAGAACTTTATAGATATCATTTCCTATGTTCACAGTGTTGGAATTTTTATTAGTTAATAACATTAAAAATCCAGGAAATTTTTCACTTCAAGATCTGTGCTTCTGCTTTCTGATAATGACATTCCAACAATCTTGGGGCTTTTGTTTCTTCCCAGCAATGTCTGGGACTGAGAAGTAGCTGCCCACTTTGACAAGCTATGTTAGTCTGCTCAGGCTGCCATAACAAAACATCACACACTGGGTGGCTTAAATAAGAGAAATTTATTTCTCACAGTTCTGGAGGCTAGAATGTCCAAGTCAAGGTGCTGGAAAGGTAGGTTTTATTCTGAAGCCTCTTATCCTGGCTTGTAGGTGACCCTCACCTTGCTGTGTTCTCATATGACCTCTCCTTTGTGCACACTCAAAGATAGAAAGGGAGAGAGAGTTTCCTAGTGTCTCATTTTATAAGGTCACCCATCTTATCAGAGTAAGGCCTCACCTTTATGAGCTCATTTAACCTATCTCCAAATACAGTCACACTGGGAGTTAGGGCTTCAATATATGGATTTGGAAAGGGGGGAACACAATTTATTCTATAGCACAAGGCACGTACCCTCCAGTTGCCAATAGCGTCCATCACTCCTCACTGTCTTCTTAACGCTGACTACAATCAGTTCCCACTCATTGTCACACATGGGCTGCTGTATTTCTTATAACAAAAACAAGAGGAAGGCCAAGGGTGGTGGCTCAAGTCTGTAATCCCAACACTTTGGGAGGCCAAGGTGGGAGAATTGCTTGAATCCAGGAGTTCGAGACCAGCCTGGACAACATAGCGAGACCCCATCTCACAAAAATTAATAAACAAATAAAAAGAGGAAATTATATCACTATTATGTCTATGTCTCTATCAAAATTAGAAAATTCAAGAGAACCTGTAAGGGCCATGAGTTTCAAACAAAATGGGGGATACATATTTAGTGGAAGTAAATAATATTCCTATGTGTATATGCAAACAGAATGTGATTTTTGTCGAAGAATCAGACTTAGGTGCCATTGTGAAACAAAACCACCAGAAAAGCACACACTTAGTCTGAATCACATAATTGGGTCATCTGCTTGGCCCTGTGTACATCTGAGTTTGGGATCCTTGTGTGATTCTATTTTTACTCCTAAAATATCTGCCTCCACTGATGTTGCATTGCCTTTCCTCACATATCATGCAAATTGCAAATATTTAGAAAAAAACAACAGACATCCCCCAGCCTCAGACACTAGCAGCAAAATCCAAGCATGGATTCTTTTTTTTTTTTTTTTTTTTTTTTTTTTTGAGACAGAGTCTCACTCTATTGCTCAGGCTGGAGTGCAGTGTTGCGATCTCAGATCACTACAACCTCCGCCTCCCAGATTCAAGGGATTCTCTTGCCTCAGCCTCCCAAGTAGCTGGGGTTACAGGTGTGCACCACCACGCTGGGCTAATTTTTGTATTTTTAGTAGAGATGGGGTTTCACCATGTTGGCCAGGCTGGTCTTGAACTCCTGACCTCAAGTGATCCACCCGTCTCAGCCTCCCAAAGTGTCGGGATTACAGGCGTGAGCCACCACGTTCGACCTTTTTAAATTTATTTTTATTTTTATGCTCTTAGAAATTTCTTTAGGTCTGTGAAGCTGCCACTCTTTGAGAAATGGATTGCTACGTTCTCTTTCCCTATGAATAGCAGACATCATTTAATCGGTTTTCCAGTCTCATAAATACACTGCCATGTGATGGATGGAAGCCGAGTCCCTGTGCTGCTGCAGACTCAAGCTGAGCTGGCTGAGCTGCTTGCCTTGTTCAACTCTTCAGCTCAGAAGGAAGCCAGGATATTTGTGTTTGTTCATTTCCTCTCCCAAACATGGGCTTGCTGCTTGCTGCAGTGCAACAGGCTATGAATTCAAAATAGGATAGAGCTGTCCAGTGGGTTACACTTCAAATGAATGTTCAGTTTTGACCATGGCCTCAGATTATCTAAGCCACAAAATGGGGGAAGGGAGCAGCACACAGAGGAAAACAAGTTCCTGTAGAATTTCCAGATTTTCTTGAGCTTAATGGGGTCAGACATTCTAAGGCAAATAATCTTTCTAGAGGCAAATCAACCCTCTTTTCAAGGTAAATAAAAGCGATGCTTGTTGCAGTCTATGCAAATGCCATAAGCAACAGTTTCAAAGCGAAAACAATGTGAACTATCATATTTCCTATATTCCAACTCCTAGATTTCTTTTTTTATTCTCTGCATATGGAACACAACAAATAACCTTCCTTTGTTGGAGTCGATCTGTAACTCCAACTTCAGTGAGGCTCATCTTTTGTTCTGGCAGAAAAAGTTTTCCCTTTATTGGTGTCATTTTGGTGTTGTAACAATCACAGTGCCATACTCATAGAGTGTGAGAACTTTTGCCACAAGTCTAAAAGAAAAAGGCACCAGTCAGGGAAGAAATTATTGCATCTTGGCTGACATTGCAAGGCAGAGTGACTATTTCTTCTTGCAGTGTTTATAGAGCCTGAAGGAACTAGGACCATCATCTCAATGCGAGGCAATTATTGAACCCTAATATATAGTTTACCAAGTGCTTTATACACCTTTATCTCATTTAATCCTCCAACAGTTTAATAAAAATGGAAGCCATGAGAGATAAGTAATTATCCTACCACTCCAGAGCTGCAGGTGGCAGAACTGAAATTCCTAGTCCAGTCTCTTTGTTCATTCATTCATTCATTCCACTGCATTCAACAAAAATTGAGTTCATAATGTTTGTCTAACCCCAAAGCCTATGCTCTTTACCCTGAGGTATTACAATTCCTTTAAAAAGTCAAACTATGTCAAAAATAATGTTTTAGAAGGCTGTTCTGGTGTCATAAAAGTGAGAGCTAGTGGAGTCTTTGGGGCCAAAAGTCATCAACTATGAAGCAATCTTGACAGGTCAGGCTAGGAAAATCCTTTAACCCAGACTCTCAGCGCATCTGTGGGGAATGGTAGGTCATCTGTATAAATACAGATCACTCTTATACATACCACAGCATAATGCCTGTTTGTCCTATAGGGTCATTTGGCCCACTTACAGATTATGAGAGAGAAGGTAAGGCTAGCAAAAAGAAAGATTTTAATAAACTTGATACAGGTTGCTGCTGGACCTTGTTTGGATCTATTTTGGTTTTCTTTAAGCTGTCATCTACTTCAGTGGGCCGAAACAGTGAAGAGAAATTCAACATAAAATAAGAAATGGGTGAAAACTTGTGGTTCTTAACCTAATAAGAACCAAAAGGACATTTTTAAACTAATAAGAGCTTACATTGGGCTCAAACCTGTTTACTTTCTTTAGCAACAAGAAAACTGAGAAAATTAGGGTACAATAAATTCTTTCTTTATTCTTATGTTGCCATCTGAGTACTACATACACATAGATATTTCTTTGCATTTTTTTGTGAATGACTTTTAATATTCCCTTCAAGAAGATTACGCTAAAATTAATCCTCTGTAGATAAGTGAAAGCAGATGATCTTACAGAAGAAAATCTATCTGATGGAATAATATCAGGCTGACAGGCACACTTGAATATTACAACTACAATTAAGATAAAGTCTTTTCCTCGCTTGGCATGGAAACAATGGAGGCCATAAAGTATCAGGATTCTTTTTGCATTATAGGAATAATGAGAAAATGGACAAAAACCAATCTCTCCTCTGTGGCAGTACAGCCTGGATTCCGAACATCAGGCATGTATACACCATGCGGAAAGCACAGGAGACTGGACTTCACTTCTGAGTTCATTCATTTTTTATTTCAGGCAAGTCTTATGTTTAAACATAAGGCCCACAACCACACTGTTTCAGACAACATACCAAATGGCATGTCCAATATTTTGATTTAAGAAGAAGAAGAAAAAAAAAAGCACTTCTCAGTTATCATTGTCTGTTTTCTTTTTTTTTTTTTTTTTGAGACATGTTCTCACTGTGCCACCGAGGCTGGACTGCCATCTCAAACTCCTGGACTCAAGTGATCCTCTCACCTCAGCCTCCTGAGTAGCTGGGACTACAGGCACCTGCCACCATACCGGGCTAATTTTTTTTTAATTTTTTGATTTGCTATGTTGCTCAGGCTGGTCTTGAACTCCTGGGCTTTAGTGATCCTTGCACCTTGGCCTCCCAAAATACTGGGATTATAGCCATAAGACACTGTGCCCAGTCCATCACTGACTTTGTTATGCTTGAAGCAACGTGAAAGAAGGTGGAGAAGAATCCCCTTCCCAGAAAAGACGATAGTTCCTATTTCTTAATATTTGAATTTCCTGCCTTGCCTTGGAAGAGAAACAGATGGCAAGGATGAAAGGAAGAGGGGACTAGAAGATACGTTATTTTGAAAATAGAAAAAAAAAGTCAAAAATTTATCTTCCAGTTGATGCAGCCACCAGGAAAGGCTGACGACACAGCAGGTAGGGCCTTGGGGTCACCATTCTTAGACCTCAGTGAACAGGCAGAGCTGTGGGCAGCCGGAGCTCTGCTCACTAAAGGGCATCTGTCTACCACTCTGCAAGCTTTAGCCCAGAGCAGTGTTAAGTCAGGGCCTCCTGGGGAGTCTCAGGAAGGGTTAGAAATGTCTGAGATCAACTAAAAAACATATTCATCTTCCAGAGTTAACTACAACTTTTGATGTTGGTTCTTCCCTGTAGTCTTTTCCTTTTGCAGAGTTCTTCACATTTTTAATAGATTTTATAAAATTACTTTCATTTTTGTGATTGTTTCAAAACTAACATATATGAGTTATAAAGAGTTTATAAAAAACAAAGAAACAAATGAAAACAATTCACTTTTCAACCACACAGAAGAAATGCCAACAGTTAACGTTTGAAGGTGGCATTAATTTTCTCATACTATATATTGAGTGCCATTTTGGACAAAAAGAAACTGAGGTTCAAAAATTTCAGGCTTGGAAATGAAGAAGGTTGGTATATGAGATGGGGCAAAGCAAAAACAAAAACCAACTGGCTCATTTTTTTCCGTCTATACTCTCAACATTCAATACAAGACTGCTCTGTGACTAGATGTGTGGGGGTTTCCCCACATATGGAACAATTAATTCTCCAGCAGACTCGCTGGAGCTCGATGTCCTAAAATGTAACTCAATTGTGACACTATCTATGTGGAGATAGTGTTGGATCCCACAGGTTAAGGTTTTTGCATCATCAACACAGTTTTCACATTTACTATTAAATAGTTCATCCTTTCTCCCACTTACCTGAATTTCCAGAAAAATCTTATAATAAATCTTTATATATACATGCATCTATTTCTAGATGTTCTAATCTGGCCCATTGAGCAGGCTGTCTTTATTTCTATGCTAGTATATAGGAAACCTTTATCATTGGCCAACATAACCCTTAATATTTTCTTTTCTTTTCTTTCTTTTTTTTTTTTTTTTTTTTTTGAGACAGAGTTTTACTCAGTCTGTTGCTCCAGCTGGAGTGCAGTGGCATGAACTCGGCTCACTGCAACCTCTGCTTCCCAGGTCCAAGCGATTCTCCTGCCTCAGCCTCCAGAGTAGCTGGGACTACAGGCATGCACCACCACAGCTGACTAATTTTTGCATTTTTAGTAGAGACAGGGTTTCGCCATGTTGGCCAGGCTGGTCTCAAACTCATGACCTCAAGTGATCCACCTGCCTTGGCCTCCCAAAGTGCTGGGATTACAGGTGTGTGCCACTGTGCCCGGCCAACCCTTAATATTTTCTTGAGGTCATTATCCTCTCCCAAAACATGTGGCCAATCGTGTGCACTGTCCCCCACTAGCACATTGAGACAGTTGGGCCTACATGAGCCAGTTGGCACTTCCTACACCTGAAGTCTCAGGAAATGGCTCCAGAATTGTCATGTGACCCAAACAAGGCCTCGGGAGTTTTCGGCTGGAGCAACTGAGTAAGATTGCCCCTGGCATCTGCCATCTGAGTGCCGGAAGGAAGTGATGCCTTCCTGGCCATACGGAGGAAGCCCATCTGCAGAGGCAAGAAATGAGAACCCAGAACAGGGGTGCTAAGCCAAGTAAAAGAAGCAAAATACCTAGGCTACATGGAGTCGGATTCAGTTTGGACTCTGTCATCTGGTTTTTCTAGTTATGGGAATCAATGAATTCCCTTATTTTTGGATGAAACTGGTTTGAGTTTCTGCCTTAGCAGGTAACATCTGTCTAAGTGCCTCATAAACAATGAGGGACCATACAAATTTGAGATAGTGGTAACATCTGGGAAAAAGAATCATTTCTTCTAATATTAGTCATTCCAAAAGTCTTAGTCCAAGTTTCTCCATATAGTGTAGACCATAATTTAAACTCTACCTATATTACAGAATTATTTTATAAATAAATGAAAAATATATATGAAATCTAAAAAATGACAAAGATGAAAGTATTATTTTAATCATGGGCATATTTATTTTCTTTAGTTTTGCCCATCTTATTTGAGAGAAAATACTTTCATGTCTTTATCTATGCTACAGCCTCCTAATAGGTTCATTATGGTTTATAAATGTAAATTATAATTAGATTTCTATAAGGTCAACACCATTTAGAAGTATTAAGAAAGCAGCTGACTTGTATTACCTGTTTCTATTCATGTAAAATTCACCACAAGAAGAAAGATGATTGCTTTAGTAATTTTATTTTTCACTAAAAGCTGCCTAGTCCAAGCATTATCAATGGAGAAATGTCTCAGATAAATGGTACCTGCAGCTGTCACATCAAACCAGATGATAACAAAATCTCCATGTACACCAAGGTGTCTAAATGTTCAATGTTTCCAAAAACCACTTTCATTCCCAAAGTAGCTTTTACAGTGGCCCAAAACCACCACCCCACCTTTTTTTTTTTTTTTTTTTTGAGACAGGGTCTCACTCTCTCACCCAGGCTGGAGTGCAGTGGCATGACCTCGGCTCGCACAACCTTTGCCTCCTGGGCTCAAATGATACCCCTACTTCAGCCTTCCGAGTAGCCGGGACTACAGGCATGCACCCACACGCTTAGCTAATTTTTAAATTTTTTGTGGAGATAGGATCTTCTTGTATTGACCAGGATAGGCCCCGTATTTCTTAAAGAGCAGCACAAATAATGGGAAATGATTGTTAAATTCTTTAATTCCCCGCACTGTAAAATAATTGATGTGTACAAGAAGAATTTCTGTGAGTTGACTGAAGCAGGCAGAAAAATGATGTTTCCTTGTCTATCGTTTTGTTTTAACACCACTAGATACACTGGTTCTGCTTCACTCTCTTGCAAAAGATTTTTGCTTGAGTTATAACATCTTGCCGAAGAACACCATGAGATTTTAACGTAGCAGGAATTAATTAATCTTTAAACCTCTAAAATTAATTCCATCCTTCCTGAGGAAAGACAAATGGAAATGGTCAGGATTCCCACAACGAAGTACACAGGAATCCCAGCCTGAGCCTTGCCTCTGGCTTTATCTGTTTAATTGCTTGTTTGTTTGTCTCAATTCTGAGATTATATATTCTTAAACATAATCTCTTTAAAACCTTGAAACCATATTCCAGGGGAGAAAATAAGGTTTATGTCATCATGTTTGATGGAGAAAACCAGTTTCTGCATCTTTTCATCTCTGCTGTGGTTGGTCAAGGAGATGTGATTAGTCAATATCTTTGGCTTGCTGTATTCAGATTGAACAAAGCTTTTTCAGAACAACTGTTATGTGTCTAGCGCCTTGCTCTCACTTGTTTTATCTTAATTTTGACAACAACCTTATGAAGTGGTATTTTTAGTCATTTTAAGTGGAGGAACTTGAGGTTTAGAGCGATTTGTCCAAAGAGCCAGTACTGAGATTGCATCATTTGTTCAAGATTGCACAACTAAAAGGAGTCAGAATTTCAACTCAGGTCTTTCCAATCTATGCCGTGTGCCTTTTTGACCCTCCTCCCTCCGCTTGCTAAACATTGAATAATTGAAAGTATCATGGATGATACATCTAATTTTGATATTTGATGAATCTCAAAAACATTATGCTAAGCAAAAGACGCCAGACACACAGAAGAGTATATACTGTCTAAAGCCATGTATATGAAATCCAAATACAGACAAAATTAAGCCATGTAGATGGAACATAGGCAGTGGTTGACATCTGCACAATGAATGCTCCACAGTGTAGGGATTCGACTGAAAGAAACACCAGGGAACTTTTTATGGGGGTGGAAGTGTTCTATATCTTGTTACTTGGATATACACAATTGTCAATACTCTTTGAATAACTGAACATCTAAAACCTGTACTTTTCATTGTGTGTTAATCACATCTCAATTTTTTTTTTTTTTTTTGAGACAGTCTTGCTCTGTCACCCAGGCTGGAGTGCAGTGGCACAATCTCGGCTCACTGCAACCTCTACCTGCCGGGTTCAAGTGATTCTCCTGCCTCAGCCTCCCGAGTATCTGGGATCACAGGCACGCACCACCATACCCAACTAATTTTTTTGTATTTTTAGTAAAGACGGGGTTTCACCATGTTGGTCAGGCTAGGTTCAAACTCCTGACCTTGTGATCCTCCTGTCTCGGCCTCCCAAAGTTCTGGGATTACAGGCGTGAGCCACCGCGCCTGGCCACATCTCAATTTTTTAAGATTCTATTTAAATGACCTAAAATGCAGTTTCAGGTAACTCTGCTTCTCTGGTAGTCTTCAAAGTTGATATATCGAAATTTCTACTTTGAAACAGAAAACAAAAATAATATTTTAATGTCAACAGTGTCTTTGACACAAACTTGGCCATAGTTACTGACTTAGGTTTAGTGAGAAGATTCAAGAGAAATCTGGGCTATGAGGCACAATCGCCAGGAATTCTTACTTTTATCAAGAATCTATGTTTAAGTAATAATTGTATTAATGTTAATAAGCATTAACTGAACATTTCTAAGCACCAGACATGGAGTTAAATGCTTCACTGCCTCTTCTCACTTCATCCACACATCAATTTAATGAGGCAGGTAACATTATAATCATTACCCTCTGAAAGATAAACTCTCCAAGACTTAGAGAAGTCAGATGGCACATCCAAGATCTCAGAAGTAGGTGTTGGGCTAGAAATTTGCTGAAGAGAATCTGAATCTTAGCTCTAGTCTTACACTACTTAATATTGCTTTCAATGACAGCACTAATGAAAAAATTCAAGGGAATCAAGAAAAATGTTGAATGGTTAGCATTAACTTTTGCTTTTTTCCAGTCTTGTATTTTCTAGGTATTCCGTATGAAGTATGGGTTTCTTTTTTAGGTAATAAACTATAGTCTAAAATGATAGTTAATAGAATGTAAGTATGGGCTTGAACCTCAAAATACTTTGGAAGTTAAAAAAATAACTCTTATATAGACAATGTAAATATTCTGTTTCAGTGTAGTGGACTAAAACTACATGTTGCATTTCTCTGTGGCATCAGAAAGCTTATTATAAATACATAGCACAAATGTATTATTTTTCTGGCTTGAAGAAAAATATCCAATGGCACCCCTATCTCGTAAAATTTAGAACTGAAGGATGAAGCCATATTATGATGACCCTGCCTGTGTGACATTTTCACCTTAGGACTGATGTCTTGTGTTTGAAACGTGATTAAATCTGATCATCAGGTGTGATGATAGCTTGCAATGTTCTAAGGAATGATCCTCACAGAGGAAATTGATAATTCTACAATGCAAACCTTTACTTTATACTAATGGGTTAAGATGAAATACTGGGAGGTTTCTTCAGCACTTACTATGCTCAGAATTTAGGCAAGGGAGAAAGTAAGTCAGGCATCTATAGCCGATGTCAATTCCAGCTACTGTGGCCCCTGACGTGATGGTTTTCAGCGAAAGTGTAAAGTTATTCTCTAGATTTACAAATCTACAAATTATCAAAGTGGTACACATTTTAAAACTAAATCACAGCCACCAGCCCACATTGTTCTTCCCTTTTTTTGCATCCACCTGTCCATTGAATTCTCACTTTCAAGTCAATGTAATCCACTCAAGTTTTGGGAATCATGAACCTGACGAAAATACATGACAAAAATACAAAAGTATTTTGAAAGTATAGAAATGCAACATTTCTGATTCTTGCCATTCTAGTAATTTTCAATTCTTATCCAAATTATTCTACCTTGGCCTTCATCTGGTATGCCAACACTCATTTAGAAAACCACCAATAGTCTTCGGTTATTTACTCTTCTTTACTTCCTGTATACAGTAGATTTCTTTGTGCCTCCTGGATGCGTTCTTTTTTGCTGGAATATTTCATCCAAGAGTGATTTCAAAGAGATTCCGTGTGTTCATCCTTCTGAGGCAATTGTATACTTGAGAATGTTTTTATTGCACTTAAACAAAAGCTCAACTGGATGAAAATATTCTAGGTTCAAATTTACTTTTTCCATCAGCATGTTGAAAAATATTAGCCTAGTGTCATCCAATATCATTGGTGAAAAGTCTAACATCAATTTGATTTTTGTTTCTTTTTCTCAGGAAGCTCTTCTTTTACTTTGATGGTCTTAAATTTAGCAAAGTGTGGGTTTTTCTTATCTATTCTCTTACTTTCACATTCCATGATCTTTCTTTTATAATAAAAAATTCTCAATCATTATTTCTTTAAATATTTTCTCCCCTTTATTCATTTATTTATTTATCTATCTATTCATTTGTTTATTTAAGACAGGGTCTCACTCTGTCACCCAGGCTGGAGTACAGTGGCATGATCATGGCTCAACTGCGGCCTTGAGCTCCTAGGCTTAAGCGATTCTCCCACCTCAGCCTCTCAGGTAGCTGGGAATACAGGCACACACCACGATGCCTGACTAATTTTTGTATTTTTTGTGGAGATGGGGTTTTGCCACGTTGCCCAGGCTGGTCTCAAACTCATAGGCTCAGTGATTCTCCTGCCTCGGCCTCCCAAAATGCTGGGATTACAGGTGTGAGCCACCGTGCCTGGCCTCCTCTTCATTTACTGTATTTTCTTCTGAAGCTTCTTCTATTCTTCCTATTAACATGTCTTTTATATTTTGGTCTTTTTAATACATACTTGATTGTTTCCCAGAAGGATTCCTTTACATGTTTTTTTCAGTTTGCTAGCTCATCTTTGGCTATATCCATTCTAATATTCAATGTATCTCCTGAGTTTCTTATCGTAGTGATAACGTCCCATTGCTTTTTCCTCATAAATCTTTGTTCTTGCATTAAATTGCCAAAACCAGTTGATTATCCCTTATCCAAAATGCTTGGGACAAGAAGTGTTTTAGATTTTGGATTTTTTCAAATTTTGAAATATTTGCGTATACATAATGAGATATCTTGGAGATGGGACTCAAGTCTAAACACATTGTTTATGTTTTATATACACCTTATACACACAGCCTCAAAAATAATTTTATATAGTAGTTTGAATAATTTTGTGCATGAAACAAAGTTTGTGTACACTAAACCATTGGAAAGCAAACATGTCAGATGTAAAACTTTCTACTTATGACATGTGTTCATGCTTAAAAACTTTCGGATTTTGAAGGATTTTGAATTTCAGATTTTTGAATTAGGTATGCTCAACCTATATCTTCTTGAAAAATATTTCTTTTGTTTACTTTAAATTGATGATTTGTGCTTGGCCTCGTGTTGGTTCTCCAGCTAAATTTTGGGCATTCGATATATTTCTCTCTAAGTGTATGTTACCAGAGGGTGTCAATTCCCTTGGGAGGTACATGTGCAACCTGTTCTTTTACACCTGCTGGGGTCAGGCTCCACTTGGATGCCACCTGTTCCTGGCTCCAGCACTAGGCTTGTAATTAGGGTTTTCTTCTTCCAAGTGGTGATTGGACTTTTCTGCTTGGGTTAATTTGGGGAAAGAAAATAATGCAACTGAGATCTCTGTCTCTCCTTCTCCCTCTCCTGGCCCTCTTTCAATCTGGACTGCAATTCCCTCCCACACCCACCTACCATCTTCTGATGTTTCCAGGGGTTTTAGACAATCTTTAAGTTAATTAATCAACTCTATCAATTTCACTTTCACCTCTAGAGCATTTCCAAACTGGGCTACATGTTTGGTTGCAGTGTTGCAAATACCACTTTTTGTATAACGTTAGAATGTTCCAAATTTTAAAGCTAAATATCACTAGCCCATTGGTCCACTCTTTATTTTCCAGGAGGTCTCTCCTATCCTAAAGATGGTGTCATTCTCATGTGAATTCTTATACCTTTATTTCATATGCATACCTCTGTAAGTGTCATTTAGCATTATTTTTGTGTTTTTAAAACTCACATAGAGTATTATACTGTACAAGCATAAAACAAACATTTTAAGGGCTGGGTGTTGTGGCTTACATCTGTAATCCCAGTACTTTTGGAGACTGAGGCAGGAGGATCACTTGAGGCCAGGAGTTTAAGACCAGCCTGGGCAACATAGCAAGACCCTACCTCTACAAAAAAATTAAATTAAAAATAAAATAGCAGGGAGTGGTGGTACATGCCTGTGGTCCGAGCTAGTTGGGAGGCTGAGGTAGGAGGATCATTTAAGCCTGATAATTTGCAGCTGCAGTCTCACTACAAAGCAAAGATTATGATTGTGCCACTGCACTCCAGCCTGGGCAACAAAGCAAGACCCTGTCTCCAAAAATTAAAAAAAAAGATAAACAATTTAATATATTATATTGATTATATTTAACTTTTTCCCAAAAAAAGACCTTAAGGCCTTTTTAAGCTAAAGATATAAATATAACACTTAATAAAGGAAAAAATACAAAATTACAACCAAAGAAAGGGGAGAATGCAGACACACTAAGGTAAGGGCTGGAATAGTTGCTATGTTTGAGAGTTTAGCAATGTTCTTACTAAAAGCTCATTAAACCTATTTATTTTTGGAAAAAGATCAGAGTCATTGCAGGAATCACATTTTGATTTACAGAAGGCCACTCAATATGGTTTGTCTGTGTCCCCACCCAAATCTCTTCTTGAATTTCCATGTGTTGTGGGAGGGACCCGGTGGGAGGTAATTGAATTATTGTGGCAGGTCTTTCCTGTGCTGTTCTTGTGATAGTCAATAAGTCTGACAAGAGCTGATGTGTTTTTAAAGGGGAGTTTCTCTGTGCAAGCTCTCTCTTTGCTTGCTGCCATCCATGTAAGATGTGACTTGCTCCTCCTTGCCTTCCACCATGATTGTGAGGACTCTTCAGCCATGTGGAACTGTAAGTCCATTAAACCTCTTTTTCTTCCCAGTCTTGGCTATGTCTTTATCAGCAGTGTGAAAACAAACTAATACACCACTTGATATGTTATTTACTTAAATGCAAAGTAAATCCATTGACCTTCCATTGAGTCCAGCCACCATAAAGAGTTAGAAGGCCTGCAGTTTCACAGAATGGTTTCATAATATCCAAGCAGTGTGGGATAGAGCCTTGTAAGGCTCGAAATAGGAGCCAGGAGCAAAACAGCACAAGAAAGATCCAGAAGCTGATTTAATGTGCTTTGTTTTGAGAATAGTTTAAGGCACCCTGTGTCTTCATAGTCATATATCTGCAGCATAACTTGGCTGTCCACACACTGTGAAATAATTTTAAAATTTGTAGCCATGATTTTCAGTAGGAAGAGACATTACTTTCTTATTTGTTGGGCAAAGCAACTGGCATTTAGGCTGACTAGAATGGTTTTAAGTGACTAATGAAACAACTGCTAATATTTCAAGCTTCCACTAGATGTTTGCAAGCTTTGCAATTGGTCTTAAAGAAGTAAAATGTCTGATTTAGAGCACTATATAAATAATATCTCACAATAAAATATTGCTTTCTAAATCTATAGCTATACTTTTTTTATCACTTAGAGAATAATATATACATTGTGGAAAAGCTATACTTTTTTCAATGGCCTTTACTTTGCTGCAGAGTAAAATAAACTAAAAGAAAATTAAACTTCAGATACAGTTTAATATTTTTAAACTCATTAAAATTGTCTTTCAATCTTAGAGAAGGCCTTGACTGTGTGTTCATGCTAGGGGTAAATTTAGAGTAGATAGCTTTGTGCATTCATTACCCCACTTACAGATTTTCAGCCCCTTAAGTCACTTTGCAAATATTTATTGACAGCCTACTATGTGCCAGGCATTGAGTTACGTATTGGGAACATCTGGTGGAAGGAAAGAATGAGAGAGTCTTTGCACTCATGGAATTTATGATGTAGATGTAAATAAATAGTCGCACAATGAATCAGTGACCATTTTGCTAAGTGTCATAAAATGAAAGCACAGGGTGCCAAGAAGCTATATAGGAGTATCTAACTGACGAAGTTTGAGGGAGGGTGTTTCTAAGGAAGAGCCATGTTGATTGAGACCACACATCGGAGTGGGCGTTATGGAGGGGAGGAGGGCAGCAGGAAGAGTGTTTCAGGTAGAGGATATGCATATGAAGCCTGGGAGGTGGAAAGGAACTTGGCATGTCTGACAACTAGAAAAGAAAAGAAAAGAAAAGAGAAAGACAAAACTGCTGGAGCTTAGAAAACAGGGAAGAGAGGTAAGGCATATTAAGCTAAGAAGCAGGTGAGAAAAAAATCACGCAGGCCCTTGCCAACCACATGAAGAATTTTGGATTTTATCCTAAGTGATGCAGAAGGGTGATATGATTAGATGCGTCTTTTAGAAAATCACCCGGCTGCCCTGCAGAGAATGGATTGGGCAGATTAGCTGGAGGCCACATGGTCATTTGGCCAAGTATGGCAATGGCTGGGTGGAGCAAGACTTGTGGCAAGGGCGAGGGAGTGAAGTGGATGGATTGGAATTAGGAGGAAGAGCCAGTGTGATCTGGTGAGCACTGAGGGGTTCAACCATGTAACTGTCCCAGGGGCTGGTAGCACAGATTTAGCTACCAGCTCATTTAGATATGAACTTATATTTAGCCAGTAAAGGAGGCTTGCAAGTGATGCAGCATAGAGGAGCCCCAACATTGTGTCTTAGTCAGGGAGGGTTCTTGGCTTTGCCCAGGAAAGAATTCAAGAATAAGCCAAGAGTGTTGGACAGCAATCCTTTTTTTTTTTTTTTTTTTTTGAGACAATCTTGCTCTATCACCCAGGCTGAAGCACAGTGGCATGATCTCCTCCACCTCCCAGGTTCAAGTGATCCTCTGGCCTCAGCCTCCTGGGTAGCTGGGATTATAGGCATGCACCACCACACCCAGCTAATTTTTGTATTTTTAGTAGAGATGGGGTTTCACCATGTTGGCCAGGCCTGTCTCGAACTCTGGACCTCAAGTGATCAACTCAGCTCGGCCTCTCAAAGTGCTGGGATTATAGGCGTGAGCCACCAGGCTGGCCTACAGCAATCTTTTATTGGATGGTCCTGCTCCTTGCAATTATATTTATACCCACTTTCAATTGCATGCAAATAAAGGGGTAGGTTAATATGAATTGAGGGGAAGTTTATTTAGAACTTTACATAAAACATAATTTTATGTTTTATGTAGAGTTAATTTACCTCTACAATGGAATACTATATAGTCATTAAATATTATGCTGTAAAGAAATATTTGATGTAAAGAAATATGTTCAATGTACATAACTGAGTGAAAAAATTACAAAGATATATGTATACAGTAGCCCTCCCTTATCCAAAGTTTTTATTTTGGTGGTTTCAGTTACCCGAGGTCAATGTCAGTCCATATTAAATAGAAAATTCCAGAAATTTCAACAATTTTTTTCCAGAAATTTGTAACAATTCCTAAGTTATAAATTGGTAGCTATTCTGAGTAGCATAATGACGTCTCGGCCATCCTGCTTCCTCTTACCCAGGAAATGAATCATCCCTTTGTCTAGTGTGACCACACTGTCTACAGTGTATGCACCTTTAGTCACTTAGCAGTCGTGTAGGTTATCAGACTGACTGTCAAGGTATCACAGAGCTTATTTTTAAGGCACCCTTATTATGCTTAATAAAGTCCACAAAGTGAAAGAGTAGTGATGCTGGCAATTCAGATATGCCAAAGACAAGCTATAAAGTGCTTCCTTTAAGTGAAAAGGTAAAATTTCTCCACTTAATAAGGAAAGAAAAAAAATTGTAACTGAGATTGTAAGATCTATAATAAGAACAAATATTCTATCTGTGAAATTGTGTAGAAGGAAAAATTAATTTGTACATAGTATATATGGAGTTTGGTACTATCCATGGTTTCAGGTTTCACTGGGGGTCTTAGAACATAATCCCACTTTCTGAGAAGCCTATGCATGGATTAAAAAAAAGGTACCTGGGTAGGCATGGTGGCTCACGCCTGTAATCCCAGCACTTTGGGAGGCTGAGGAGGGTGGATCACCTGAGGTCAGGAGTTCGAGACCAGCCTGGCCAACATGGAGAAACCCCATCCCTACTAAAAATAAAAAATTAGCCAGGTGTGGTGGCATGCTTCTGTAGTCCCAGCTACCTGGGAGGCTGAGGCAGGAGAATTGCTTGAACCTGGGAGGCGGAGGTTGCAATGAGCCAAGATCGCGCCACTGCACTCCAGCCTGGGCAACACAGTGAGACTCCATTTCAGAAAAAAAAAAAAAGATACCAGGCAAAAGATTAAAAATGTTTATCACTATTGGCCTATATATTTTTCCAAGACATTCATAATGTATTGCAGTCATCTGTCCATATATGCAGGGCACTGGTTCTGGGAATGCCCTTGCATGCCTAAATCTGCACATACCAAGTTCTGCACTAGGCTTTGCAGAACTCATGGACAGGAGAAGTCGGCCCTCTTCATACTCAGGTTGCACATTCCTTCAATATGATACTTTCCATCTGTGTTTGGTTGAAAAAAAAAAAGCTGTATCTAAGTGGACGCTGCAGTACAAACCTGTATTGTTCATGGACTTATCCCTTAAAAGAATAGAGAGACTCTAAAACGTTAGCAGCATTTAAAATGCACATAGTATAAGGCCTGGAACCCACGGGTGACTTCGTACAGATGGCCACATTTCATGTGGCTCTTGAGGGACACAGGTTTTTTTCATGTTGGGAGGGAGGGGAGAGTTTTGAGAGTAAAATCTGTTCAGGGAACAGTGAGAAATTTGGTATGTTGGGAGATGAGGAAAGTGAGACTAGCATCTTATTCAAAGTGGTAAGTGATATTAAGAAACCTGAACTCCTTCTTTTGAATAATGAAGAGCCAATGAAGGTATCAACTGATGGAGGTAATGCGATCAGATTTAAATATGTCAGCAAATGTCCTAGAACCTCCCAGGTTTTCTGGCTTCCATCTGCTTTCAGGAGAGCTCACTCTCAAATTGGTTATTATATTTTATTATTGAGTGTGGTTTTCCTTGAGACATTTGCAATAGGAATGTTCTTCATGTCCCTGTCCTTATTAGAAATTTTTAAGTTACATGTTTAAACATATAAGTACTTTTGCATAAATACTTTCATATGTGTACTCACAGAAGTACCTTTGCATAAATCCATTAATATGATTATACCAAATAAGCTTTTTAAAGCATTTTTTATAACAAATGTGATTCTATCCATAGTTTTTTCCCCATGCACACATAAATATATAGAGTCATATACACACCCACACAGAAACATATGTGGGGTGCCTGTCATCATTTGCTTTACAAAAAATGGGATTAGACGATACACACTTTACTGTTTGCCTTTCTCTCATCAATAACTGGAATTATCTCCAAATTAGCTGGCACTGTTCTAAATGCTTCTTTTTATCAACTGCAAAATATGCTGTTAGTGCCATGTAGTCCTGTTTTCAGTCATTTTCTTACCAATAGATTAACGTCGTTTCCAGCTTTTCATCACTACCACGCAGTAAGCATTCTTATATATTATGTTTTTATGAAATAAACCCCCAAAGCGGGGCTGTTGGGTCAAAGGATATAGGTAATTATAATTGGAATAAGCAGGGGCCAGATTACTTTCCAAAAAGGCTATAACACTACATCTGCAATGGCATGAGGAAAATACATTCTTTTGTCCAAATCCTCACCAGCAACAGATATTATAACCCTTTTTGATGTTCTGTTGCCAGCTTGATGGGTATAAGGTGATATCTTAATATTCTTTTAATTTGCATTTCTCTTACCACTGGTGAATTTCAGCAACTTTTCACGTGGTATCTTTATGTATTGGGTTTGTACTCTGTGGATTATTATTTCTATTATCTTTTCTAGATTTGTGTCCCTCCATAATCTTTCTTGCTGTTAGGCTAGGTGACTGGTCAGTTTTCATGGCCTTCATCAACGCTGACTCCATGAGTACTGTTGGAATTTGCATTTTTAAAATGTGAACTAACTCCTCTGTATATGCCAATACTCATGCCAGATAAACTCCAGGCAGGAGGACACAGGTAATACATTCACATTCCTTTTCTATCGCAAAATGGGTGAAGAGAACACAGATCCCCGACTCCTGGAATACCTAAATCAATCAGGTGCCTTATCGAGAAATGCAGGTCTGTAGCGGTGAGATAAGGTCTCTCTAGCTGTGTCAAACGCCACCTTGGAAACATAAATTAACCTGCAAATAAAGCAGCCCTGAGCACAACAGGATTCAGGATGACAGATGTGACTCTGGCGGTCCCGAAGGATGCCCTAATAGGGTGGCCTGTGTCTGTCTCCTTGATTAATCAGTCCGTGCTCGCCATTCTAATCTATTCCAGCCAGCTGCATGAAGCAGATTATTACCAAGTCAATATGGATCACAGCCAACTGCTGGGAGGGCTTGGCCATTACGTCTTCCTGCAGTGCAGTTAGCGAGACCAACCCCTTCCCCTGAGGCGCTTTAATAAATTAAAATGATGTAGATTGCTTGGTCTCCTTGTCACTACGGTGAAAAAAATCAAGAGAACCCGGCCTTGTGTTTATGACTAACATCGGGTGATTTTCTGAGGAGGGGTTGCTAGTGGGTTTATGTCTGCTGAGAATTATCTGCTGCCAGCGGCCACCCAAAATTATCCATCTGTCAGCTACATTCCCCTCCAGCATTGTGGAGGGCATGGGCTACTCTAAACTGGTTCTAACCCATTTGCTCCAAAATAATTTTTTAAAGAAGAAATCTCTTGTTTCTTGTTTCAAAGCAGTAACCTCTTTGATAGCAAGATAAATAAATAAATAAAAATGAAGAAGAAGAAATTATATGGCCACAGATATAAAAGGAGAAAAGGCCATCCCTGTATGTTCGCAGAGACCCCAAATCAAATCAGGAGCGATTAAATGACTCATTCAATTACAGGTTGTTCAGTGGCTTGGTCAAGACTCTTAACATATACAACCTGACTATAACATGAGTATTGTAATAGAATGTTCATGGGTGGTTTTCAGGGAACCTGTGAAACCTCTAGAATTGCACTAAAAATCTGTGTGTGTGTGTGTGTGTGTGTCTTTTTTTGGAGGAAAGAGTCCATGGTTTTTGTCAGATTCCCACATGGGTTGCAGGTTGGGAATGAGTTAAGCATTCCTGTTCTAGAAGTTCAAGTCTTCAACACGAGGCGCTAACACACGTTGAAGACAAAATAGAAACCTCAAAGATATACAATACTACCCAAGTACCAGAAGCCATCAAAGTTTTGGTAGAGGGACAAAGGAGATTGTAATTCTCTTTCAATTCTTGGTTTTATTCTCTGATGTGATTTTTTTTTCCTTCATGAGGCAGATGTGGTGAAATGGAGATTTGAGTGTCCTTCGTTTGGGACTGTCTCATTCTTTGACAGCCAAGGAGCCCTAATATGAGGCTTGGGGATGGGAGCATGCAGGAGTGTCCTTAGCACACTCTGGTCAAGGACTCACCAGCTCTTAGGTGTCCCCATCTTTGGTAAGGATGATGTAGAGGACCAGCTAGACCAGGTGGACCAAGAGAACAGAAGACAGGGCTGCTTCGACATTTGTCTGGACCTTCCTTGTCTCTAGGGAGTAGCAAAAGCCATGACTTCCAAACTATTCAGCCAGATTCACCAGAGCAAGAGATCAGATCCCAGGTTCAGGTAGGAGCCTAAGTAACAAGGTGTGTACATTTACCTGGAGGGGCCCCTCTGTGCTTCCCTCAGAGGCTCAGTGCAGGAATAAGTGAGTCAGGGATACAAAACTTGGGGACTGGCTGTACTGAGTATGACTAACAATTTACTAGCGATTATCTGTGTCATCTATCTTCATTCAGGCACCTGGCAGATGCCATGAGTGGGCTGTGTTGGGGAAAAGCAAACTCATTTTAACAGCAGTGCCAGGAAAACTAGATGTGCAAAGTAAGTCTGACATGCAACCACTAAAACACTGTGACATACATACGTGAGTGTGTGTATATGTAAAAGACTTCTCTATGGTAAAGAGAAATGATTTTAAATGACCACTCCTTTAAAGGTTCCACAACACCAGGGTTCTTCAATAATGGAAATACTTAAGAAATAGAGGCTACTCTTATATCCTCATCTTTTATCATATCTGACTTCATGTTCAAATAACTAGCATGCCTGAGAACAACATGTACCATCTTCCAATAACCAGCAAATAGTATCTATTGCTGTTAATTGTGTGTTTTTCCTTCCCAAGTATAGTAAGCACATACCTCAGTCCTTTGCTAAGTCTCAGGGGTCTCATGCACAGCATTGCTTTGGCTCCATTTTTTTTTTTTTTTTTTTTTTTTTTTTGAGACTGAGTCCCAGCTTGTCACCCAGGCTGGAGTGCAGTGGCACGATCTTGGCTGACTGCAACCTCCACCTCCCGGGGTCAAACCATTCTCCTGCCTCAGCCTCCCGAGTAGCTGGGATTACAGGCACCCACCACCACACCAGGCTGATTTTTGTATTTTCAGTAGAGACGGGGTTTCTCCGGTTTCTCCACGTTGGCCAGGCTGGTCTCGTCTTTAGTAGAGATGGGGTTTCTCCATGTTGGCCAGGCTGAACTCCTGACCTCAAGTGATCCACCCGCCTTAGCCTACCAAAGTGCTGAGATTACAGGCATGAGCCACCGCACCCAGCTACAGCAGAATTTTAATTTATTGGAATTTATTTTGGTTCATAATGTGTCTGAGAGAGGTATTTTCCAATATTCACACTTATGTTCTTTAAAAAAGAAGTAAAAGCCCTAATTTTTAGTAAGGTCCATGCTCCTCCAGAAAAAAGCTGCGTTTCTCAACACTTTGTGCTAAGATCTGGCTAATGGAATGTAAGTGAAAGTGATGTGTGCAAGCTCTTAGTCTTGTTCTTAAAGAGCAGACCCTTTCCTCTCTTCATCCCCCCGCTTGCCACTTAATATGTTTGTGATGACATCCTGGAATGTGCAAAAAGTGCCACTCTAGTGATGGCAGAACAACCAGATATAGGAACTTGGACAATCCGTGAATCTGAGCCATATTCCACTCTGGACTGCCTCCATGTACTCATACTGATGGACTTACATCTGGTTCATCTTCACATCACGGATGTGCCCTTTGAAATCCCAGTTTTATGGCTGAAGGATTTTGTCCCAGTCCCCCATGCCTGTGTGTTCATGAAAATCAAATCCCAAGGCCATCTTGTTCAGCAAAGAACCTTCGAACCAAGGTCGTCTCAGTCCTCTGTGTGCCTATCTATGTAGGTACCTTTACTTAAATTTTAGACCACAGCCTCTTTCCTGCTAGGGCATCAACACTATCAGAAGAAGCATTGCTCTCATGCTACTCAGGGTTTTTCCTTGGTTTCAGCAAGAGAGTCAGTCTGGATAATTTGCCCGCCACATCATTGGTAAGGGGAGTCTTGATTGCTATCTTGAGTGGCCTGTGCTTAACCCTGGATAAGGATGGAGTTGCATCTCCTCGGGTGTGCTGCTATAAGAAGCCCTTCTGCAGTTGCTGCCCTGAGGACAGGGACCTCATTCTGAGCCTGATTGCCTCTTGGAGAGACACATTGCAAGGTACCTCTGCTGGGTACATTGCAGAGCCCATAAAAGATTTTTTGTTTTGGATGAACGTCTAAACAGCAGAGTATATTATTCTAGAAATATTGCCATGATTATTTCCTCCTTACAATACAGGACTATGAACTATAAAAAGGAGAATCCACGAGTGTATGTAGAAATTTTGTTGCTAAGTGATGTCTTTGTTCCTATACTAGACTGCTTACCTCTCCCCATATAACGCTAAGAACTTCTATTTTTCTTCCACTAGGTGTAAACTCAAATCACTGATTAAGTGAAACAAACAGATCGGCAATTACCACTTCTTGTGATTGAGTGTCAGATTCAAATCGGTAAAAGGCAATGAAAAGCATACAAATCTTTTTTTCTGAACTCTGTCCTTTTTTTCAGATAACTTTCTCATACAATCATTTTTAATAAATCATCATTCTATTTGTTCCTTTTCCAGAGTAATTCTTGGCACTTCATGTGCAGACCCATTGCCAAAGCCATAGTGTGGTCTGTATCTCAATGACTTCATGACTCGTGCAGTATCTTCCCTCTGCTCTGTGGGATACCACCAGGAATGATTTTGCTGAGACACAACCCAACAACTCCTCAGAAAGTTTCAGTGATTGTTGTCATCAATGACATTTATTCCTGCAGAATTTGTTAATCATATCAGAATTGTTTAGTATTTAGTATATCTCAGGTATTGAATTTGACACTCTAAATGCATAATTTCATTTAATTATCCCAATAAACCATGATGTGGACACATACATTTCCATTTCCCAGGGGAGACAACCAAGGCTTAGCCTCTAATTTGCCCAAGGTTACTCAGATTGTATTTTATTCGGCTCAGGCTGCCATAACAACATAGCATAGACTGAATGACTTAGACCACAGACATCGATTTCTAACAATTCTGGAGGCTGGGAAGTCCAAGATTAAGGAACTGGCAGATTCAGTATCTGGTGAGGACTCTCTTCCTGGTTTGCAGACAGCTTACATCTCTCTGTGTCCTTACATGGTGAAGAGAGAGAGCGTTTCAATTCTCTGGCATCTCTTCTTATAAGGACACTAATTCCATCATGAGGCCGCTATCTTCATGACCTCATCTAACTCCAATTACCTTCTAATGGCCTCTTCTCCAAATACCATCACATTGGAAGTTAGGGCTTCAACATAGGAATTTTGGGGAGACACACACATTCAGTTCATAGCAGATGGTGAGAAATGGGTGGATTTAAAGGCTCTACTTAACCTGGCTTCTACTGTCATGCACTGGACTCCAGCCACACTAACCTTCTCTCTGTTTCTCAAAACCTTTGACTTGCCCTGCTACAAAATGCTTTGTACCCTTTGCCTGGAATACCCTGCCTCTAGATCTTTACCCACCAGAATCCTTCTGTTATGTAGGTTCAGTTCAAGCACTACCTCCGCTGAGTCTGAGTCTGTCCTTCACTACTAATCTAAAGGCCACCCCCAACTCCGACCCAATCGCTCTCTCAGATCATCCAGTTTTAGCTTCTTGACAGTGTGTGTTGTTCCTCAACATTTGTTCGTACATAAATTGACTTGCCTATTTTCTTTTTCTTCTCTAGAGTGTAAGCTTCATGAGAGCAGGAACTAGGCCTCTTTTGTTTGCATCTGTATCACCATAAGCTTGAAGGCTACTGATATGGCTTGGATCTGTGTCTCCACCTAAATCTCATGTTCAATTGTAATTCTCAATGTTGAAGGTGAGGCCTGGTGGGAGGTAATTTGATCATGGGGGTGGATCCTTCATAAACGGTCTAGCACCATCCCTTTGGTGCTATTCTCGTGATAGAGTTCTCATGAGATCTGGTTATTTAAAAGTGTCCCCCACACTTCCTCCTGCTCTGGCCACGTGAAGATGTGTCTACTTCCCCTTCACCTTCCATCATGATTGTAAGTTTCCTGAGGTCTCCCCAGCCATGCTTCCTGTACAGCCTGTACTGTGAGCCAATTAAACCTCTTTTCTTTATAAATTACTCAGTCTCAGGTACTTCTTTATAGCAGTGTGAGAACAGACTAATACAGGTACCTGACACATAAACAGTGGAGGATGCATGAGTGAATGTCCACTCCAACACCATCCCTCTTCAGTGCCAAGCTATCCTGGGGGATTCAGTGCTTTGCCTGCAGTTGAAGGGGACATGCAGGTCAAAAGGGCACATCAGCTGACACCCGGAGCCATCCACAGGGAAAATCAAGAGGGACTGTAGGACATGTCACTTAGGAAATTAGAATACCCCTGTCTCTGAATCCTTACTCTATTAGTCTGTTGTCATGCTGCTGATAAAGACATACCGAGACTGTGTAATTTATAAAGAAAAAGAAGTTTAATGGACTCGCAGTTCCACATGGCTGGGGAGGCCTCACAATCATGGGTGAAGGCGAAAAGTACTTCTTACATGGCGGCAGCTAGACAGAATGAGAGCCAAGTGAAAGGGGTTTCCCCTTATAAAGCCATCAGATCTCATGAAACTTATTCATCACAAGAACAGTATAGGGGAAACAGCCCCCATGATTCAATTATCTCCCACCAGGCCCCTCCCATAACACATGGGAATTCTGGGAGCTACAATTCAAGATGAGATTTGGGTGGGGATACAGCCAAACCATATCACTCACCTAGGGGAATTCAAATTCCTTCCTTTAATCCCAGCTATGAACTGAATGTTTATGTCCCCCCAAAATTTATATGTTGAAGCTCTAACCCCCAATGTGATGGTATTTGGACATGGGGCCTTTGGGAGGTGATTAGGTTTAGATGAATTCATTAAACTGGGTGTCCCAGGATGAAATTTGTGTCCTTATAAAAAGCAGGAAGATACACCATAGTTTTCTGTCTGCCATGGGAGCCCACAGCACTCACAACAAGAAGATGGCCATCTGCAAGCCAGGGAAAGAGCCCTCACCAGGAACCAAATCTATTGGCCTCTCGGTCTTGAACTTTCAGCCTCCAAAACTATGAGAAATAAACATTTATTATTCAAGTCACCCAGTCTATGGTATTTTGTTATGGCAGCAGGAGCTGATTAAGACAATCCTCAAGTCATTCCACCTTATGTCAGGCACCCATGGAGACTCGAGAAATTTCCTTCCTGCTATTGATTGTTAACTTGCCACTCACCCAGGCCTCCAGTTCTTGTGTTCTCCGTGGCTCCTTCCCTGTGAATATGACTCATTATCTAGTGGCCTATCTTTCCTAGAGGTTGCACCTGAACCAAGTCTCTTTTTGCCTTGAGGCTGGGCCACTGCTCCTTCACTTCAGCCTGCCTTCTCATCTGTTGATGTTGCCTGGCCGGCACCATCATCCCAGACTGACTCAGGGCAGTGGATTGCCATATCCTTAAGCTGAGGCTGCTTTCATAGGAGATGCACAATGGACCCACCCTGCCTTCCCCTCATCCCCAGCATTCCTTGTCTCCTCTGTGCTGCTCTGGCCCCAGAAGGTATCCACAGAGGCTGGTGCTCACCCCTGTTCTGGGAAGGAGTGTGTTTCTCCTATCACCATGAAAAGGTGAGACCCCTCTGCTTTTGTTCCTTTTCTCTCTGGGCAAGATCTCTTTCATCCCATCTAGATTTCCCTTGCTAGCTGTGCAAATTAATTTTCTCTACTTTCCATTGAGAATGTCAATATACTCCCTAAGATTCTTCACATCTTTTTACAGGCGTTTGTATTTTGGGGTTCTTATTTTTGTTTTGCTACAACTAAAAAGATTAAACCACATTTTCTATGTCTTCAGTGCCGCTCCTGTTGAGCAGAATGATTGCAAACCTATGTTCACCACCTAAATAAACAAACAAAAATATCAAAAGCCTACTAATTGCCAGGCATTACTCTAGGTGTTTTTTCGGGGAGGTGTTAGTGACTGGCTAACTCAATGCATTAAAATGTCAAACATTTTGCAAAGCTCTGTAGTAATAAAAACATAAATGACTGCCTGTTGGCATTCTTAGGTGCTTTATTTTTTTGGAGACCAGCTCTATTTGAGTTTTTTAATTAACTTAAATCTTTATTGCCTGGGGAATGCTGAGACATTTGGGTCAGTCTTCCAAATGCCAAGTGAGACTATTTGAATTTAGGAAAAAAACAAACAAACCAAAAATGCCAGGTCAGAGGCATGAAACCAGAATCCTAGAGTGACTGCTCATCATTGTGTGACAAGTTTCAGAATGAAAAAGAAGGATATTGAGAAACTGACTTAGGACTACATTCTTCTTTGGCACCATAAAAACAAACACAAAGTCAGGGGACCAGGAAAATCAGAATTGAACTATTGTGTTTATTTGGGTGTTTAGTTCATATTAGGTTGAAAATCTTGAAAATCTTATAAAGACACAAACTTTGTTTAACTCATGTGTCAGGTAAATGCCTCTGACAGATAAATGTGGCTGTTTCCTACTCTTACACAGTCCAGAAGATAATTCTTAGCTGGTATAATCACCAGCCAGAAGGTCTCCTGGTCTGATTCATGAATGACTAGCTCACTCGCAAGATGAGAACTGGTCACAAGTCATTAATTCAATTACTTAAGAAACATCTATCAAGTGTTTAGTATATATGAGACATTAAGTTGGATGCTCGTACTATCCAAGGGAACTTAGAGGTTGTTGTTTTTAAAAGGTGATATTCACATAGATATGGAGGCAAAGCCTTCAGTGTTTGAGGGATAGTGACCAGCAGACCTATGGAAACAAGATGTGGTGGACCCTGGGGGGCAGAGAGAAATGGCCTAACTCTCAAAGAAGCAGGAGTTCAGAAGAGACTTGGGAAAGGGAGGAGAATACTATCTCCATCTCCCAACCTGGAAGCCGTTTTATTTCTATCACTGTAAGTGGTTTTGGTGCAAGTGGCTTCTGTGACTAAGAATGGCATCCCACCTGTGAAGGTCTCTAGGGTAGATTTCAGTTATGCCATGGAGGAGAAAGAAGTACTGAGTCCTGGCCAGGCACAGTGGCTCATGCCTGTAATCCCAGCACTTTGTGAGGCCAAGGTGAGTGGATCACTTGAGGCCAGGAGTTCAAGACCAGCCTAGGCAACATGATGAAACCATGTCTGTACTAAAAATACAAAAATTAGCTGGGCATGGTGGTGGGCGCCTGTGGTCTCAGCTACTCAGGAGGCTGAGGCACAAGAATCGCTAAAACCTGGGAGGTGAAGGTTGCAGTGAGCCAAGATCATGCCACTGCACTCCAGCCTGGGTGACAGAATGAGACTCTGCCTCAAAATAAATAAATAAATAAATAAAATACTGAGTTGGTCCCAAAACATTTGACAGATAGCTGTTGAATCTCTATGGTAGGCCAGAAACTCTTTTAGGCATTAGGGCTGCAGTGAAAACTAACTCTCTAATCTTATGGGGCTTCTATTTTTGTGTGATAGGGAATAAACATGTAAACAAGGAAATAAGAGAACATCATGGAGTAATCAGTGCTACGAGA
Source organism: Homo sapiens (assembly GCF_000001405.40). Classification (NCBI taxonomy): domain Eukaryota; kingdom Metazoa; phylum Chordata; class Mammalia; order Primates; family Hominidae; genus Homo; species Homo sapiens. Next base: position 27,045,100 of record NC_000008.11, read on the forward strand.
AACAGTGGAAGCATGGGAAGGGGATGGCGGGTGTTGGGGAGTCAGGATGGGTGGAGATGACCTTACTGAGGAGGTGATACTTGAGCAGAGAAGGGTATGAAAGGTATGAAGACAGGAGCAAGGCATGCAGGTAGAGCATTCTAGGCATGGGGAACAGAAAGTGCAAAGTCCCTGAGTTGGGAAAGTGCTGTGTGTTCAAAGCACAGCAAAGAGCACAGGGTAGCAGAGGCACAGTGAACGGTGGTAAGTGGTATGTAGGAGCCAGCCTACACTGGTTTGCAGAGCCAACTGTTAAGTTTTCAGGAATTTTGCCAGACGGTTGCTAAACACAGCCATTCTTAAACATTAAATCATATAAACTTATAACTGAACATATCACATTAAAACTAAAACTCACCACTTCCTAATTAGTTTGCTACATTTTTACTGTTATCTATGCCCTTGAAGTTATGTATATCTGAGTGTCTGTAAGGTGGAAATACTATATAATGCTTCAGTCCTGTGCATCTCTTCCCAGCTCCGAGTTCAGTGTGGTTGACTTGTTAGCTTGAAATCAGCCACCGTAGGAGAATTACACAATGGAAATGGACAAATGGTACAAATCAAGGCATACCTTAATTTTTGTTGATTGCCTAGACTTAAGGAAGAGGTGGAGAAAATGTTAATAATTCAGATTAAATGTAGAAGAGTTTCATGCTACATTTGAACAGCACAAAAAATTGAGGAAATATTCTTCCAGTATTTGAAAACTGTTATCCAGTTTGGCAAAGAACATCCTCTTGTTGTCGACACATGGGGAAATTCCAACACACTCCTTTATTCTCTTACTCTTGTCTTACTTGTTAACATGTATGAAAATATCAACCAACATTCATGCCAGGATGGCATATGGGGAGCCAGGTGTTACCCATTTATTATCACACAGATGTGTCAGAAACATAGCTGGGAATCAGATTAGACAGGCCTTATATATCAAAGTAAGGGTGTAAAAATTTTTAATTGTGAAATGGAAAGCTGTGAGGTTTAAAACAGAAGAATAAGATGCTCTGAATTCTGTTTCGGCCTGGTGCAGTGGCTCACGCCTGTAATCCCAGCACTTTGGGAGGCTGAGGTGGGCTGATCACGAGGTCAGGAGATCGAGACCATCCTGGCTAACACAGTGAAACCCCGTCTCTACTAAAAATACAAAAAATTAGCCTGGCATGGTGGCAGGTGCCTGTAGTCCCAGCTACTCGTGAGGCTGAGGCAGGAGAATGGCGTGAACCTGGGAGGTGGAGCTTGCAGTGAGCCAAGATTGCACCACTGCACTCCAGACTGGGCGACAGAGCGAGACTCTGTCTCAAAAAAAAAGGATCATTTCAGTAGCTGGGAACAGAATAGAGCATAGGTGAACAAAAACAGAAAAAGTGGGGCTGAGTTAGGAGAACATACGTCAGCTTCCTCTGGGTAGCTGTGGAGGTGATGAGAAGCAGTTCAACTTGAGCTGTATTTTTCAAGGAAATGTCAACAGGACTTGCTGAGGACTTAGATGTGGGTTAGAAAATAAGAAAGATAGCACAGATGACTCCAAAGTTTTTGGCCTGAGCAGCTGGAAGAATGGTGTAACTGTTCAATAATAGGAAGCCAAGTGAAGCAGAAATAGATTGGGGAAAGGATTGGAATAGAATAAAGAATTCTAGGGCAGCACAATGGCTCATGCCTGTAATCCCAGCACTTTGGGAGATTGAGGAGGGCAGATGGCTTGAGGAGTCCGAGACTAGCCTGCTCAACATGGCAAGACTCCATCTCTACTAAAAATACAATAGTTAGCCGGGCATGGTGGTGCACACCTGTAATCCCAGCTGCTGAAGTGGCTGAGGCAAGAGAATCGCGTGAGCCCGGGAAGTGGACGCTGCAGTGACCCGAGATTGCGCCACTGCACTCCAGCCTAGATGACAGAGTAAGACCCTGTATCAAAAAAAAAGAAGAAAAAAAAAAGGAGTTCTGTTTTTGATATGTTAAGTTTGAGATGTCTATTGTGTCCAAGTGGAGATGTTCAGGGTGAAATTGTATGGATTGTGTTTTTCATAGCATAGGGATTCTAGAGGACTTAATAGTAAAAGAAGCAGTAGGAAGATCTCAGAGGAGAGGATGAGACTAGAAGGATTCAGTTGGTCAGTGCAACTTATGTCTCACGTTGTGTCTGAGGATGACAAGAGGTGATGCATTGTGGGTAAAGCTGACTATATGGTTATTAAAAGAAAAAAAAAAGTCCAAGAAGTCCTAGTAAATGGAAAAATTTAGGTCTCCCTGGATGAAGTCAGCCATAGCCTGGGTTGATTGTTCTGCTGAAGAGAGCTTAGTCAGGTGGAGAGTGTGGTAAAGGGATAGCCATTACCCCCAAGGCTTCAATACAAGTGGAAAATGCAACAGCTTTAATCCTAAGATTCTTCCTAGATTCACAATATGTGTGTGCCCTGGTCCCAACCCCTCCCTACTCCCCTCATTTGCCCCCAGGCTTCGTGAAAGTGATAGCAGAATCAGCCATGCTGATTCCTCAGCCCAGTGCACTGGATGGAAGTTAATGCCCAAAACTGATTTATCTTCCTTGAGGCTGGGAAAAGGGATGAGTTGGGAAAGCGAACAACTAGAGGTGTTTATGAAGGAGGAACATCTGGGATGCCCGTGGTGGTAACGTGGAGTGCTGCAAAGAGGACTATAGAGAAGGAAGGCAAAATGCTGTTTAGAATCCACAAACGTGGAATCAGTGCATCTCATTTGCTGGCTCTTACCATAAAATGAGCATCAGTATCCCTGCCCTGAGCTTGGGTAGCTTATCAGAGAAGATCGCTGACACTTTTGGAGCCCATCTGAATAGCTCCCTCTGAAGCCATCCAACTTGACCATGATCTGGACTTCCTACTAGACCAGTATTTTGCCTTTGCCTGATCTTTCAACTTCAGCTTCTGCATTTTCTTCTAATTAGCCCTTTCTTACCCCACCAGCACTGCCAAAATGGAGACTTCCTGTCCCAGTCTCAGACCTTGTGGAATTCACACCTCCCCTTTCCATCACCACCTCCCAACCCTGCCACAATATGGACTACCTGTTGTTACGTTGAGAAGATTAAGACTACACAGGCAGTTAGTTTAGGGAACACCTTCTACAGTTGGTGAAATCTATTTTTAAGATCATGAAATGTCATACTACTGCCATATATACTAATTTCCTCCTCCTCCTTTCTCTAAAACTGTCACTCAAGATAAAAGTCAGCTGGGCCGGGCAGGGTGGCTTACGCCTATAACCCCAGGATCTGGGGAGGCCAAGGCTGGCGGATCACCTGAGGTCAGGAGTTTGAGACCAGCCTGGCCAACATGGCAAAACCCCATCTCTACTAAAAATACAAAAATTAGTCAGGCATGGTGGTGCACACCTGTAGTCCCAGCTACTCGAGAGGCTGAGGCTGGAGAATCGCTTGAACCTGGGAGGTGGAGGTTGCAGTGAGCCAAGATCACGCCATTGCACTGTAGCCTGGGCGACAAGAGTGAAACTCCATCTCAAAAAAAAAAAAGGGCAACTGGTGAATGCTGGGAATATGAATATCAGGGCTTGTGCTTGTTATTTTGGGGAATGACAGAAGACAGACCCAGGCAGTGTTTTTTCCCTGCATTCATCCTTTTTTCCTTTTTCTTTATTTCCCATTTATTTTATTTAAGTGTGATTTAGTTTGTACAACATTTATAAGAGGAATGGAAAATAGACAAGAAGTGATGATAGCAAGTATTAGGTTGGTGCAAAAGTAATTGCGGTTTTTGTCATTAATGAAACGTAAAGTAATTAAAGTAATGACAAAAACCGCGATTACTTTTGCACCAACCTAATAGCTTTGGAAATGGAACAACGAAGGATCACAAGTTTGGCTTCAAGTTTTCTGTGGTACACTTGCCACAAAAAGCAGGGGGCAGAGGAAACTTTTGGAGGCGATGGATATGTTTATCATTTTGATTGTGATGATATCATGGGTGTATATGTATACCCAAGCTCATCAAATTGTACACATGAAATACATGTGGGGTTTTTCTGTCTATCAATTTATACTTTGATAAAGCTATTAAAAAGAAAAAGGCAGAAATGAGCTCAAATTTTAAACTGTCTTTATTCTTTCATTGAACAAGCATTTATGAAGGGCCCGCCATGTGCCAGCTCTGTGCGAGATATTGATGTGACTCTGGGAAGGCAAGCATTGTCCCCAACCCTGCACATCTATCAGGGAAAGCAGAAGCAATTGCCATCACGTGCTAGGACAGGGAAGTTTGGCACCATGGAAACGTGTAGCAGGGGCAATCCTGGTGTGGGGGTGGGTCAGGATTGTAATTCCCAAATTGGAGACTGACTCACACAGCTATCAGTGACAGGCAGAACAACCTCCACAGACTTCAGCCAGAGGGGGGAATTAGCCATTTTCTTTTATATCACCGTTTTATTCACACATCAGCATCCCCTCATTCCCATCCACTTATTCCTGAAAGCAGGCCCTTTTTGAGGCTCCAAACATAGTAATTAAACAAAGGGGATTCTAGAAGGTGGACAAAGCATTAGAGACAGCTTCATTGTATATAAATGCCAAATTTTCTGCATCAGTAAGGTTGCAGCTGTGACAAGAATTAGGCTGCTTTCTAGGTCATATATTTTCTAAAGCACTAGGCAAAAAAAATATTAACACATGAGGGGAAAAGAAATAAATAGACTCAATTGTTTTAAAACCTTATGAGTAGACCATTTTTTAATAATACAATGAATACTGCTTATTGAATAAACAAAGAAATTATTTGTTAATATAAAATAGAGCCACATTCTCTGGTTAAATCGTGAATGTGTAAAAAATTAAGTTCTCAATTTAATCTGTTCTGCACAAGATTCTGAATGAAAGATTAATTGGATATAATGACACTGATATTATTTTCTGTATAATAATAATTCTATACATGTTTGGCAATTTATAGTTGTAATTCTATGAATCTGAATTTTTAAAAGTTAACTACAAATAAACAGTCTCTGTAAATGAGATATATGGGGTAGGAGACTGCTTACATGGGTATGGCTAAAGCATAAATTTGAAATAATATCTGATTCATATCAGAATTTATCAGCCTGGGCTGGATAATGTTTAGTCACAGATGAGACACAGATAAGAAAATTAACACCAGATTGGTAATTAAAAGTGCTTCCTGGGTATGAATGACACCTCTGAATGCAGCATGAAATAATTCCTTTTGTATTCTGCTCCACGTTTTCTTTCATCTTGTGTTTGGACATTAGCCACAGAGGGATTGATGTTTACCGCAAAGAGCCTGGAGTCAGAAGATCTATATTCTGGTCTCAATGCTGCTAGAAGTTAACTGTTAGATTTTTAGAAAAAATAAGTTCTAATCCTCTGTTCAGCTTGCACATCTGCAAAATGAAGATACTTTTTAAAGCAAAATTGAGAAAGAAATAGAACAAAATTATGCATGCAAAAATGCGGTGAAAATTTTTAGTTAATGCAAATATAAAATATCCAAATAGTCTATGCACAAATATATTTATATATCATAACAATGGAAACTAAATTATAATTGAAGGGATATCAAAAATAGAATTATAGTATTGAAACAAATAAAAGCCAACAAGATTGAATATGTGTGTTTGTGCACGTATGTTTTAAGTGGTGAGATACTTCTAGATATTATGTTGTTAACATATTACCAAATTGTTTAACTCATATATGCGTATAGTTTTTGGTAATATGAAACTGTGCATAGAAGGAGATGATCAGTAATTTATTTGGCTGTCTAGTACATGTTGAGTCACTTCTCCATATAAAAAATTAATAAAGAAGGCTAATAAATGGGCTCCTCACGTGAGGGCTAAAGACAAAGACAGATGCAGACGCTTTGTTCCTGAAACCTCTAGCTTGGAATATGTTATAGTCCTGAGACAAAGCCATTCACAATTAATTCCAATGGTAAATCTCAGTTGAGCCTCGGGGGTGTGAAGGGGGACTGATACAGCATAGTCGGTTTGCCATAAATATGCCTAAATCTATAAAAGATTCATCACATTAAAAGAGGTTTTTTCTGAACACTATGCTCATTTATCAGATTATTTGGAGATTATTTAGTATGATAAAATACAGAAAATACCTCACTACATTTGTAAAATCTTTTCAGAAATCAATTTCTAAGTTTTTAACAAAAATGTCATGATAAGACTTCTAGTACTATAAGATGTCATAGACCTTCTGGTATAGGCACAGCAGTCTGAACAAACACCGAAATAAGAGGGGCACCTTAAAATCTCTAGTCAAACGGACTGGTAGAAACCTTCTATGCAATCTCAGTCTACTAAGAAGTAGGTTTCTACCTAATGTAAAAAAACCAATACTGAAAATCAAGGAAAAGAAAGAAATAGGAACAAAACAAACAAACAATAAGACAAACAAACAAAACAAACAGTAACAAGATAAATCTCCAAAAACATACTTGAATGAAGTGGAGTTTTGTGATTTACCTGACAGAAAATTCTAAATAATGGCCATAAGGTTACTCATAGATGTCAAGACAGCAATCCAAGAACAAGCTGAGAACTTCAACAAAGATACAGTATAAAAAAGTATCACATGGAAATCATAGATCTGAAGAATGCTATAACTGAATTAAAAAATTCAATAGCGGGGTTCAATAACAAACTAGAACAATCAGGGGGAAAAATTGTGAACCTGAAGACAGATCACTGGAAATCATTCAGTCTGAGAAGCAAAAACAAAAAAGAATAAAAAGAGGTAATTATAGATGAAGAGACCAATGGGACACCATTAAGCAGAACAAATTATGCATTATTGGTGTGCCACAGGGAAAAGAAACAGAGAAAGGGATATAAAACATAATCAAGGAAATGACGGCAGAACACTTCCGAAGTCTCAGGAAGACATTAGAAAGCCAGATCCCGGAAACCCATAAGACATAAAAGATGACAAATCCAAAGAGACACCATGATACATCATAGTTAAATTGTCAAAAATTAAAGATTAAATGAAAGAAATCAAGGAGCTAAATGGAAAAACATACCGAGTTTAAGACTCAACATAGTAAAGATGTCAGTTCTGGCCAAATTCTCTATATGCTTAATGCAATTTCTATCAAAATCCCAGCAAAGTTTTCGTTGCGAAAGACAAGCTTACTCTAGAATTTATATGAAAAGTTTGAGACCCTACGATAGCTAAAGTAATCTTGACAAACAAGAATAAAATATAGGAATTACTCTGCTGATTATTAACATGTAACTGTATGGCTAGAGTAATCGAGACAATCAAGACACCATAGTATTGGCAAAGGGGCAGACACATAGATCAGTGGAAAAGAAAAAAAAAATCCAGGATCCAGACTCATACAGATATGCTCACCTAATTTTTGACATAGATCCAAAGCAGTTCAATGGAGAAAGGATAGCTTTTTCAACAAATGGCATTGGAACAACTGACCATCCAAAGGCAAACAACATGAACTTCAACCTAAACGTCACACATCGTACAAATATTCACTCAAAATGGATCAGGGACAAAATGTAAAATGTACAGTTTTAAAGCTCTTGGGAAAAAGTAGAAGACAGGACCTACAATTACCCAAAAAGCCTTCGACTTGACAAAAAAAGCACGATCCATAAGAGAAAAAGTTGACAAATTTTACTTAATCAAAATTTAACTTGCTGTGCAAAAGCTCAGTGAAGAGGACGAAAAGACTAGCTACATCCTAGGAGAAAATATTTGCAAACGATTCCAAAAAAGGACAAGTATTTAGAATATATTTCTAAAACTTTCAAAACCAACAGTAAAAAGAAAAATCAATCCAATTGGAAAGTGGCCAAAGCACATGAACACTAAAGAGGATATACAGTTGGTGAACATGCACATAACATAATGTCCAACATCACTACTCATCAAGGAAATGCAACTTTAGACTATAACTAGGTGTCATTACATACTTATCAGAAGGGTTTGAGTAAAAAAATAGTGATATCAAATGCTGGTGAGAATGTGGAAAAGACGGATCACTTATACATTGCTGATGGAAATATATTATGTAAAAATGGAACAGTTACAGAAAACAGTTTGGCAGTTTCTTACAAGACTGAAAATGAAATTACCGTATTACGCAGCAATGGCAGTCTTGGAACTTTTATCCCAGAGAAATGAAAATGTAAGTTTACACAAAACCTGTTTACATAAATGTTCATAGCAGCTTATTCATAATCACCAAAAACTGGAATCAGTCCAGATGTACTTCAGTAAATAACTGTTAAAAAAAACACACTGTGGTATATCCATACCATAAAATACTACTCAACAATAAACAGAATGAACTATTGAGATACATGGCCACTTACAAAATCTCCAGGGTATTATGCTGAGGGAAAGCCTATCCAAAAAGGTAAAATACTGTGTGATTCCATTTATATAACATTTTTGAAATGATGACATTTTAGAAATGGAGAATGGATTACTGGTTTCTAAGCATACGGGACCAGGAGTGGGTGTTGGCAGAAGGGAGGTGGATGTTGTCAAAAAAGAGCAGGGTGAGGAATCCTCTTGGTGATGGTTTACTATTTTGACTGTGGTTGTGAATACACAAAACTAAATTTATGGTAAAACTGTATAGAATACACATATGCACAAATAAGTGCAAGTTAAACTAGGGAAACCTAAATAAGATCAGCAAATTGTGTCAAAGTCAATATCCTGGTGGTGATATGGGTTTGCAAAATGTTACCATTGCAGAAACTGGATAAAGTGTGATTTTTGTGTGATTTCTTCCCATTCTGGTGATCTACAGTTTCTCAATAAAAAATTCAATTAAAAATAAAAGTGCTTATTAAAATATGGTAGATATTTTGGGAGAATATAAATAAAATTAAAAGGTTGTCTGCCATCTGCTAGCTTAAGTCTTTAGAAACAAGTGTTTGTGTCAGGCGCAGTGGCCGAGGCCTGTAATCCCAGCACTTTGGGAGTTTGAGGTGAGCAGATTGCCTGCACTCAGGAGTTCAAGACCAGCCTGGGCAACATGGCGAAACCCTGTCTCTACTAGAAATACAAAAAATTAGCCGAGCGGGTGGCACATGCCTGTAATGCCAGCTACGCAGGAGGCTGAGGCAACAGAATCACTTGAACTCAGGAGGCAGAGGTTGCAGTAAGCCGAGATCAAGCCACTGCATTCCAGCCTGGGCAACAGAGCGAGACTCTGTCTCAAAAAAAAAAAAAAGAAAAAAAAAGGTGTTTATGAATTAAATTTAAACAAATTCAACATTTAATATGCCCCAAATTGCACTAGGTAACAAAGGAGTATTATTTCTGCCCTGAAGGAGGTCCTCTCCACCAATGATTCTGTCCTTTGTGTCTTTATGCTTTCTTATTAAACTTTTCAAACAGTTGTCTGCTCTTGGATCATCCTATACCCTTGTGTGTTCAGTCCTCCACTCACTTCCAATAGACTTCTACTCTCTCCATTCTTCTGAAATATCTCTGGTAGAAATAACCATGGTGACCTTCTAATAGCCAAATCTGAAGATATAATGATGTTATGTGAAAAAGCCTGGAATATTTATGAAAGCATTTTCCTGAAGAAATTATGGGCACTTTTTATATGTCCTAATTTTTGCTTCGTCCCCAACTTTATAACAAGCAAAGAAAGAGGATGAAGTGTTGGAAGGAGAAGGAGGAGGAGAAAATTATCCATAATATACGTATGCATAAGCTTTTTCAAATTCAGATAGGTCACGTATTTATTTTGTCTTTCCAAAATGAGATCGTACAATAAATACATTTGTAACCTGTCTTTTTGTTTGTTTTTGAGACAGAGTCTCTCTCTGTCACCCAGGCTGGATGGAGTGCAGTGGCGTGATCTCGGCTCACTGCAAGCTCAGCCCCCCAGGTTCACGCCATTCTCCTGCCTCAGCCTCCCGTGTAGCTGGGACTACAGGCGTCCGCCACCATGCCCGGCTAATTTTTTGTATTTTTAGTAGAGACGGGGTTTCACCGTGTTAGCCAGAATGGTTTCGATCTCCTGACCTCTGATCCACCCGCCTTGGCCTCCCAAAGTGCTGGGATTACAGGCGTGAGCCACAGTGCCTGGCCTGTAACCTGTCTTCTTACGTATCAATATGTCATTATGTCCTTTCCTTTTCCATAAATATTTTCTGCAGTATCATTTGTAATAGCTGTCTAACCCATTAATTTACTTTAGCATAATTAAATCAGCCAATCCCCATTTATTTCACATTCAGGTTGTTTATTATTTGTAGCTATAGTAAATACCTTTTAGCTAAATCTTTGGCACATATAGTTATTTTCCTGTATACCATTTTTATGGCTTTCATTACTTATTTTCGATGTTATCAAAAGATGGTGAGAGAGCCTGTTTCCTTAAAACTGTGCCAACCTTGAACTTATAACTAAAGAAGAAAACCTTTGCTAATTTAAAAGTAAAACAAGGTTCTCACCATGTCTTTAGTTCACATTTACTTGTTTGCAAGGTGAAACAGATTTTTTTAAAAATACGCTTTTTGGCCAACACAGCTTTTTGTGTGTCTGCTCTTTCATTGGAGCCTTCTACTCTTTCTTAAAGCATTACAGGAGATGTTTTTATTTTAAAAATACTAATATTCTCATATATGTTGCAGATATTTTTCCCAGTTTTCTCTTTAAGTCTTGTTCATTATGGGTTTTGAAATATAGAATTTTTAAAAAATTGTTGTCAAAACTAAATAACAGATGTTTCATCTGGTGGAATTACAGGTGATTTTTTGGCTTGATTTTTATTCTCATTTTTCTAAAAAGAATACCCCTCTTCTCACATATTATGAAAAAAATCACAATGAGAATATCATATATGAAAAATTAAATGCTGTGGATAAGTTGTATTCAGAAAAAAACTTGACAACTTTTTCTACTTTTCTAATTAAACATGAACTAATAAATGCAAGTTAATTGGGCATTCAACTCAAGAAATCAAAGTAAATAAAACAGGAACCTGGTGATGCAGGAGGAAACATTGATAATAATTAATATAAACTTTTAAAAATAGAAAAATTGATTTCAAATAAAGCAAATTCAAAACCTGGTTCTTGGGAAATTTAATCAAGAAAAGAGACAAATCACAGCAATAGAAAGTTAAATAAGGGAACACAAAAACAGATCAGCGGACATTTTCTTAACTATGAGATAATTTTACATACAGCCTCAGTATTAAAAATATCACTGAAATTGGTAATCTTCTCAGGAAATACAAATGCTTAAAGTCGAATACAAACACATTTTGTAAAAGCCTGGCTAGACATTCATCAGAGAATAAATTGCAGGAGTTTTATCAAAGAATAACTCTCTATGAAAGCAGCAGATTCAGACAGGCTTATAGATAACATTTTTCAAACTGTCAGGGAACAGATAATTCTTATGTTTAGATTGCTTGACAGTATAGTGAAGACAAAGATTATTAAAAAATAAAACTAAAGCTAATCTCGTTTATGAATATACGTACAAAAATATTAAAGACGACATTAACAACTTAAAGCCTGGGTATAGTAAAATAAATAATTCCCCACATAAATTGAAGAAAAACTTAAACTAGGAATTCAAGGAGGGTTCAAGTTGAAGTAATAGCTTGATATATATGATTATATTAATATGACAAGATACATAAGCAGTCATTTTGAGAGATGCAAAAAGCATACTTGATAAAAGGCAACATCTATTAGATGAGTTTAAAAAAAAGTTTTCAGGATATCACAGAGAGAAAGTTACTGACAATACAGGATACAAAATTTATCTTAAACTAACAGCAATGTCAAGCCTACAGGTGAAATAATAAACACATCCCTATTATTATCAAATAGAGAAACAAGGTAAGATGCCTACAAATACAGTTTTTATTTAATATTGCTCCAAAGGGCTAGCCAATACAATGAAATTGAAATGAGAGTAATTAATATGAGAAAGGAGGAGACAGAAAAATCTAAGAGAATTAACTAGGAAACTATTAGATCTAACTAGAACAGTGATGGCTTGGTAGACCCAGGTACTCGGGAAGCTGAGGCAGGAGAATGGCATGAACCCAAGAGGCGGAGCTTGCAGTGAGCCGAGATTGCGCCACAGCACTCCAGCCTGGGCAACAGAGCGAGACTCCGTCTCAAAAAAAAAAAAAAGAGAATGCTATAAGAGATGATTCTGATAAAAGTGTACTGCAAACTGGACATGGTAATGTGCACCTGTGGTCCCAGCTACTCAGGAGACTGAGGCAGGAGGATTGCTTGAGCCCAGGAGTTTGAGGCTGCAATGAGCTAAGACTGCATCTGTGAATAGCCACTACAGTCCAGCCTGGGCAATGTAGCCAGATGCTGTTTCTTAAAAAAAAAGAAAAAAAAAGTATACTGCAATCCAAGTAAGTTATTTTGTGGATATCAACAAACTTATCCTAAAGTTTTAATGGAAAAGCAAAAGACAGAAAAACCAACCCAATACTGAAAAAGAACAAAGTCAGAGGACTGATACTACTGGAATTCAAAACTTACTGTACGTCTATAATAATGAAGACAGTGTGGTCTTAGTGAAAGGACAGACTAAGAGATCAATGAAACAGAGGAGAGAGTCTGGAAATAAACCCACACAAATATAATCAACTGGTCTTTGATTAAGGAGCAAAAGTAATTCAATGGGGAAAGAGTAGTCTTTTCTTGTGTGCAGTTCAATTTTTTTATTATACTTTAAGTTCTAGGGTACATGTGCACAACGTGCAGATTTGTTACACATGTATACATGTGCCATGTTGGTGTGCTGCACCCATTAACTCATCATTTACATTAGGTATATCCCCTAATGCTTTCCCTCTCCCTTCCCTCCACCCCACAACAGGCCCTGGTGTGTGATGTTCCCTTTCCTGTGTCCAGCTGTTCTCATTGTTCAATTTCCACCTATAAGTGAGAACATGGGGTGTTTTGTTTTTTGTTCTTGCAATAGTTTGCTGAAAATGATGGTTTCCAGCTTCTTCCATGTCCCTACAAAGGACATGAACTCACCTTTTTTATGGCTGGATAGTATTCCCTGGTGTATATGTGCCACATTTTCTTAATCCAGTCTATCATTGTTGGACATTTGGGTTGGTTCTAAGTCTTTGCTATTGTGAATAGTGCTGCAATAAATATACGTGTGCATGTGTCTTTATAGCAGCATGATTTATAATCCTTTGGGTATATACCCAGTAATGGGTTGGCTGAGTCAAATGGTATTTCTAGTTCTACATCCTTGAGGAATCGCCACACTGTCTTCCACAATGGTTGAACTAGTTTACAGTCCCACCAACAGTGTAAAATTTTTCCTATTTCTCCACATCCTCTCCAGCACCTGTTGTTTCCTGACTTTTTAATGATCGCCATTCTAACTGGTGTGAGATGGTATCTCATTGTGGTTTTGATTTGCATTTCTCTGATGGCCAGTGATGATGAGCATTTTTTCGTGTGTCTGTTGGCTCCATAAATGTCTTCTTTTGAGAAGTGTCTGTTCATATCCTTTGCCCACTTGTTGATGGTGTTGTTTGTTTTTTTCTTGTAAATTTGTTTGAGTTCTTTATAGATTCTGGATATTAGCCCTTTGTCAGACGAGTAGATTGCAAAAATTTTCTCCCATTCTGTAGGTTGCCTGTTCACTCTGATGGTAGTTTCTTTTGCTGTGCAGAAGCTCTTTAGTTTAATTAGATCCATTTGTCAATTTTGGCTTTTGTTGCCGTTGCTTTTGGTGTTTTAGACATGAAGTCCTTGCACTTGCCTATGTCCTGAATGGTATTGCCTAGGTTTTCTTCTAGGGTTTTTATGGTTTTAGGTCTAACATTTAAGTTAATCCATCTTGAATTAATTTTTGTATAAGGTGTAAGGAAGGGATCCAGTTTCAGCTTTTTACATATGGCTAGCCAATTTTCCCAGCACCATTTATTAAATAGGGAATCCTTTCCCCATTTCTTGTTTTTGTCAGGTTTGTCAAAGATCAGATGGTTGTAGATGTATGGTATTATTTCTGAGGGCTGTGTTCTGTTCCATTGGTCTATATCTCTGTTTTGGTACCAGTACCATGCTGTTTTGGTTACTGTAGCCTTGTAGTATAGCTTGAAGTCAGGTAGTGTGATGCCTCCAGCTTTGTTCTTTTGGCTTAGGATTGTCTTGGCAATGCAGGCTCTTTTTTGGTTCCGTATGAACTTTAAAGTAGTTTTTTCCAATTCTGTGAAGAAAGTCATTGGTAGCTTGATGGGGATGGCATTGAATGGATAAATTACCTTGGGCAGTATGGCCATTTTATCGATATTGATTCTTCCTATCCATGAACATGGAATGTTCTTCCATTTGTTTGTATCCTCTTTTATTTCATTGAGCAGTGGTTTGTAGTTCTCCTTGAAGAGGTCCTTCACATCCCTTGTAAGTTGGATTCCTAGGTGTTTTATTCTCTTTGAAGCAATTGTGAATGGGAGTTCATTCATGATTTGGCTCTCTGTTTGTCTGTTATTGGTGTATAAGAATGCTTGTGATTTTTGCACATTGATTTCATATCCTGAAACTTCGCTGAAGTTGCTTATCAGCTTAAGGAGATTTTGGGCTGAGAAGACTGGGTTTTCTAAATATACAATTAAGTCATCTCCAAACAGGGACAATTTGACTTCCTCTTTTCCTAATTGGATACCCTTTATTTATTTCTTCTACCTGATTGCCCTGGCCAGAACTTCCAACACTATGTTGAATAGGAGTGGTGAGAGAGGGCATCCCTGTCTTGTGCCAGTTTTCAAAGGGAATGCTTCCAGTTTTTGCCCATTTAGTATGATATTGGCTGTGGGTTTGTCATAGATAGCTCTTATTATTTTGAGATATGTCCCATCAATACCTAATTTATTGAGAGTTTTTAGCATGCAGTACTGTTGAATTTTGTCAAAGGCCTTTTCTGCATCTATTGAGATAATCATGTGGTTTTTGTCTTTGGTTCTGTTTATATGCTGGATTACATTTATTGATTTGCATACGTTGAACCAGCCTTGCATCCCAGGGATGAAGCCCACTTGATCATGGTGGATAAGCATTTTGATGTGCTGCTGGATTCAGTTTTCCAGTATTTTATTGAGGATTTTTGCATCGGTGTTCATCAGGCATATTGGTGTAAAATTCTCTTTTTTTGTTGTGTCTCTGCCAGGCTTTGGTATCAGGGTGATTCTGGCCTCATAGAATGAGTTGGGGAGGATTCTCTCTTTTTCTATTGATTGGAATAGTTTCAGAAGGAATGGTACCAGCTCCTCCTTATACCTCTGGTAGAATTCAGCTGTGAATCCGTCCGGTCCTGGATGTTTTTTGGTTGGTAGGCCATTAATTATTGCCTCAATTTCAGAGCCTGTTATTGGTCTATTCAGGGATTCAACTTCTTCCTGGTTTAGTCTTGGGAGAGTGTATGTGTCCAGGAATTTATCCATTTCTTCTATATTTTCTAGTTTATTTGCATAGAGGTGTTTATAGTATTCTCTGATGGTAGTTTGTATTTCTGTGGGATTGGTGGTGATATCCCCTTTATCATTTTTTATTGCATCTATTTGATTCTTCTCTCCTTTCTTCTTTATTAGTCTTGCTGGCGGTCTATCAATTTTGTTGATCTTTTCAAAAAACCAGCTCCTGGATTCATTGATTTTTTGAAGGGTTTTTTGTGTCTCTATCTCCTTCAGTTCTGCTCTGATCTTAGTTCTTTCTTGCCTTCTGCTAGCTTTTGAATGTGTTTGCTCTTGCTTCTCTAGTTCTTTTAATTGTGATGTTAGGGTGTCCATTTTAGATATTTTCTGCTTTCTCTTGTGGGCATTTACTGCTATAAATTTCCCTCTACACACTGCTTTAAATGTGTCCCAGAGATTCTGGTATGTTGTGCCTTTGTTCTCATTGGTTTCAAAGAACATCTTTATTTCTGCCTTCATTTCATTGTGTACCCAGTAGTCATTCAGGAGTAGGTTGTTCAGTTTCCATGTAGTTGAGTGGTTTTGAGTGAGTTTCTTAATCCTGAGTTCTAGTTTGATTGCACTGTGGTCTGAGAGACAGCCTGATATGATTTCTGTTCTTTTACATTTGCTGAAGAGTGCTTTACTTCCAACTATGTGGTCAATTTTGGAATAAGTGTGATGTGGTGCTGAGAAGAATGTATATTCTGTTGATTTGGGGTGGAGAGTTCTGTAGATGTCTATTAGGTCCGCTTGGTGCAGAGCTGAGTTCAATTCCTGGATATCCTTGTTAACTTTCTGTCTCACTGATCTGTCTAATGTTGACAGTGGGGTGTTAAAGTCTCCCATTATTATTGTGTGGGAGTCTAAGTCTCTTTGTAGGTCACTAAGGACTTGTTTTATGAATCTGGGTGCTCCTATATTGGGTGCATATATATTTAGGATAGTTAGCTCTTCTTGTTGAATTGATCCCTTTACCATTATGTAATGGCCTTCTTTGTCTCTTTTGATCTTTGTTGGTTTAAAGCCTGTTTATCGGAGACAGGATTGCAACCCCTGCCTTTTTTTGTTTTCCATTTGCTTGTTAGATCTTCCTCCATCCCTTTATTTTGAACCTATGTGTGTCTCTGCATGTGAGATGGGTCTCCTGAATACAGCACACTGATGGGTCTTGACTCTTTATCCAATTTGCCAGTCTGTGTCTTTTAATCGGAGCATTTAGCCCATTTACATTTAAGGTTAATATTGTTATGTGTGAATTTGATCCTGTCATTATGATGTTAACTGGTTATTTTGCTCGTTAGTTGATGCAGTTTCTTCCTAGCATCGATGGTCTTTACAATTTGGCATGTTTTTGCAGCGGCTGGTACCGGTTGTTCTTTTCCATGTTTAGTGCTTCCTTCAGGAGGTCTTGTAGGGCAGGCCTGGTGGTGACAAAATCTCTCAGCATTTGCTTGTCTGTAAAGGATTTTATTTCTCCTTCACTTATGAAGCTTAGTTTGGCTGAATATGAAATTCTGGATTGAAAATTCTTTTCTTTAAGAATGTTGAATGTTGGCCCCCACTCTCTTCTGGCTTGTGGAGTTTCTGCCGAGAGATCAGCTGTTAGTCTGATGGGCTTCCCTTTGTGGGTAACCCGACCTTTCTCTCTGGCTGCCCTTAACATTTTTTCCTTCATTTCAACTTTGGTGAATCTGACAATTATGTGTCTTGGAGTTGCTCTTCTCGAGGAGTATCTTTGTGGCATTCTCTGTATTCCCTGAATTTGAATGTTGGCCTGCCTTGCTAGGTTGGAGAAGTTCTCCTGGATAATGTCCTGAAGAGTGTTTTCCAACTTGGTTCCATTCTGTCCGTCACTTTAAGGTACATCAATCAGATGTAGATTTGGTCTTTTCACATAGTCCCATATTTCTTGGAGGCTTTGTTCATTTCTTTTTACTCTTTTTTCTCTAAACTTCTCTTCTCGCTTCGTTTCATTCATTTGATCTTCAATCACTGATACCCTTTCTTCCGGTTGATCGAATCGGCTACTGAGGCTTGTGCATTCGTCACGTAGTTCTCGTGCCATGGTTTTCAGCTCCATCAGGTCCTTTAAAGACTTCTCTACACTGGTTATTCTAGTTAGCCATTCGTCTAATCTTTTTTCAAGGTTTTTAGCTTCTTTGCAATGGGTTTGAACTTCCTCCTTTAGTTTGGAGAAGTTTGATCATCTGAAGCCTTCTTCTCTCAACTTGTCAAAGTCATTCTCCGTCCAGCTTTGTTCCATTGCTGGCAAGGAGCTGCGTTCCATTGGAGGGGGAGAGGTGCTCTGATTTTTAGAATTTTCAGCTTTTCTGCTCTGTTTTTTCCCCATCTTTGTGGTTTTATCTACCTTTGGTCTTTGATGATGGTGATGTACAGATGGGTTTTTGGTATGGATGTCCTTTTTCTTTGTTAGTTTTCCTTCTAACAGTCAGGACCCTCAGCTGCAGGTCTGTTGGAGTTTGCTGGAGGTCCACTCCAGACCCCTGTTTTCCTGGGTATCAGCAGCAGTGGCTCCAGAACAGCGGATATTGGTGAACTGCAAATGCTGCTGCCTGATTGTTCCTCTGGAAGTTTTGTCTCAGAGGAGTACCCGGCCATGTGAAGTGTCAGTCTGCCCCTACCTGGGGGGTGCTTCCCAGTTAGGCTACTTGGGGATCAGGGACCCACTTGAGGAGGCAGTCTGCCCATTCTCAGATCTCAAGCTGTGTGCTGGGAGAAACACTACTCTCTTCAAAGCTGTCAGACAGGGACATTTAAGTCTGCAGAGGTTACTGCTGCCTTTTGTTTATCTGTGCCCTGCCCCCAGAGGTGGAGCCTACAGAGGCAGGCAGGCCTCCTTGAGCTGTGGTGGGTTCCACCCAGTTCGAGCTTCCTGGCCACTTTGTTTACCCACTCAAGCCTCGGCAATGGCAGGCGCCCCTCCCCCATTCTCACTGCTGCCTTGCAGTCTGATCTCAGACTGCTGTGCTAGCAATGAGTGAGGCTCCATGGGCGTGGGACCCTCTGAGCCAGTCACAGGATATAATCTCCTGGTGTGCCATTTGCTAAGACCATTGGAAAAGTGCAGTATTAGGGTGGGAGTGACCTGATTTTCCAAGTGCCATCTGTCACCCCTTCCCTTGGCTAGGAAAGGGAATTCCCTGACCCCTTGCACTTCCTGGGTGAGGCGATGCCTGCCCTGCTTCGGCTCACACTCGGTGGGCTGCACCCACTGTCCTGCCCCCACTGTCCGATGATCCCCAGTGAGATCAACCCGGTACCTCAGTTGAAAATGCAGAAATCACCCATCTTCTGCGTCACTCACCCTGGGAGCTGTAGACTGGAGCTGTTTCTATGCGGCCATCTTGGAACCAAGCCAATTTTTTATTTTAATGTAATCAGAATATGCACAGCACATGCAGTTCTAGCATCTAAGCTAATACAATAAGCAATTACTAAAGCCACAGTGACTTGAGGTTCAATCTTTACATTCAGCAAGTTTAAATTCTTACATGATTTTTGAAACCTTATTAACTGAAAATATTGCTTGCTGATAAAAACTTGCTCAAATGCTGTTGCTGAAGGTACAAGTCACTAATTATGCCAATACAACAAGATAACCACGTTTGAGGATTGCAATGTGCCAGACATTCACTGAAAAAAAAAAATCACAACTAAACAAAATTCACACAACAAACATCTGAGAATCTGGACACTTCACATCAGTGTTTTGAAATGTTTCATTAACATCTTAAGACAAGTGTATCAAAACCTTGGCATGATTTAATTTCAAGTCACCAATTATGTTTTTACTAACATCAGAAAGTTATGGCTACACTGCCAAGGCCGGGTCTGCTTAATTTGACTTAAGAGTTTAATATGACTTAACATTAAAAGCTCACACTACCCCGAAATATATAATTTCACGCATATGGTGACATTCAACATTCAAGTGCCAGTGTTTTTATACTGTGTTTTGGTCAAGTTTCTTTAAACTTTCAAAGAATCACTTTTAGGCTTACAAAAATAAATAATTGCCAAAATGTTCAAAAATTATTACATAAAACTAGCAGCAAAAATTATCTAGAAATCTGTCATGTGCAAATAGTTTTCTTCCCAACTATCATTCCCATGGTCCCAGATAAATTTTAGAATCTAGTCCCATCCCCTTCCTAGAAAAGCTGTGTTAAACAATCTCCAAGAGACAAAGTAAGATTGGAAGTTTAAGGACACGCACACAAGACATATATATAAAATTCTCTGAATGTGCAATAAAAGAAGTACTTTGTAAAAAGTTTTGGGCAAAATGTACAAGGGCTTAAACTTAGACTAACTGAAATAGCACCATAACAAATGACCTCAATACTGTCAAGTGCACCTACTTAATAAAAGTTTTAGAACAAGGCACAATACACTTGAAAATCTATTGCACTTTAGGAAATTTTTGCCGTCTTCCTATGCCACTGTAAAAAGATGGAGCATTTTGATCACTTCATTCTGGCCACAAAATTAGCACAGAATTCAAAGTGGCAGAGGCATTTTAGTGGTGGACAATGCTCACCTTTGGCCAGATTTAGCATAAACAGACTATAAATACAATGGAAACCTATGCAACTAAAACTGCACTGTAGAGCAGAATTGACACCTTATGCAATTATGTACATATTTCCAACCTGTGTGATCTCAAAGATTTCAGTTTGTTACTCTTCTGGAGTCATTTTTACAAAGTGTATAGTAAGCCAGTTTAACATCTCAATGCATGTTAGAACAACTGGACAGCCACATGCAAAAACAAGGAAACAAACCACAAATCTAGACACCCTACAACTTTCACAAAAATTAACTTAAATGATAGGTTATATATCTAATTGTAAAATGAAAGCCTATAAAGTTCTAGAAGATAACATAGAAGACAATCTAGGTGACTTTGGTTTTGGCAACGAGTTTTGAGATAAACACTGCAGTAAATTCAATAATTCGGCTGTTGATTAAGGAAGAGGCAGGAACAGGAGAAGCAGTAACATGCAACAAGCTTTACTGAGCAGCTCTTAAGCAGAATTGCATGGGAGGAGAAGCTCCTCCCAGCAAGAGACTTCTCAGAGAAGACAAACACTATTAAAAAGGGCACCATCCAGAAAGGGAATAGGGCAAGGAACTCACTGGAAGAAAAAGGGGATATTTAAGAGGGGGATATGTTTCTAGGCCATGTCCTGTAGCAATAAGGTGGGGAGTTTTGAGTAAGAGAGCTCCAAAAAACAGCAGTGGTTTATAGTATTTTATACCTACAAGGTAGGTCTTAATTACGGTTAGCAGATGTTGAATGCAGTTTTACGGGGTATGCAAAGTAGACAGACTTTTTGAAAATATGTTTATTTTGACTATATTTAAAGCAACTGGATGTGTAAGAATTTGAGCTTAGTGCCTGTGGGATTTCAGCTAACAATCCTAGGCTGATATGAAGAGATAACAACTTGGGGGTGTTTAAAGTCAGTAAACAGTGGCCATCTTTAGTTTGTTTATATAAGAAACAGTACAAGTACACTCAATGAAAGAAAAATTGGTAATTTTTATTTTAAAATTATTTTAAAATTTTAAAATTTTTTATTTTATTTTTATTTTAAAATTAAAATTTCTGCTCTGCAAAAGGCACTGTGAAGAGAATGAAAAGCCACAACCTGGAGGCTTGGAGAAAATATTTGCAAAACACATATCTGATAAATAACTTGTATCCAAAATAGGTAAAAACAAAACAACTCTTAAAACTCAACATAAGAAAACAAAAAACCCAATTTCAAAATAGGCAAATGATCTAAACAGACACATAACCAAATAATATACATAAATGGCAACTAAGCGTATGTGAAAAGCTATTCAGTAGCATATGTCAATAGGAAATTGCAAATTAAAATGATGAGATACCACTGCGCATGTGTTAGAATGGCTAAAACCCAAAACACTGACAACACCCAATGCTGATGAGGATGTGGAGCAACAGGAACTCCTAGTCATTGCTGGTGAAAATGAAAAATAGCAGAGTCACTTTGAAAGACACTGTGGCAGTTTCTTACAAAGCTAAACATAGTCTTACCATACAGTCCAGCAATTGTGCTCCTTGATACGTAACCAAATAAGCTGAAAACTTTTGTCTTCACAAAGACCTGTGCACAGTATTTATAACAGCTTTTATTCATAATTGCCAAGACTTAGAAGCAAGCAGAGTACCTTTAAATTTTTTTTATTTTGAATTTTTATGGAGATGTAATACTTGTACATATTTATGGGATACATGTACTATTTTAAAACATGCACACAATATCTAATTATCAAATCTGGTAATATCTAATGCCTCAAATATATATCATTTCTTTATGTTGGGAATGTACCAAATTTACTCATAATTATTTTAAAACACACAATAAATTATTGTTAACTGTAGTTGACCTACTGTGCTATAGGACACTAGAATTTATTCCTCGTATCTCCCTGTAATTTTATACCTATTATATCTCTCTGCCCACTAAGCTTCTCAGCCTCTGGTAACAGCCATTCTTTTCACTACCTTCATGAGATCAATTTTTTAGCTCCCACATATGAGTCAGAATATGTGACATTTATCTTTGTGTGCCTGACTTATTTCACTTCACATAATGTCCTTTAGTTTCATCTATGTTTTGCAAAGTACAGGATTTTATTTTTTTTTATGGTGGGACAATAGTCCGTTGTGTGTATATACCATATTTTCTTTATCCCATCATCTCTGATGGACACTTAGGTTGATTTCATATCTTGGCTATTGTGAAAAGTGCTACAAAAAACATGGGAGTTCAGATATCTCTTCGATATGTTGATATCCTTTCTTTTGGATGTATAACCAATGGTGGAATTGCTGAATTACCTGGTAGTTCTAGTTTTAGTTTTGGAGAAATCTCCATACTTTAGTGGCTGTACTAATTTGCATTTCTGCCCACAATATATGAATATTTCCCTTTCTCCGCATCCTCATTAGTATTTGTTATTTTCTGTCTTTTTGATAATAGCCATTTTAACTTGGGTGAGTGATACTTATTTGTGGTTTTGATTTGCATTTCCCTGACGATTAGTGATTTTGAGCATTTTTTCATATACGTGTTGTCCATTTGTATGTCTTCTTTTTAGAAATATCTATTCAAATCTTTTGCCATTTTTAATTGAATTATTTGTGTTTCTGCTATTGAGTTGTTTCAGTTTCTTATGTATTCTAGTTATCAATCCCTTGGCAGTTAAATAGTGTGCAAATATTCTCCTATTCTGTAGGTTGTCTCTTTGCTTTGTTGATTGATTTCTTTGCTGTGCAGAGCTTTTAAGGAAGAAGTAAAATTGTCTTTCTTTGCAGGCAGTATAATCTTATATTTAGGAAAACCTAAAGACTCCACCACAAAACTATTAGAACTGATAAATGAATTCAGTGAAGTTGCAGGATACAAAGTCAACGTATGAAAATCAGTAGCATTTTAATATGCCAACAGCAAATGATCTGAAAACAAAATCAAGAAAGCAATCCTGTTTACAATAGCTATAGAAAAAAAGTACTTAGGAGTAGACTTAACCAAAGAAGTGAAAGATCTTTACAAGGAAAACTATAAAACACTGATGAAAGAAATTGAAGAGGGCACACAAAAAATGGAAAGATATCCCATGTCCACAGATTGGAAGAATCAATATTGTTAAAATATCAATACTACTCAAAGCAATCTACAGAATCAATGCAATCCCTATCAAAATACCAGTGACATTCATCATGGAAATAGGACAAACAATCCTGAAATTCATATGGAACCACAAAAGGTCCTGAATAACTGAAGAAATCCTGAGCAGAAAGAAAAAAGCAGGAGGCTGTTCTTGTTTGCTGTTGGCATATAAAAATACTACCAATTTTTGTATTCAAAATGCTACTGATCTTTCATTTTCATCATATTACCTGACCTCAAGTTATACTACAAGCTGGGTGTGGTGGCTTGGACCTATAGTCCCAGATACTTGGGGGCTGAGTTGGGAGGAAAACTTGAGCCCAGGAGTTCAGGGCTGCAGTGAGCAATGATCATGCCACTGGACTCCAGCCTGGATGACAGGGAAACAGGGAAAGACTCCACCTCTAAACACACACACACACACACACACACACACACACACACACACACTCACTATAAAGCTATAATAACCAGAACATCATGGTACTGACATAAAAACAGACACATAGACCAATGGAACAGAATAGAGAACCAAGAAATAAATCCATATATCTATAGTCAACTCATTTTTGACAAAGGCACCAAGAATGTACAATGGGGAAAGGACAGTCTCTTAAATAAATGATTCTGGAAAAACCGGATATCCATATGCAGAAGAAAGAAACTGGACCCCTATCTCTTACCATACACAAAAATAAAATCAAAATGGATTAATCCTTTAAATGTAAGACCTGAAACTATGAAACTACTAAAATAAAACATTGGGAAAATGTTTTCCCAATGCTTCAGGACTTTGGTCTGAACAATGATTTCTTGAATAAGAACTCAAAAGCATAAATAACCAAAGCAGAATGCCCTTCAATAGGTGAATGGATGAACAAACTGTGGTATGTCCATACAATAGAATATTATTCAGCAATAAAAAAAAAGCTATCTGTCAATCCATGTAAAGAAAAGCCAGGAAGCTGAAGTGCATATTACTAAGTGAAAAAAAAAATCTGTAAAGGCAACATATTGTATGATTCCAACTACCTGACATTCTAGAAAAGAAAAACTATAGAGACAGTAAAAATATCAGTGATTGCCAAAGGTTTGGGGTTGCAGGGAGGAATGAATAGGTAATCCACAAGGAGTTTTTAGGACAATGTAACTATTCTGAATGATACTATAATGATGGATACATGGCATTATTTATTTGTCAAAACCCATAGAATGTACAACACAAAAAGTTGAACTCTGATGCAAACTATGTTTTAGTTAATCATGTAATTAATTTAGTAAACTATGATTTTAATTAACAATAATATATCAATATTGGCTCATCAATTGTAACATATGTACCACACTAATGCAAGATGTTAATAATATGGAAAGTGAGCAGGAAACAGGGATATATGAGAAATATCTGTACCATCTGGTCAATTTTCTGTAAACCTAAGACTACTCTAAAAACTAAAGTCTATTGATTAAGAAAAAAGTGTGTTCTGCATATGTGAATAGTACAGAAGCAGAAAAAAAGATGATAGCCATTAAACCATTTTGTAGGCATATTATTTTTTAATGCCAAATACGCTCATCACTTGATTCCTTATTTTTGTCCATGAACTCATTTTACCTTAGTAACCTCAGCTGTCTTGGCACAAATTATTTAGAGGGTAGAGGAGTGGAGGCCAAGCTCTTAGCATGTGCTGCTCCTGGTGGGTCTATGGAAGGAAAGGCATACACTGGGGCAGAGAGCTAGTTTCTGTACTTCAAAGTTAAGAACTAGAGCCTAGAGAGGAAAATACTTTGAATTAAAAGTTTTCATAAGGATGCATCTTACGAAATAAATATTTCAAAATCAATGGCTTTGCTATATGTCGGCAATAATTAAATATATATTGGAAGTCCCAAAAAGATGGCAAAACAGCATTGGCTTTTGGCTCTCTCCCCCATCCTAGCAATGGAAATGTCACAGAGCAAAAAACAAAGGGTATGGATATGAAGAGCGAAAGCATGACTGTGAAGAAACTTCTGGGAAGAGAGGGTCATGTGTGAACCAGTGTGAAAATAGTAACAGCCTGATGAGATTGGAGTAAAAAGGGAAATCAAATTAGGAACGGGTAAAGATTTTGAATTTTTACTTTCACTCATGGCTTTGGGTGCAGACTCTTCTCTTGCCTCCTCACCACTGCAGGACAGAAATGTAATAGTGACAGCCCCGGCCACCAAAAAGCAAAGTGCAAAAGTGGGCTGCTCCAGTCTGCAAAAAAGGAGCAGGATGGTAACAGGGGAAGTTAACAAGAACTGAATGACTGGTCAGTCCCTGAGCTACCCTTCACTCCCTGTCTTCCTTGTACTTCAAAGTTAAGAAATTAAAGCCAAGAGAGGAAAGGTCTTTGAATAAAGAAATTCCTGAGACAAAATTATTAATTCCCAGAAAAGCAGGAATCCCTAGAGAGGAAAAAACAAATAAAGGTGGTCAAGTGCAGCTGGCGATGCTCTGGCTCTCTGAATCAGTGTATGCCTTTCCTGCCATAGACCCACCAGGAGCAGCACATGTTATGACCTTGGCCTCCACTCCTCTACCCCATAAATAATCTTAGCTGAGAGAGCTGAGGCTACAGAGGTAAAATGGGTTTATAGAAAAAAATCAGGAGTAAAATTATGAGCATATTTGGCATTAAAAAAATAATCATCCAACTAGAGAACATAATCTGGATGGACCAGATTTATGAAAGCAGAACTATCAATAATTAAAAAGAAGCATAATAAATATCTTTAAAGAGGTAATTCAGAATATTGGTAAGAAGAAGCAGACAAGAACAGTTACTAAAAAGAACTAAGTGAAAATATTGGGGGCTGGGTATAGTGGCTCATGCCTGTAATACCAGTACTTTGGGAGGCTGAGGCAGGCAGATCACCTGAGGTCAGGAGTTCAAGACCAGCCTAGCCAACACGCTGAAACCCCATCTCTATTGAAAAAAGAAAAATACAAAAATTAGCCGGGCATGGTGGCAGGCACCTGTAATCCCAGCTACTTAGGAGGCTGAGGCAGGACAGTCACTTGAACCTGGGAGACAGAGGTTGCAGTGAGCAGTGATGGCACTACTGCATTCCAGCCTGGGCAACAAGAGTGAAACTCCATCTCAAAAAAAACAAAAAAAATACTGGGTATCAAGACGATAAGTATTGAATTAAGACCTCAGTAGATTAGATACATTGCTTAATGGATAGAGTCAAAGAAGGAATTAGTAAATTGGAAGTTCAATTGAGTAAATCTCCCAGAAAGTACTGGGAAGGAATAAGGATATGGGAAATATAGAACAAAAGTTACAAGGTTTGGAGATTAGAAGCAGAGTATCAATCTCCACATAATAGGGGTTCCAGAAAAGAGAAAAAAAAACAAGGAAGAAAGAAATATTTAAAGAAATAATAATCAAGAATGTGCCATAATTTAAGAAAGACAAAAATCTCAGCTTATAAAGCCTCAAAATGGGCAAAATGTTTAAGAGGAATCCATATCTAGATCATTATAGTAATATTTAAGAATAGAGAGTGAAAGAGAAAATTTTAAGAGCTTCTAATGAAAAAGAGTAGCTTACCTGTGAAGGAAAAAAAAAAAAGATTAACCTGAGTTATCTCAAATGAAACAATGGATGGCCAGAAATTCTCAGAGTGTTATATTTTGAAATGTTGAAGAAAAGAATTTCTAACCTAGAATTTTTCATTTATCCAAACCACTATTTATATGTATTATAAGCATTTTTAATAATATGAAAAATATATTCCCAGAAATAAGCAACAAAAAATGCATAATAGACAAAATTGCCAGGCTATAAAAGTAAAAGAATGTAATTTATAAATATTGAGCATTTGGATATAAAGAGCCAAAATAGAATAGAGATAATTTTCCCAAATTAACTTATAAATACTGCCCCAATCAAATTTGACTGCTTAGAAAATATTTAAAACTTACTTAGAAAACTAAGCATGACATTTCTGAAAAATAAAACAAAGTAGAAAGTCTCTTATTTTAATGATATTGTAGAAATTAAAATAGTTTGAAAAAGCATGGATTAGTCCATAAATGGTGTTGGGGCATGTAATTAACAATATGTAAAACAGAATAATTATATCCCCAAGGAAAAATTCGATATGTTTTAACAAGCAAGTGGGTAAATATCTTTCATTTAAAAATAAAAAACAAAAACTCTTCAGATTTATCTTAAACAAAAAAAAGCTAAGCACTCCAATATAAAAATTGACAAAGGGAATGAATAAGCTATTTATAAAAAATAAGCATAATAAATATGAAATATGAATTAAAACATTAAAAAATGTAATCTTGTTGGTAATCCAAGGGATACTGGTTAAAACTGCTTCGACAGTAGATACCAATCCTCCCCTTTCTTTAACATTTGCAAGAACTGAAACACTGATGGTTTCCACAGTCACTGAGAGTGTCTTTCTTCAGTTTGGACCCTGCTGCTCTACATCCAATAGAAATTCCCCCAAGATTGTAGCGTATTTCCAACATTAGTGCTCAAATCACCATTCACGCGTAAATTCTGCCTCTTGTTTGTAATTTATGCCCTGTTTCCCTTGTGGATTTTGGAGCAGCAATATTTACAAGCCACTATATGGAAAATGCTAGCCTACGTTTGGTACAGGTTTCTCATTTCTTACAAGCCTTACTCCATGCTCAATACTCCAGGTATGATATGATCTGGCTGCAAGGACTCATACAGTTTCTGGGCTTTTACTTGGAATCCTTCTCATTCATCTCCTGCCTCATCAGCGTATGGGAGGAACTTCTCTACTTTTCCCCACCTTCCACACTCATGTGCATGGAAAAGAAAATTCAGACTATAACTCACTAACGTCCTTGTATTTAGTCTTGTTTTCCAACGTGAAGAATTTTCTCCTTAAAGACTCCGATTTCTGCAATAATGTATTGACCTCAACATTCAGCTCAGATCTTATTCTCTATATGCAGTCCACACCCTGATTCCTCAACAGCCTGGCTTTAGCATTAAGTCACTTCTAATTTTCAGACTCAAGCCTGCTGTTTCCAGAAGAAAAAAAACTCAAGAAATTTATATGCTGATGGAATATAGAAAAAAGCTAACATTGTTAGATGTTTCAACTATAAAGTTTTCTTGACGTGTAAGATTTTTAAATCTAGAGTATGCTGTCAAGATGAGAACATTTATGGAAGAGAAGCTTAAGAGAAAAGAAATGCATTTCCGCTTTTTAAAACGTGATTGAGTTTATTGAATTAGTAATTTTTTTTAGAAACAGTAAAGAGAAAAACATTTGTTACCAATACAGTGGAAAGAGCAGGAACTTGGCGTTGATATGGATTCAAGTGTTGGCTCTGCTCTTTGTAAGAAATACTCCGGTGAATTTCTCAACTTTGATTTTCTTCTCTGTTTAATAGAAATATTAGGATTATAGCTGGGCGTGGTGGCTCACACCTGTTATCCCAGCACTTTGAGAAGCTGAAGAGGAAGGATGGCTTGAGCTCAGGAGTTTGAGACCAGCTTGGGCCTCATAGCGAGACCCTGTCTCAACAAAACATCAAAAAATTAGCCAGATGTGAAAGTTTGTGCCTGTAGTCCCAGCTACTTGGGAGGCTGAAGTGAGAGGATCACTTGAGCCTAGGAGGTTGAGTCTGTAGTGAGCCATGATGGCACCACTGCACTCTAGCCCCAGCAACAGAGTGAGACCCTGCCCTAAAAAATAAATTAAATAAATAAGGAATATTAGCATTATTATAAGTTCTCAATGGAATAATCTCCTCAGAAAGTCTTAGCCCCACCCCACCTAGATTAGGGGTTCCTCTTGCTTTTTTCTCTGCACAGCACACATAGCTCTCATCTAGGGCACTGTATTTTAATTATCTGTTCATGTTGTATTGTCCATCCCAAAGGACAATAACCCACTTTGATGAGTTTTCTTAGTCACCTTCATATTTTCTATGCCGGGTGCAAAGTTTGGAGGATCACAGGTTTTTAGATATGTTAGCAGACTTAAAATAAACTGATACAAGGAAGAGCCCTCTGTAAACTGCAAGCACCATGAGAAAGAATGGCTATATTATTTTCCTCCTTTAACTGAAATTACAGTAGCATTGCATTCCTAAATGTGGTGACCTTGTGATTTTTATTGCAGATGGCATATCTTTGAAGATGTGAATTTTTTTATCTCTTCATGGAAACTGCAGCCCATATTTCAGAACACATTTACATCCCAGATTTTAGTGTTAGAAAAAAGTGTATGTAAGGTTAGTTTTAAGAGACTTAATACAGTGAATTCAGGGTAATATATAATTCTGTATTTCAAAGAATATTTGTCCCCATTAGGACTTTTACAAAACTGGATTCATAAAAAGTTACAAACCACCATCATATAGAGGAAGAACCACCTTTATTTCCAAGGGTTTCTGTCCAGTGACTGATAAAGCTGGAAACAGTTACCATGAACTCCTATTCCTAGATACCAATCACCAGAAACCACTTTCTTCTTGAGCAAGTCCTCTACTAAGGGTTCATTTATTCCATGTTCAGTACCGTGATTTCAAGGCCCGGAATGTAAAGCCAATCACAGGATTTTCATCAAAAGTTTACTTCTGGACACCAGCCGTCAATGTTCAAGGTCTAGAATTCTACCACCTTTTGAATTTGGGGTGGTGCCCAACACTGATTCTGGGCACAAAATTGATACAAATTGTCCAGGCTAAGAGTTCTTTCAAGGACCCCTAAGAGTTGCCATGGGAGCTGGAGGGCTCTGGGAATCAGGATGGAGAGGGCACCGCCACGCACCCTTCCACCCGCACCCCAGCCAGAACACAAGCGGTTAATCGGCTGCTGGCCAAGCCAGCCTTTTTCTTTAGCTAGTGTTTTGGTTTCCTAGGGGCTCTCTGAGCAACTTCCTCATTGGCACTGGTTCTCTGAGGAGGCTAATAACATCACTTACAAGTCTAAGCCACAGCCGCTGAGCACTGGTCCCTTCCCATGTACGACTGGTGACTTGACGACAAGTATTTGGCAGGGTCTGGGCCCAGTGGAGCCGAGTGGACTCCATGTCGGCTCCTTGGCTGTTGCTATTTCAGGGGCTTTCCACAGAACTTTTCCCTACTGTTGAATATGCAGAGCAAAGGGGAGAGACGCAGATGAGATAGGAAATAAGCCAGGAACCCCAGCAACATGGAAGGGAGTATTTCATGAAGGACACATGCCATGAATGTTTCTGAATCATTCTGGAAATCATAGGACTGTGAACAAGAAAAGACCTGAGAGATCTCATACTGACTCCCTTGTAGGGATCAGAGACACTGCCTGTTACATTTAAGATCTCGCAACCAGTTAGCAGCACTGCTGAGCTGGAA
Organism: Homo sapiens; assembly: GCF_000001405.40. Taxonomy (NCBI): domain Eukaryota; kingdom Metazoa; phylum Chordata; class Mammalia; order Primates; family Hominidae; genus Homo; species Homo sapiens. The sequence goes on from NC_000008.11 coordinate 27,075,714, forward strand.
CGCTGAATTTCTGGCTCCAGGGAAGCCTCCTTTCTGTTCTCTTTGCTGGATGAAAAGCTTAAATGCTGTCCTCTATCTGCCCAAAGTGAGACAGCATTCTAGAAATGCACACCTTTTAAAAATCAACATGACAAATATGAAAACATGGCACTGTTATAGTTTCAGTTTTTCTCATATTAAGATAAGGCTGGCTAGTGTGGTGGCTCATGCTTGTAATTCCAGCACTTTGGGAGGTGGAGACCAGAGGATCTCTTGAGGCGAAGGGGGTTTGAGACCAGCCTGGGCAACAAAGCGAGAACCTGCATCTACAAAGGAGAATTTAAGTTGGGTGTGATGGTGTGCACCTATAGTCCCAGCTACTTGGGAGGCTGAGGTGGGAGAATCACTTGAGCCAAGGAATTCAAGGTTACAGTGAGCTATGATCACTGCACTCCAGCCTGGGTGACAGAGCAAGACCCTGTCTCTGAAAATTAAAAAAAGTAAAAATATTTTTAAAAGATAAAGCTGTCCTTGCAATGATAACAAAAGAAGAAAGGTCAAATACCATCCTCGAGATGGCCCTTGTATAGTAACTCTAAATCTTCCAAATTCTCCTGGGTGCCATCCACAGGGTGCCTGAGAAAAATTATCAACTGCAAGAAAAATGCCTCCCTATTGAATTTCTCTTACTGACTATTTTTCTAAACTGGGTGCCACACAGTCCTTCTTAGGAAAGTTAATGCTACCTTGCTTCTCTTTCAGCTGTGTAATTCTCCCTTTTAAAATGCAAAGAAAAAAAAAAAGAGCGTGGTGTGTGTGTTATGTTCCTGATGTTAGAACTAGAAGACCTCTGATTTCATTGCCCAGTGTTATTTACAATGTGTGCCTTCTTTTCTCAGGAACTTTTAAGAATATGGTAGATTTGGGGCTTTGATAATAGGGCCAAAGGCAGGAAGGTTTCCATAGAGTCGTTTTTTCTATTCTTTAAGGTACCGAAAAAAGTTCAAAGAGGTAGGATTGCCAGATTTAGCAAGTAAAAATAAAGAATATGCAGTTAAATTTAATTTTCATTAAACAATGAATATTTTTAGTATATGTATGTCCTATGCAATATTTGGTACATGCTTATAGTAAGAAAATATTCGTTGTTTATCTGAAATTAAAATGTAATTGAGGGTCCTGAATTTTATCTGGCAACCCGAGAGGGAGGGAGAGAAGAAGGAAGAGAGAAAGAGAGAGGAGACAGACAGAGAGAGAGAGAGAGAAGGAAGAACAAGGATGGGGAGAAGGAGGAGGAAGAAGAATAAACATCAATGATAATAGTATCCTTCAGAGAGAAAAACCAGCATCAAATTACAAGATCAGTTCCCAGTATTGTGGCTTGTCCCCTTGACAAAGACGCAGAAGAGAACTTTTATCCACCAAAGTGGTGCTCAGGTAATGCATGATTAAGAAACCAAACAAAACAAAAAACAAAAAAACCCCACAGATCCTACTTGACACTTTGTTCCATTAATTCATTCAAAACCACTTCTGTATTACCTGGCAGGGCATTGCGGGGGTAGGTGGTGAGGAATTACTTTTCAAAGATAATTAATTTTCTACTCTTCAAAAGCTCACCAATCCTAAGTGCCATGAGAAAAATAAAAGCAACCTGACATAGAGCTAGGACACAAGGAAGACACACCTCGTTAGAGGGAATGGGAATGTTTATGTAGAAGACACATCTGCCATCCACCTTGAAAGATTGTGCTGCATCTGAGCCGTTGTCATACGAGGTCGTTTCTGATCTTTCTAAAATGTTGGCTTCATAGTGGGGCTGCTCGGGGGCAGGGGATCCTCCCATCAGGAGCAGCTAGCGAGAGGCAGAAGAGCCCATGGGTAGAGCAGGTTACCAGCCAGTGGCCATCCCGGATGAGAAGGTGGGAGGGCATGATCAGGTCATGTCACCTGGTATTTGAGGACAACCCTGAACGTTAACTCTGCTTGCATCAGCTTGTATCGCTCCAGAAACAGTATTCCTTAAATGCACCTTTTCCACAAGTCATATTATTTGCCTATATTAATAGTCCATGACTTGGCCATTTTCACATGAACACACATAGTAACTGTTCAAGATTAAAGGCAAGAGGAAAATCACTAATTAATCACAGTATCTGGGTAGTGGTTTAAATTTTCTTTTCCAGGAATAACACCCCCCCCCCATTTTATTTAATATGTAATAAGTATTATACATGTGTTAAATATTATAATATTCTTGTATGTAATAAATAACATATATAGCCAATTTATATATACTATACACAGTGAATAATGTAGTAAATATATATTGTAAAAATGTTGACTATATTATATACTATAATATTTTATTATACACTATAGTATTCAATAGTCTTTATACATAGTAAATAAAATTAGAAAATTTGCTTCCTGCAATAATATATTATATGAAACATTATTAAGTATAATATATATATAAACACACACATCAGTAAAATTGATACAATCAGAGCTGACTTCTATAAATAAGGTAATATTATCTCTCCAAGTTCATCAGCCTCGTTCTCGTAAATAGAGCACATTTTTGCTGAGAATATCTGGTAAATTTCAAATATGGAAGAAATCAGAAGTCTCATGTAAAACTGCATAAGAATAATTTCTGGTTCTTCTGTCTTTCCTTTTTAAAGAAAACCAGATCTTTATTATGGCTCACAAAGCCAGCCATTCCCAGGCCTTCAATGATATAATGAAATCAAGAATTTGACATCTTGTTCATATAAAGACCCCAAAATACCAAAAAGGTCTCATATTTCCAGAGGCTAGATTTAAAAATGAATCCTTCTCCAGAAATATATAGTATCATAACAATTTTAGGCCAGAAACACAAAATACATGCTAAAAATGAAAAACACAGTAATCAATTCTTAATAATATACTGAGGGGAAAAAAGGCAATTATCAGATGTTACACACTTCGAGGAAAAAACAAATGGGAAAGGGTCCAAGGACTGGTTTATGCTTTAACTCTCTATAGATTTTAGGCATAGATGGAAGAAATTGAAGCTTTTATGAAAACGGCCACAGTCAACAGAAAAACTTGCACAATGCTTATTTATTTGTGTAACCCAAACGGCCCCGGACATCAGCAGGCTTCAAGTGCATGCAAGTAAGGACATGCAACATGAATGTCCAAATGGAATCAGCTCCAAGCCTTCCCCAACCAAGGCAGGGCTTCACCCCCTGGCATCTTCAGGGAGACGCCCCGCTAGTGTTCCCATATGACTGGTTCAGCTCCACTGGTGCCCGCCTTAGCCCTGTTGCATGCCTGCTGATATCTCCTACCGACAGCGCTGCCTTGGAGAACCTCCGCACTGTACCGTTTGGAACAGGCATTTGGAAAGTCTGGTAATGATGTCCAACAGCACCACCTCCCCATGCTCAGAGCTGCTGATCTTTGAAGTGCCCCCAGTGGCTCCGGAGCAGAAATGAAAGAGTTGGCCAGGAGGAGACAGGCAGCATATGTGGACTTTGAAGCCAGGAGTGTCACCAGCTCTGCTCTGCTCGCTTGCCGACCCCAAAGTAGACTTCTCTCCCCAGCCCTCAGAGTGGGCAACATCCCCTGCCCCACCTCCACCTTCTTCACCCTCCGAACACTCTGCTCTTTTCCTTTGTAAAAATGATTTGATGCCTAATTAATGATACAAACTTTACAGCATCCGTATCTTAATTAGGCCTCTTCCCTAACACCTAGCACAATGCATGGGAGAAATTAGGTGTCTAATGAATGTTTAGAGAACAAATGAATGAATATTTTTCCTGGAGATAAGTCCCTAAATTTTTACAGCTAAATGCTTTCTCATAACAACAATTGTAAACTCATTCTTTCTATGTGTTGGCACTTCTCCCAGTCATTTATATGTTTACTCACATATTCCTCACTAAACTCCTATGGAACAGATACTTTCATTTTCTCCATGTTTACAGAGGAGGGAAATGAGGAACAGAGAGGTTAAGAAACTTGCCCATAGTCATCCAAGTAGTGAGTTGCAGACCTGCGATTCTGAACCCCAACAATCTCATTTCTGAATTGGTGCTCTTAACTTCCTATTAAATCCCATCTTTTGGAGAAGTCCGAGAGGTCAGGTGGAGAATATCAGCCTCTTCTTCTCCATCCTCTCTCTGCTTCAAGTAACTTCACCGGAAAGTAAATCATACAAAGAGAAACTCAATGACAATAATAATAACTCCATGTCTTCCTTTCTTCCTCCTTCTCCATCTTCCTTCTTTCCTTCTTTCTCCTTTCTTCCTCCCCTCCTTTCTCTCTTTTCCCCTCCCTCCCTCCCTCCCTCCCTCCCTTCCTTCCTTACTTCCTTCCCTCCTTCCTTCCTTCTTTCCAGTTTTATACCACAGTCCTACCCATCATGCCTGGCCCACCCCAGGAACCAGAACTACAAAAGTGAATGCAAATTTGTCCCTGCCATGGAATCATAGTCTGGTGGGAAGAGCAGAGGTGCAGCAGCATTAAAAATTTAACCTGGATAAACAAGGCCCAATGGAAGCATCTGGCAAACCCCAATGCAGATAATGCTGGCAGGAAAGAGCCAGAGGCCAGCAGAAAACTGACTGAGTTCATCAGCAAATTAGGAAAACGTGTCTGGGCCTAAGTCAAGATTGACTCCTTGCTCCTAAGGCTGCAAGGGAGAGGTGTGGTCTATACAGCTCACAGGTAGGAAATAAATCACTGCTAGCTGTTCCTAAGGAAGAAGTGAAAAAGCCTCCAAATTGCCAGGTTTCAAGTCAACCTCATCAGGGTTTACAGAAAGGACAGGAACAGAGAAGAGTGGATCACATAAGCAAATAACTGAAGGGGAGGAAGTTAGCATTACACTAAGCAGTGTAATTTATCATTCTTTTGGAAGGAATTTTTTAAGGGCAAAACTTAAAGATACTATCTTGATCTGGTATTTGTTTAGTGGCATTTGTTTTGTGGATGGGTTTATGTTTTAAGAAAGGCCAGATGATACATGTAAGAATAAACCATTAGTTGAAAGCTGGAAATGCATGATCCCGATGAGAGGTCAAACCGAAGCATGGGAAATACGTATTGGAGGGAAAGTGGAACATCCCACTTCTCATAGCCACTTCTCATTAAAAGAAAGTTGTATTATGTCAGAGAGCAAGGTCTTTGAAATCACAAAGCTTGTTAAGACAGACTCTGCAATTTACCAACTATGGGTCAGTTTACAACCCTTTGAAAATTCTACTTTTCCATCTGTAGAATGGAAATGATAATAATATTTTCTTTGTAGGTTTTTCTCTAATAGTTAAACAAGATCATGTCTGTAAATAGACTTCCTGGTGTTGGGTCCATGATGGTGCCAGTTATGCCAGTTATCCGTGGTTGCGATGGTGATGGTGGTAGTTGAAGCAATGTGTATATGGAAGGGAAAAGGGGTGGTTCTTTACTGTTTATTTCCACTGCTATTGTCTTCAACTTTTCATTTAAATATGTGTAATAATTCACTCTAACTAAAAAGAAATAATTAACATTCTGGGACCCTTTAGACATAAGTACATTCCCAAATGCCACAGTATATATCAAAACTGCAACCCATATATCTGTCTTTGGCAAGATCTGTGGGAGTTACTTCCCATAATGTTGATTTAAAAGCTTTGGTGACATGGCCCAAATATCTCCAATCTCTTCTTAATAAGGTTAGGCACTGTATTTAAACCCTGACTGAATTCACTGATATTTTCTGCTTGTCGGGGTAAGGCATTCTTAATGTTTTCTGCCTGTAAGTACACAGGAAATGTTGGTTTTCATCTCTGGGACTGCTAACCCCGGGAACGTGGAGCTCTGTCTTTGGGTTACTGGCTGAACTACAATCAGATACCCTTCCAGGGACTTACAGAGGCAGGGTCGGTGTGTACTCACTGCTAGGTGTATGTGTGATGGCAGTGTGCCAACTGGAGTCTTCCAGTCAGCTCAGTTGTCTGCTTCCCCCATCTCTACCAGGGGTGTCAGTGGCCTTGCTCTCACCATCACCCCCACTCACACGCCCAACCAGGCACTGCTAGGAAGAGCTGCAGTGACCAGCAGCCAGGCTGTGCAGAGGCAGAAACAGCAGCATTATCCTGGCTACGTCATTCTCCATGAAATCACTTGATCCGAAACCGTAGTGACAGGAAGAAGAAATTCAAGAAGGAGCCAGGTTTGAGCAAAGAAACCAGAATGGGGAAGAGGGTAAACGTTTTGGAGGATTCAATCTCATGCCTTTCTGAACAAGGAAGTAGCAAACTTCTTAATGAGCAAATGCTATCAACATTCTCTTTAAATCTGACACCCTAACTCAACACGATGCAGGGCATTTGGCATGGACTATACTTCCTGTCACCATTTATTTTGGAGTTCTAAGATGTTTCTGACTCAAAAAATAACTGAAAGCCTATTTCTCTGCTGTCATAAATCAAATTAGCCCACCCATCTCAACAGAACTTGGGCCCGATCCAGGAGATACATACAAAACAGAAAGAGATGAATAGCTTTTCAGAAGGGAAGATATTTGCTGCAACAGCAACAGGAGTGAGGACATGTATTTTCCCAAAGGATTTGGAGTAAATTCCCAGAGCCTACAGATGGCCTTTGAGTTTATCTGACAGACTCCCTTCCCATTTCAACCTCCTTTGAGGGTCTGGTCAGAAGGTCTGCATGCCAGTGGGGCAAAATAAAGGCACTCTGATGGCTTCGTCAGTGCCAACAGACACTCTTCTTGTGGGCCACTGAGATCCAAAGTCCGGTGAAGAAAGAAAACAATCTTATGCGCATTTTGGACACCTTCACTGACCCAGCAGGGTGGTAAGCTGTGAGTGTCTTGAAAGATGAACGCACAACAGCCAGGAGAGTTCTGGTACAGGGGCAGCACTCAGTAAAAGCATGGTGATTGACTCATCACATCTGCTCAAAGTCCACTGTTAAACTTGATTTCTGTACATTTCTCATTTATCCATCAGCTGCTGTTACCATTAAGGCACATCTTTGAAGACTGTTAAATTTTCCTCAACTTCATTACTGCAAAGCCACATTTTTCATGAAACCACCAGCAATTCCTTGTGCTTGTGTGACACCCCATATTTATACCACTTCTCACACTGTTGTTTTGCTTACCTCTACCACCCTATAGACTGTGAACTCCTTGGGAGATGGAGAGAGAAGACTTGGTCTTTTTATCATTGTTACAACAGTGCCTAGGGTAGTTGACAGCATTTCGGAAGTGTCCAATAAATACTCCTTTACATAAAGTCTACACCCAAAGTTAAGGCATTTCTGAAGCATTTCAGCTGACATTGATCAATTCTAAGACTTCAGGAGAAAAGAGGTTTTTTTTTTTCCTCCATCGTGAATCAGAATTAGATTGTGCAATTTGCATGAGACAAACAACACTTTAATGCTTACCTTCACTTTCTATTATGTACTGTTCTCCTTCATGCTAATTCTGCTGTCAGAGGTCCAGGGGGAGACTGAAACACTTTAATTATGTCTCCTTTTGCAAAAATTTAAAACACAAGCAAGATTTTTTAAGTATGTGCTTTTATTCAGTTGCTTTTTTCTGTTGCCTTTTTGTTTAAGTGGCTACCATTTCCTCTTTAAAAGTTAAGTAGAGCACTTTGGTCTTTATGGTGAAAGAAAGCATAATATCTTCCTTCAACATTCTGCAAATATTTGTTGAGTTCCTATTATTCTATTACTACAGGACATTGTGCCAGGAGCTAATGAGAGAAATAGAAAGACAAAGCTGCTATTCTCATTGAGCTTAAATTCTAGTGAAGGGGACATAAGCACTAAGCAAATAAACAAGAAAATTTCAGGGCGTGGTAAATGTTCTAAAGAAAGTCAAAGAGAGGCGTGATGGAGAGGCTGCATTGGACCACTCTAGAATGAGAACAATCAGGGAAAGGCAGTCTAAGGAGGTGACATTTAATCTGAGAACTGAATTAGCCACAGAAGTTGGTCCCTAGACCTGAGGTAAGAGCATTCCAGGCAAGGGGTATGGCTGGCATGAGTCCAAGCTGGGAACAAGCCTGGCTTGTCATAGCAACATCTCCTTTCTGTGTGGGAATCTGCTGGCCTGAAGGCTGCAGTGAGGTAACCCTTATGGAGCTGACTCCCAGGTCTGTATTGCCAAGTCTAGCTCTTCGTATTTTTGCAGGAAATCCTGGCTCTGTCAAAGACCCTGTGACAAGGACGATTCAACATAGTCACCCAGCTAAGCTATTAAGCATCTATGTTTTGGTAGGCGTTAGGCATAAACCAACCTTATTAGCCCCCCAAGATCATCAATAAACTTTACATGTTTTCTGTTCTGGCTACCCTGATACTGGAATTACCATCTTCTTCATTTCCGATGTGATTCTGCATGCACACACTCCAGTTTAGAAGGGCACGATTTGGGGGAGCTTTCTGTTAAATTACTTATTTATAGTTCATGATTTATACAATAGAGAGGCAAAGAAGTCCCTTGCCTGTCCTTTACCCTTGCACACATGCACACACACACGTTCTACATATTTATATAAAGTTAAGCCCCTTATGCCCAATCAGTCCAACCAGGAGATTTTTCTCATAAATGAATTTCCGTGGGAAGTAGTGGCAAGTCTGTGGCCCCAAAGGTAAACAGAGTTGATGTGCATGCTGTCCCCTCTCCCTCTCTGAGCCCCATGGGACTTGTTCTTTCTGAGCTTGAGGGGCCCGCCACACAGAGCAAGGCATCCTGTGCAGGCTGGGCCATCCCTCAGGGAAACGTAGGGCCACAGGAGTTGAGCATTACTGAGACGTCAAGTTTTTGCTTCTCACCCCTAAGCCTCCCCCATAAAGGCCAGCGGAGGGCTTTCTTTTTAAATTTTTGTTTTAACTAGAGAGTTTATCAATGCTTACAAGATGCAAAGGACTATTGGTGGTGCTTTCCCATGTTTCCTCATGCAATCCTTGCCGTCCTCCTATGAGGCAGGGATTGCCCTTGCTTTGTGAAAAAGGAGACTGAAGATCAGGCAGGGTGTGCAAAAGTGCCTTTGCCACACAGCTAATGACTTTGTGTTGAGCTGGGATTTGAACTGAAATCTAACACTGAAGTCTACTTCTTTTTCCTTCAGGATGCGGCACGAGCTTCCTAAAAAGACTGGTCTGGGCTATGTGTGTGCTACCCCAGAGGCATGGAACGTGGTTTAGTCCTCGGTTGACTGGCGGAATTTCCTTTACTCTGAAATTTGTGTAATTTGATTCCTTAGGAGGTTTCTTGACTCAATGAAAAGAAACGATAAGAAAAGACAGTGAGTAAGAAATAGTGGGGTGGAGGCAGAGAAAGGCAGGGAAGAAGAAGGAAGAAGAAAAGGAAAACACACATTTATGGAGGTCCTGCTGTGTCCTAGATACTGTGCTAGGCTCTTCACTTATACGCAATCCCCTTAAAATTCCCCATTCCTGAACCTTTAACTCCTAGTGTCACACTAATCACCCAGCAATTTAAGAACTGCTAGTCCATGGAAAGTCCCAGATAGCAACTTGAAACAAACAGCAACTCAAAGATGTTTTTATTTTTTAATGCCAGAGATTAAAATTCCTGGGAAAACCAGTATTCTGTGCTTGGGCACCTCCTTGTGGTCACCTGCAAAGACACATCCAGGAATTTGGGACCTTGAAGGACTATTAAAACATGGAGGGCATTATACTCAGTGAAGTAAGCCAGAAGAAGGACAAATACTGAATGGTTCTGCTTATATGTAAAAACTAAAAGATTCAAACTGATAGAAGCAGAGAATAGAGTGGTGCTTGCCAGGAGCTGGAGGGAAAGGGAAGTGGAGAGATGTTATTCAATGGGCAAATGTCTCAGTTGTGCAAGATAAAAAAGTTCTAGCAACCTGCTCTACAACATTATGCCTATGGTAAACAATATGGTATTGCACATTTCAAAATTTGTTAAGAAGGAGGATCTCAGGGTTATTATCTCAAAAAAAAAAAAAAAAGAAGAAGAAGAAGATGACAAACAAACAAAAGCCCAGAAAGAGACATAAGGAAACTTCTGAAGGTGATGGATACATCTATTACCTTGATTGTGACATCATACAGATTTGATACGTCCAACTTATCCAATTGTCAAATTGTATACATTAAACATGTGCAGTCCTATTGTACATCAACTATACCTCAATAAAGTGATTAAAAAATTATATTGCCTGGCAAAAGCCAGCTCAAATAACAAAACAAAACAAAAATGACTTGTTGATCTGTTCAGCAGACCAATAAACCCTTCTGTCACATTCATAATGTAAATAGATAATGAAAATGTGTTCCTTAAATATTAATGTCTGTCCTCTGAGTGTTTTCCAACAGAAATATCTGGGGAGAGGCTTTGGAATCATAAAGAGTCGGAATTAAAATACTGTTGTGCCACTTACCAACTTTGGGACAAGCCGATCTGTCTGCACCTCAATCTCCCAGTCTGTGAATTGGGACCAGTGATTCCTACCACCTGGGGGTACTGTGGACATTCACCAACACGATGGATGTGAAAGCATCCCACTTATCTCAGTGGTTAAGGTATGCCAGTGCCTTCCTTTCCCTCCTCTTTGCCTTACTTATATGCAGAATTATTTCCACAGACTGATCTGCCATTAAACACTCTCAGATTAGAATAAATGTTGCTTTGGGCCAGGCGCGGAGGCTTACCCCTGTAATCCCAGCACTTTGTGAGGTGGAGGCGGGCGGATCATGAGGTCAGGAGATCAAGACCATCCTGGCTAACACGGTGAAATCCCGTCTCTACTAAAAATACAAAAAATTAGCCGGGCGTGGTGGCGGGTGCTTGGAGTCCCAGCTACACAGGAGGTTGAGGCAGCTCCCAGGAGACGGAGCTTGCAGTCAGCTGAGATCGTGCCACTGGCACTCCAGCCTGGGAGACAGAGCGAAACTCCATGTCAAAAAAAAAAGAATAAATAATGCTTTGTTTCTAAACTTCATCCCTCTGCCCCTCAAGTCTAAGGGAACAGCCCATTCCCGTAAGAAATAGTAGGAGTAAAGTAAGAAAGTTGGTGAGAGAGAGCAGATTGGCTAACTTTGGGGATGTTTCAGGGTGAGATGATCACAAATGTGAAAGAGTTGAGCCGAAAGAGTTGTTTGTGGTAAGTACTGTTGACAAGCCTTCAGCTCAGGGACCCGCCTGGTGCGTTCTCGGCAGGTTGCAGATCCAGTCCGCCCATGACCCTTTCTGAGTGAGCAGTTCACCTGCTGTGTGCAGCCACCTTGGAGAGGCGTCCTGCACTCACCCAAGCAGGGGTGGCTGCTCCTGCGGGCACCAGAGGAACACCTGCTTCTTAAGCACGGAAAACCAATGACAAAGCCATTATTCTCTTTTTGTATTTATTCCCCTGACTGCTGCAGCCAAAATATACCTGTGGTTTACCTTTCACAAAAGATGTCTTTTCTGCCTTTAGTTGCAAGAATATTTCCAAAGCAGATGCCAAACTGTACGCTGATGCCAAAAGCAAGTATTTGCAAAACTGTAAAGGAAGGAGAAGAAAACATCAGCCTCTTGGGAAGCTACCAAAGGAGAGAGAACCTGGACTCAGTTTGTTCTGCTCTCTTTTAGGGAAGGAGGAGTGAGCTCCTAGCTAGTGAGAGGCCTCTGTACGTTGGGACTGTGCATTCACTAACTCCACTGTCCTTACATTTGCCATTTATTTGAAAAAGATGACCTGTGTGTACGAGGACCTGGGTTTGAATCTTGACTTGTTATATATGGGTTGTGAGACCCTGGATAAACCACTGAACTTTTTCGGGCTTCAGATTCCTCATCTGTGAAACAGAGACCATAATGCCAACCTTATTCTAATTTTGTGGAAAAAGAAAAGCATAATAACAAATGCAAAATCCTAGCAGAGTTAATAGGACAGAAAAGGTACTCAATTGGCTATTGTTTTTAATTAATGGAAAAATGATATTAAACAATAGCTTTCTAGAAAATGTATATGTTTGTGGTATATTAACATAAAAACATGTTAAAAAACAAGTAATAAAACTGTATATGCGTTCTTCAATATCTTGAAGAATGGACCCCAAAATATTATTTCTGGGTCATAAAATGCTAGGCAATTTTTATTATTTTCTTTATGGTTATCTATATTTTCTATTTTTTAAAATAATGAACATGTATTGCTTACATAATAAAAAAGTAAGGACAACTGAGACTGTAGAAGACTATTAATGGCCCAGAATAAAGTTCAAGATATATTGTTGTAAACAAAAACTTTGATACATATAACACCAGAGCACATGTGAAGAAAAAAGTTTCTAGTGGTCTCTGTGGAAAAATGGTAGGAGTTTTTAGTTTCCTTTTTTTTGAAGCCATATTTTCTACATTTTTATATTAGTTCATTAAGTCATTAAGTCCCTTAAGAGTCCATTAAGGCAACTCTCTACTAGTATACCACCATAAATTTTCATCCAAACTAGGATTCTCATGCATGAACCAGGATGTATGTTAACCCTAGTTGTGAATCATATGTTGGGGTTTATGCTTTGAATGCATGGTCAACAATGGATCAAGGACAATTTGTTGTTGCCTGCCTCAAAAGATTTAGAGCCAATGAGTGATTCCACTCTTTATATTAATTCTCAAAGTCCTGAAAAGAGAAAAAGTACTATTGAATTGTTTAATAAAAATAAAATGTGGCTGGGCACGGTGGCTCATGCCTGTAATCCCAGCACTTTGGGGGAACAAGGCGGGTAAATCACCTGAGGTCAGAAGTTTGAGACCAGCCTGACCACATGGAGAAACATTGTCTTTACTAAAAATACAAAATTAGCCAGGCATGGCGGCACATGCCAGCTACTCAGGAGGCTGAGGCATGAGAATAACTTGAACCTGGGAGGCAGAGGTTGCGGTGAGCTGAGATCATGCCACTGCACTCCAGCCTCGGCGACACAGCGAGACTCCGTCTAAAAATAAAAATAATAATAATGTATGCAAAATAACAGACATTGATGATAAGAAACAAACATCATGCACATATATAAAATAAGTTAATTTAAATAGTAGATATGTGCGTCACCAAGCCTGTAGCAACAATGGTGAATCAATAGCATATTCACTATCCTTTAATGTCCCTGTCTTAGTTTGTTTGCTCTGCTATAACAAAATACCTGAGACTGGGTAATTTATAAATGACATAAATGTATTTTCTTACTGTTCTGGAGGCTGGGGACTCTAAGATCAGGGCACCAGAAGGTTGCATGCTGGTGAGGGCTGCTCTCTGCTTCCAAGATGGTGCCTTGCTGCTGTACCCTTTGGAGGGGAGGAACATTATGTCCTCACATGGAGGAAGGTGGTAGGGCATGAGCCAAACACTGCATGAATCTCATTTGTAAAAGCCTTAATCCCATTCAAGAGGGAGGAGCCCTCTTGGCCTAATCACTTCTCGAAGTCCTTACCTTTGAATATTATCATGTTGGTGACATGGATTTTGGAGAGAACAGCTTTCAAACCATAGCATTCTTCCTATGGCCCCCAAAAATTCATGTCCTTCTCACACACAGAGTACATTCATTCCATTCCAATGGCCCCCAAAAGTCTTAACTCATTCCAGCATAGAAATTAAAGTCTAAGTCCAAAGTGTCATCTAAACATGTGAGTGAGACTCAGGGTATGATTCATCCTGAAACAAATTTTCCTCTAGCTGTTAGCTTGTAAAATCGACAAGTTATGTGCTTCCAAAACACAGTGGTGTTTGGATATTTCTACTCCAGAATAGATATTTCTACTCCAAAAGGGAGAAATAGGCAAGAAGAAAGGGGTAACAGGCTCCCAGTAAATTCAAAATCAAATAGGGCAAACATGAAGAATTGAGGTTTGAGAATAATCTTGTTTGACCCCATGCCCCACTTTCTGGACACACTTGGGTGAATGTTAGGTCCCTGAATGTCCTGGTGGCCCCACCCCCATATCTTCGCTGGGCACAGTCCATGCTGCAGCTCTCATGGGTTGAAGTCCAGTGTCTGCAGTTCTTCCAGGATAGAGTTGCACACTGATGACTCTGTAAGTCTGAAATCTTGGGGATGTCCCCACTCGCATGGCTCTGCTGGGCATTGCCCTAGTTGGGGCTTTCTGCAGTATTCTTAAGAATCTGGGTGGAGGTAGACATACTGCTACAGCTCCTGTCCTCTGCATACCTGCAGAGCTAGCACCATGTGGATGCCACCAAAGCTCACTGCTTGTGTCCTCTGAAGCAGCAGCCCAAGCTATACCTAGACCCACTTAAGCACAGATGGAGTAGCCAAGGAGCACCAGAATGGAGGGAGCAGAGACTTGAAATGACCTTGGGCAGTAAGTCCTGAGGTCCCATGGGCATCTCCCTTGAAACCGTTTTGCCTTTAAGGCCCTGGCACTCTGAACCTGTGATAGTTATGGCAGCCTTAAAGATTTCCAAATTGCCTTCAGGGTCATTCTCCCATTGTCTTGATGAATAGCACCTGGCTTGCTTCTATCCAAACCAGTATCTTTATCAAACAGTCACTTGGCCACGCCCTTAGTTTTCTCCCCTAAACACATTTTATTCTATACATGATCAGACAGAAAATTTTCCAAACGTTTGTGTTCTGCTTCCCTGTTGATTATAAATTCTACCTTTAAATCATTTCTGTCTTCTTACATTTTACTACCAGTAGTTAAGAAAAGTCATGCAGCACCCTGAACACTTTGCTGCTTAGAAATTTCTTCTGCCAAATGTCTAGTTCATCATTCGAGTTTTGCCATCCACAACGTTCTAAGACATAGAATGATTCAGCAAGTTGTTTGCCACTTTACAACAAGAATGACTTTTCCTCCAGTTTCCACCATCTTGTTTCTCATTTCTGTTGGAGATCTTATCAAAATAGTCTTCACTGTAATGGCCACTTAGATCATCTCTAAGACTAAGGCTTTCTCTACATCTCTCCTCTTCTTCCAAGCCCCCAGAATCATCCTTAATGCTCTGTTCACAGTAATCCAAGCTTTTTCTAACATTCACTTGAAAACAGTTCCAGCCTGTACCCATTACCCAGCTGCAAAGCTGCTTCCACATTTTTAGGTCTTTGTTATGCCAACATTCTACTCTTGGTACCAGTTTCTATCTTAGTCTGTTTGTGCTTCTATAACAAAACACCTAAGACTTGGTAATTCATAAAACACAGAAATTTATTTCTCACAGTTCTGGAGACTGGTAAGTCCAAGATCAAGGTCCTGGCAGGCTTGATGTTTTGTGAGGGCTGCTCTCTGCTTCCAAGATGGTGCCCTGAATGCTACATCTTTTAGAGGGAAGGAATGCTGTGTTTTCACATGTGAAGAGTGAGAATGCAAAAAAGCCAAATGCTGCATGAAGTCTCTTTTATAAGGTTCTTAATTCCATTCATGAGAGAGGATCCATCACGGCCTAATCACATCTTCAAGGCCTCACCTCTTAATACCATCACGTTGGCCATTAAGTTTCATTACTTGAATTTTGGAGGGGACACATTCAAACCCTAGCATTCCCAAGCCAGTCTTGTTTCTGCCCTGAGTGCCCTTGCTCACACTGTTCCCTTGGCCCAGAATTTTTTTTTCTCTGCACTCTGCCCTGACCTTCTTTTATCTCATGTCCAGCTGGACAGCATCCAGGATTCAGCCCAGTGTTTCTTCATCCATGAAGATTTGTCAGGCATTTCCTGGCAGACCTCTTGCCATTCTCTTGGCACAATGTGCCTACGTTTATGGTAAAGTCTACAGCACTTTATTGTTCCGAATTGTCCACATTTCTCTCTTCCCCTCCTATAGTGCAGAAACTGTACTGCATGCACCTCTTTATCTTAATACCTAGCAAAGTGACTGCACCATAATATGTGCTCCATAAATGTTGACTACAAAGTAAATTATTTAATCTAAATCCTGTTTTATACGTACCTTTAGGGTATATTGTTATCAATTTCTCCCAGTCTGAACATGTGGTTATTGGGAAAGTTTGAGTCAAATTATAGATGTAAATCAACATCACTAGGCATCACAGGGATAACCAAAATAGAAATAATAAAGTAAGTGACTAATATTGGAGCTAAACAATGGTAATTTATAAATAAAAAGGAAGTAACTAAAAATCATGATCGTATCAAGACAATATCCTTATTTGTAAGGCACTGTTGCCCTAAACAGAAAGAATTCAAACTCTATCTGTGAATATGTGCATAGGAGGAGTATTTTGACTTCACTGAGTGTTGTCTGATAGCTGGAATTCTTGGTATGGTCATTCTCAATTATGGCTATACATTAGAATTTTAAGGAACGTTTTTTTAATTATGATGATTCATAGATTTCAATCCTACCCCAAATCAATCAAGACAGTATCTCTAGGGATTCAGACTTGGAATTGAGAGTTATTTGTCTGTGAAATGGAGGAAAGGTCTTGTATTTTAAACTAATTTAAGTCCATTAAGGCAAGTCTCCATTAGCATACTACTACAAAATTCATCCAAACTAGGATTCTCCTGAATGAATCAGGACATATGCTCACCCTAGCTGTAAATCATATTTTGGGTTCATGCTTTAAGTGCCTGATTAAGAATGGACCAAGGACAATTAGTTGTTGCCTCTCTCAAATGATATAGAGCCAATGAGTGATTCCACTCTCCCTTGGAATCCTTAGAAATTCTGTGCCAAATGAATTTGCTGTCTTGGTGGTCTCAAAAGAACAGGGATGAGAGTTTGGAAATGGGTAGAAAACTGACAGCTATAAAAAAATTTAATACTCAGATACTGGAGATAAAATATGGCCATATATTCTGTTTCTCTCCAAAGAAGTGGTTACTCAAACATCTGATATCAGAGGCAAAGGTGAGAATAGTAGAGTGTTATGAGATCATTCTAATGTCATTCTTATTCTGTATTTGTGATAGTCCTTTTGTATTAGTGTGTTCTCATGCTGCTAATAAAGACATACCCAAGGCTGGGTAATTTATTTAAAAAAAAAAAGAGAGAGACAGAGAGGTTTAATGGACTTACAGTTCCACATGGCTGGGGAGGCCTCACAATCATGGCGGAAGGTGGAAGGCATGGCTTATACGTGGCAGCAGGCAAGAGAAGAAGTGCCAAAAGGAAAAGTGCCAGAAGCTTGTAAAACCATCAAATCTTGTGAGAACTCACTCACTATCACAAGAACAGTATGTGGGAGTCCATGCCCATGATTCAATTATTTCCACCTGGCCCTGCCCTTCACACTTGGGGATTATTACAATTCAAGGTGAGATTTGGGTGGGGACACAGAGCCAAATGATATCACCTTTCCTTTTAAAACTGCTCAGTATTATCACCCTTCCTAGCCTCCTAAATTTTTAGGCTTTTTCCAGTGAAAAACCTGAACCAGACTAAAAAGAGCTTGGCACAATAATGCTGACTAAAATAAAAAATATTAGAGAAGTGAGTCAAAGAGGAAAGGCAGCTGTGGATATTGGCGAGAACTAAGGGTGAGCTATTCTGAATTTAAATCGCATAAGCCAAACTGTCTGAGACACAGCATTCTCATCTAATATCCTATTATGAAGGGTGTTGCAGGAATTAAAGAAGATAAAGAACTAAAAAGATCCTGAGAGGTGTACCTAGTTCATGATTAACTTGCTAACTGTGGTACTGTGCATGTTATCTGAGATGGAATTATTAGACACCAGCAATCTTATAGTCATAGAGTGGTCCCTCAGCGTAGATGAAAGCTAAGTACTACAGAATGATCAAAAGCCAATACTTCAAAAAGCTGATGTACTTGTGGGTTTTTTTCTGTATTTAGATGTATTTCTATCACCTTACTTTGGCTTTCCATTAGCCATGATTCACTAAGCTACAGCTTTCTCTTTTTTTCCTTCTATTTGGTTGATCCACATTTTTTTCATCAGATTTGAATGTTAGATGTTCTATTTCTATTCTTTAACTGGTTATCTAATTTTTCCCATGTACTTAACTTTTCAACATTTAATTTTAGTCTATATCTTTACCTTCCCGGTGAGCATAAGGATTTTAGAATACTTCCATTTCAATTCCCCCCTTTGCATTTATCCTCACCATTCTTCAGAACACTGTTATAAAATATTTCATGAATACTTGGTTTTATAATTCCAAAATATTTATTATCACTACTATCCTCATTATCACCATTATTACTGTCTTAGTGTAAATACTTCTTTTAATTTACTCACGTGTTTACTATTTCTTTGTTCAGCATCCCTTAATTCTCTTCTCCTAGATTTAATCTTCTTTCTAAAGCACATTTTGGAACTTTTTAAAGTGATTGTTTGTTAATAATAAATACTTAGCACTTCCTTGTCTAAAAGTATTTTTTATGTTGCAGATATTCTTTAGTGACATTCCAGCTGGGTACAGAATTCAAACTTGATTGTTATTGCCTATTAGTATTTTTAAAACATTATGTCAGGTTTTTTTCTATTTTTGTTGTTAATAGTTTTTGTTTATCAACAAAATAATCAACATTTTGTTGATAAATGTGCTGTAAATTTCCAGTGGAAGTTTAAGCTTTACAACTAATATGGACAACAACTTGACAATATATTTCAAAATTATAAGGTCATATACTCTTTACCAAGCCATTTCACTTCTAGGAATTCACAATATACATATACTCATAGAATGACCTTTGAAAATCATCATACTGCTTGAAACTTTCCAATACCTTCTTTCCTCATTCAAAGTAAAAGTCAAAGTGCTTGCACAATCCTACCACGCTCCATGAGGTTTATCACCTTGCTCTCCTCACTTCACCTCCTGTCACTCCCTTCCTTGCTCTCTTCTGTCCATCTTAGGGATTTTGCAGTTGTTTCTGTCTGCAAAGTACTCACCAATATATCTGCATGACTTATTCACTTTTCTTCTCAAGAATATTTTTTATAATCCTACATAAAATAGCTGGCATTACCACCAAAATTCTCTCACCCTCATCCTGCTTTATTTTTCTCAATAGAACTTACTGCTATTTGACATACGATATTTTACTTTTTATTTGTTGTTTATCTGTCTCATCAGTTAGAGTATCAGCTCCACGAGGGCAAGGGATTGGTTTTATTTATTTATTTTACTGTGTCCACACACAAGTGCCTAAAATTGTGCCTGACATATAAAAATAAATATGCATTGAATTAGTGAAATTATGTTCATGCCCGTAGGTAAAATTATGTTTGTGCAATGTTATTTTTTGCATAATTCTTTGTAGAACCAAAAAATTTTAGAAACAACCTGCATTGGTTAATTTTATGTATCAATTTGACTGGCCTATAGTGATACAGGAGCTAGAAAGGAGTTACTTAGGGAGATAATGAGGGTAAAGGAGTCCTGGGCAAGGCTTCCCTTTTAACAAAAAGCAGCCCCCAAATCATTTTTTCTTTTTTCTAACAAAGAGCAGCCTGAAAAATCGAGCTGCAAACATAGATATGCAAGCTGGAAACTTGCGTGGATGAATGCCAGCAGCTGTACCAATAGGAAAAGGCCACCTGAGGGCTGGGCATATCCAACATGGAAGCTCCATCATCCGTTTTCTTTGTCACCACAGGTACAGTAAAGAGGCAGGCAACATGGTGCCAGTCAGGCAGAGAACCCATCTGCATAATAAAAGATTAGAGTGGGCCAGGCACCGTGGCTCACAACTGTAATCCCCGCACTTTGGGAGGTCGAGGAGGCAGATCACGAGGTCAGGAGTTCGAGACCAGCCTGGCCATAGTGAAATCCCATCTCTACTAAAAATACAAAAAAATTAGACGGGTGTGGTGGCACGCGCCTGTAGTCCCAGCTACTTGGGAGGCTGAGGCAGGGAATCACTTGAACCTGGGAGGCGGGGGTTGCAGTGAGCAGAGATTACGCCACTGCACTCCAGCCTGGTGACAGAGTGAGAGTTGTCTCAAAAAAAAAAAATTAGGGTGGGGCAGCCAGCTTCTTCGTGCACTATGCAAACAGCACACCTAGTCCTAACCAGTTCTTTGAGCACTATTCAAATGGCACACCTGGTCCCACCAACCTTTCATGCCCTATGTAAATCAGACACTGCCTCCTCAACCTCATCTGTAAAACCTCCTGCACTTAACATCGGACCGGAGGACCCATTCAGGACCCCCATCTCTCTGCAGGAGAGAACTTTTCTCTTTCTTTCACCTGTTAAACCCCCATTCTCAACCTTATTCCTTATGTGTCCATGTCCTTGATTTCCTTGACACGGGACAATAAACCTTGAGTATTACTCCAGACGAACAACACCACTTCAACAGGACACCTAGGTACCTGGTAAAACCATATTTGTGAGTGTGTCCATCAGGATGTTTCTAGAAAATATCAGGATTTGCATTGGTGAACTGAGTAAAGCCGATGGTTCTCCCCAGTAAGGGTGTGCGTCATTCAACCTATTGAGGGTCTGCATAGAACAAGAAGGTGGAGAAAGGGCTAGCTCATTCTCTGTGCTTGAGCTGTGACATCCATGTTCTCCTGCCCTTGGACATCCATGTTCCTGATTCTCAGGCTTTTGAACTCAGACCTAGATTTACACTATTACTCTCTGACTCCCAGGCCTTTGGACTTGGGCAGAATTATACCACTGCCTTCTCTTGTTCTCCAGCTTGCAGGCAGAAGATTGTAGGAATTCTTGGCTTTCATAATCATGTGATCCAATTCCTATAACAAATCTCCTTTTATATAT
The DNA here is from genome assembly GCF_000001405.40 of Homo sapiens. Taxonomy (NCBI): domain Eukaryota; kingdom Metazoa; phylum Chordata; class Mammalia; order Primates; family Hominidae; genus Homo; species Homo sapiens. Next base: position 27,096,431 of record NC_000008.11, read on the forward strand.
CTGTCTTGGTCTGTCTGGGCTCTTCTAATTAAATATCGTAGACTGGGTAACTTATAAATAACAAACATTTATTTCTCACTGTTCTGGAGGCTGGAAAGTCCAAGGTCAAGGCACTGGTAGATTGGTGTTTGATGAGGGCCTGCTTTGTCATAGACGGCACCTTCTTACTGTGTCCTCACATGGTGGAAGGGGCAAGGCTGCTCTCTGGGGCTATTTTATAAGGTTTATAAGGGCACTAATCTACTCATCCCATTCATGAGTACAGTCCTCATGACCTAATCACCCCACAAAGGCCGTATCTCCTAATACCTTTACACTGTGATCAGGTTTTTACATAGGAATTTGGGGAACACAAATATTTACACCATAGCTATAATTACACACACACATGCACCACACACACACACACACACACACATACACAACAATTCTCAGAGGTTCTCTGAGAATCTTAACAGATAATCATAGCAATCTAACTGTTCATCATAGCAATCTGGATAAACAATTATGCTGCATCCTATGTGACAGAATGCAGTGGAGTATCTCTTCATGTATTTAAATTAATTTAATTTTCTTCAAATTTTATTTTAAGTTCAGGGATACATGTGCAAGATGTGCAGGTTTGTTACCTAGGTAAACATGTGCCATGAGGCTTTGCTGCACAGATCATCATCTCCTCACCTAGGTATTAAGCCCAGCATCTATTAGCTGTTCTTCCTGAGGCTCTCCCTCCCCCCAGGCCCCCTCTCCAACAGGCCCCAGTATTGTTGTTCCTCCCATGTGTCCCTGTGTTCTCATCATTCAGCTCCCCCTTATAAGTGAGAACATGTGGTATTTGGTTTTCTGTTCCTGCATTAGTTTGCTGAGGATAATGGCTTCCAACTGCACCCATGTCCCTGCAAAGGATATTACCTCATTCCTTTGTATAGCTACATAGTATTTCATGGTGTATATGTACCACATTTTCTTTTTTTCTTTTCCTTGAGACAGAGTCTCACTCTGTCACCCAGGCTGAAGCACAGTGGCAAGATTTCTCGGCTCACTGCAGCCTCTGCCTCTTGGGTTCAAATTATCCTGCCTCAGCCTCCCAAGTAGCTGGGATTACAGGCTCATGACACCACATCCAGCTAATTTTCATATTTTTAGTAGAGATGGGGTTTCTCCATGTTAGCCAGGCTGATCTTGAACTCCTGACCTCAAGTGATCCACCTGCCTTGGCCTCCCAAAGTGCTGAGATTACAGGTATGAGCTACCATGCCCGGCCATGTACCACATTTTCTTTATCCAGTCTATCATTGATGGGCATTTAGGTTGATTCCATCTTCATGTATTTTAGATTCCCTTAAGTCGTTTTCTTATTTTTACGCTTCTATGCTGTCACCAGATAATATGCTCAGATCTCTCTTTTCATTTATTAATCATATCAGCTGTACCTAATATAATGTTTAACCCAATTATTCAATATTACATTCATATATTGCATTTTTCATTTTTATTTCTGGAAGTTCCATTTGGTCATTTTTCAAATCTTCTGGTCATTATTGCATAGTGCCTCAATCTTTACTCATATTTTTTATTTTTTAATTTCTGTGTTTATTCATTTTAAACATATTTGTTTTATTGTCATTTTCTGATGATTCTATTATTTCAAGTCCTTTGTAGTTCAATCCCCAAAGGAGACTGTTTCCTCTGCTTTTGTTCATGGTGGGTTATTTATTAGTGTTTTGTAGTTTTGGATTGTGAGTTTATCATCAGTTAGTTCTTCATTATCGGAAACTTGTTTGACCTGGGAAGATGTTGTATCACTTTGTACTGAATGTTGTGTCTGCTACTTAAAAACCCAAAGGGTAGTAAAAATGATGGATCTTGCTATTACTAGCTTGGAGCTTCTTGAACTGAGCAGGAATTGCACATTGACTCCCTCCTAACCTTGTAAGAAGATAAGCCTATAGTTACATGTCTTAGGGGAGCACTTTTTCTATACCACAAATTAGACATAGATGGAAAAGTTAATTATCATCCCTTTATGCCTATATATAGGGTGTTTTTTTCCTATTCAACACGTCTACTGAAGGTTATAACCTCTTCATGAAGACCCAATCATGTATTTCCTGTTCCTTTCTGTCTATTAAAATCCCGTGTTCTTGTTTACCAAGTTACCAACATGCCTATAGTTCTGTACTGTTAGCTCAAACTCATTATTCTAGTTTTCAATTCCTCTTCATTTTGGCTGCTGGATATTCCCATTCTTCTTGCAGGTTTACAATGAAAATTATTTTTGTTACATCCTGTATAATTTCTAGATGTTTCATACTGGGAATATATTTGGGCTCTCTGATTTACCATATTACCAGAAAATAGAAGTGATAATTTATCATTAAGACTACATTTTGACCAAATACCTGATGTTGCTTAACCCAGGTTAATAAATAGTTTAAAAATGAGATTTGAAGGCGAAGTAAAAAATGTTTTGTTTAAATTTATGCTGCTGGTGGAAGACATCTTCAGGCTTTATTTTGTTTTTTGAGGAAAATAAGCACAAGAAACACTTGTAAATACTCTCATGGGGAAGCAATTTCTAAATTCCTTTGGCTTAACATTCAAAGTATTTATATGTCATGGCACTTTCTCGACATTTATCCTTAATTTTTCTCTATCACTTTCCTCATCCAATTTATCATAAATCCTATTGGTTTTATCTTTAAGACAGAACTAGAATCTGGACATTTTAACTCCCCACTGCTAACACCATAATCCAAGTCACCATCATCATCAGCCTGGACTTTTGAATCTCCTAAGTTACCTCACTGTCTCTATGTTTGTCCTCTATTGCCGATTCTCCATATAGCCAACATAAGATAGATCACACCCCTACACTAAATCCTGTGGTGGATTTCCAAAATATTTAGAATAAAACGCAAAGCCCTTTCCTTGGTCTACATCATCAAGCCTTTGGTTCCTCTTCACCACATTTTTCATGTCTTCCCTTCACTCCACTTTAGACCCCATGCCTTCCCTAGTGTTCACCAAATATGCCAAGCATGCACTTGGCTCAAATCCTTGGCACTAGCTGTTCCCATTGCCTAAACACTCTTCCTCCGGATTCTGCATGGTTTTCTCCCTCACTTTATTCAGATCTCTGCTCAAATGTCATTCCATTAGTGAGGTCTTCCCTGAGCATCTTACCTAAAGTAGTACCCTTATCATCATTATCTATCCCTTATATTTCTTCATTTTTCATAATATTTGTCACCAATCTGTCATTATATTAGAATTAATTTGCTTATTTGTTTATTGAAATTCTCCCTCTACCAGCATGTTAACTCCATGAGGGTAGGATCTTGGCTTTGTTCCCTGAGGGCTCCCTAATTCCTAGAACAGTGGCTGGGACATAGTAGACACTCAGTAAATCTTTGTTGGATGAATAAATAATTTTGCCCAGTAGTTGTTAGTTTTATACACAATCTTTCCTGTAGACCATAAATTCCTCAAGAGCAGGAATTCTGGTTTTAATTTTTGTGTGCCCAACAATTCCAACATTGCCTGGTACATGGTAGTTACCAAACAAATCTTTGTTAAATGTCAGAAAAAAATATGGTTGTTCTTTACTCCAAAACACCATACTAAACAATCCAAAGCAGATTTAACTGAAAGTATTTTGGCAGGTGTAAATGTAATAATCGCCAAATCACATTGTTGTGCAGCTATAGTAAAATAAATAATCCTTTCTTTAATGAGTTGATAATAAAATTGGGAGACAAAATTGATGCATGTGGAACAATCATATAAATTAAATATGAATCAGAATGCATTTGGCAATACGTTCAGTGAAAGGCAGCAGGCAGAAACTGTCTTGCCCAAAGGCAGACCTCTTAAAAATAAACATATATACTGCCTGAATTAACAATTGGCTTAATAAAAATGTGTTTGGGTCTTGATAGCCTAGGAAAATAAGAATGGAAGACATTAGAATGAATTTAAATAAATTATAATTTATAGAGTTTCTTTTTAGGCAATATAACTTACTCCTTACTATGGACGATAAAAAAATTAGTTCCTGCTCCAAAGAACTTTGAAACATTATTTGAGTAAAGAAGCCTGGTACTTAAGAGGAGCTAAACAATTGAGCACTGCCAACAATGAATTATATTACAAGGCAGTGTAAGATAAGGGTCTCACTAACGTATGAATAGGGTTCAGGGAAGGAAAAGAACACCGTTGACTGGGGTTATTAGAATGGTTTCTTGGAGGAAAAAGTGAAAGCAAAGAGTGCTTTTCAGTTCAAACTGGCCTTTTGTGGATACCTACTTGTTTTACAATTGATGTGCAAAGTCTAATGGCATTCCTACTGTTGTACTGTGGACTCCACTAGTAAATAAACACCACAATTTCTTTGCCTTGTTTTTTGTTGTATTATTTTAAAAGAAGTTCAAGGATCATGTACCTCCTTTTACCCGGCCCACCCGAGTTAAATGTACAACTGTCTTCATGTAATGAATCATGAGGATTGGATGTTACTAATTCTACACCTGCTATTTGCCAATGACAGCTAGAAAAACAACCTTGCCTTCTAAAATGTTATGTTAAATTTTTAAAATACAGAATATCAGATGTATCTCAATGCTTTAGGATCAAAGTAGTCCATTGCTGGAAAAAAATGATTTTTTAAATGACACATTCCTTTGAAATAAAATAAGCGATATCTACCATTTCCATCTCTGCTGATCATGTGTAGTGAATCCTGTCCTCTAGAGAAGTAGGGATTCCATGAAGGAATATAAATCATTCTGCTACAAAGACACATGCACACATATGTTTATTACAGCACTATTTACAATAGCAAAGACATGGAACCAACCCAAATGCCCATCAATGATAGGCTGGATAAAGAAAATGTGGTACGTAGATACCATGGAATACTATGCAGCCATAAAAAAGAATGAGATCTTGTCCTTTGCAGGGACGTGGATGAAGCTGGAAGCCATCATCCTCACCAAACTAACACAGGAACAGAAAACAAAACACCACTTGTTCTCACTCGTAAGTGGGAGTTGAACAGTGAGAACAAATGGACACAGAGAAGGGAGCAACACACACTGGGGCTTGTCCGGGGGTGAGGGGCAAAGGGAGGGAGAGCATTAGGACAAATACCTAATGCATGCAGGGTTTAAAACCTATATGACGAGTTGATAGGTGCAGCAAACCACCATGGCACATGTACACCTATGTAACAAACCTGCACGTTCTGCACTTGTATCCCAGAGCTTAAAGTAAAATAAATAAATAAATAAATAAGAAGTAGGGATTCCAGATACCAAGGCCAACCTAAGGTTCCTGTATCCTGTGATCTTGAGGTTCTTCCAATGACTTGGCATAATTTTCCAGATGACTACAGTATGTGAAACTAGTAGTCCCAAAGTCCACAATTTATGGAAGTGCCAAATTTTATTTTAAAAGTAGTCTTTTGGTTAAATGGGAGTGTGGTGGGATTATAACTCTTAGGATAATGTGTTACAATTGTAGATGATTTAAACATACATTCTGTAAGTCAAGTGCTTTCATTTTATTCTATTTGTAGGTAGAGTAATTTTTGTGCTTTTGTTATTGTTAACAAATCCACTTGAGTAATCCGGAATCAGCATAGGATTTCTTTTGTCTTTCTTCTACCATAATTTTGCATTTTTTTTCCTCTTTTGGCTTTGTTTATATTTTTAAGTGATTATACAATAATTCAAATGGCAGTCTGAAAGGATTATAATTCTTAGGAAAGTGTTTTATAAATGACTATCATATAAATGTGAATCTTACTAGTAAATTGTATTTCTAGAAGTGAGGATCTGATTTCTAGAAGTGTGGATTTGTCATTTCTATTTAACAAATGTGTTCCACCCATTGATCCAGAAATACTGCAATTTTTTTTTTTTTTTTAGACAGAGTCTCACTCTGTCACCAGGCTGGAGTGCAGTGGTGTGATCTCTGCTCACTGCAACCTCCGCCTCCCGGGTTCGTGATTCTTCTGCCTCAGCCTCCAGCATACCTGGGATTACAGGTGTGTAATTAGATATGTGAAAAATCCAAGACACTAAGCTGAAAAAGAAATAAAATTCAGGCTGGGTTCAGTGGGTCACACTGGTAATCCCAACACTTTGAGGGGCCGAAGCAGGAGGATCCCAACTTGTGCCCGGGAGTTTGAGACCAGCCTGGGCAAAATAATGAGACTCTGTCTCTACAAAAAATGTTTAAAAATAGCGTGCCATGGTGGCGAACACCTGTAGTTCCAAGTACCTGGGAGGCTGAGGTAGGAGGATCACCTAAACCTAGAGGTCAAAGGCTGCAGTAAGCCATGATCATGCCACAGCACTCCAGTCTGGGCAACCTAGTGAAACCTTGTCTCAAAAATAAATAAATAAATAAATAAATCAGTAAGTTGGCTGGAACCAAAGATAGAATTAATCATGAATATTCCTGTTATTTATTAAGTAAAAACAGTTTTAAAATATATAAGAAAATATAATATTTATACTGACTACCAAATAAAATCATAAGAAATATAACACATGTGCAAAAATTACTTAATTTTAAAAATATGTGAAAGATCAAATGTAAACAAATTGAGAGGCATGTCCTTTTCTTGTATAGAAACAATTAGCTCCATAAATAAATGAAATTGGCTAGGCATGGTGGGTCACGCCTATAATCCCAGCACTGGGAGGCTGAGATGTGTGGATTGCTTGAGCTCAGGAGTTGCGACCAGCCTGGGCAGCATAGTGAGACCCCATCTCTACCAAAAAATCCAAAACATTAGCCAGGCATCATGGCATGTGCCTGTGATCCCAGCTACTTGGGGGGCTGAAGCAGTAGGATCTCTTGAGCCTGGGAGACAGGGACTGCAGTGAGCCAAGATTGTGCCACTGCAGTCCAACCTGGGAGACAGAGCAAGACCCTATCTCAAAAATAAATAAATAAATAAACTAAATCTCTCTAAATAAACTTATAAATTCAAGGTAACCTACACACCAAAAATAATATCAACAAGAATGTACACATAATAGATTACCTGATACTAAATTCATATGTGAAAAAAGTAAGAAGACCCAGGAAAATTGTGAGAAAGAAGAGGGATGATAAATGAGTAACTCTAGAAGACATTTAAATATATTATAAAACTACCATGATTGAAACAGTGCAGTACTGATCAATGGATTAGTAAAGGAATTGATAAACTTCTTCTGTAAAGAACCCCGTGGTAAATATTTTTGATTTACGGGCCACGCAGTCTCTTACAATTATCCAATTCTGTTATTGTAGTACAAAAGCAGCCATAGACAGCACATAAGTAAATAGTCATGACTCTGTTCCAATGCAACTTTCTTTACACAAATAGGTAGATGTCTGGATTTGTCTTACTGGGCAGAGGAACACAGATTAAAAGAAAAAATCCAAAAATAAACAAAAATGCATGAGGATAATTAGCATATGAAAAAGCAGGCATAGCATCTCAGTAAAGAAAGGACAGATTGCTCAATAGATTTTCCGAACAAGTGAGTATCCATCTAGGAAGAAAAATACAGTTGAATCCTTATCTCATTCATTAAATAATTCCACCTGGATTAAAAATTGAAACATAAAAGTTAAAATCATTACAGTACTAAAGGAAAACAGTAGAATATTTGTATGAACTAAGAATGGAAGAAGTCTTCAAAAGCATGAACTAAACCCAGAAGCCATAAATGAAAAGACTGAAAAATTAGATTTCATAAAAATAAAAATTTCTGCATGGTAAAATATACCACCAGTAAAAAGTTGGGGCTCCGGGGAAGGAGAAACACTGCCAACTCATTTCACAGATCCTACAGCTTGTGATTGATATAACAGTTTCTGTCATTTGTGTAATCGAGTTTTCCATGCTATTTTACTTAAATTACCAATAAATACCAGTATTTCTATTATGGTAATACTGTTATCTTGGTAGTCTGAAATTTTGAAATAAAGATCATTCATTTGAAATGAAGATCAATGATTCAATTTCTCAGTTTAGGAAGAACACAAAACACCTTCCATTCTCCCAGTCTGCCCAGGTGCAAGCCCATGTAAACCTCAATACGCAAACTTGTCTTCTTTTTCATCACTGAGGAATGATTGGGATGGTTCCCAGGGGGGATCTGTGTTTATAAGCTGACAGGTTAAAGAACTTCTATGAAAATCCTTGTTGAACAAAACTCTTTTCTATAAAATTTTGAATTGAACAAAGGTACATTCACTTAGAAAGCATTCTTCTATGCCACGACAATCCTCAAGAGAAGGAAGGCAATGACAACAAACAAATGAAAGCTTACATTGCAAGAATAACTTTTACTCTAGCTCAAAGATTTTTTAAACCAGTGAAATATAAATGCAACAATATTGACATTAATACAGATCAGTTTTTATCAAAATTTTTAACTATAATGATGAAACCTAAATTAACAAAGAAACAAAAAAGCTTCCATTGATATGAAAGTAATGGCTCACTTTCAATATAATGCTTACAATACCTGTTAAAGAACAAATAATTGATTAAAATTATCTCATCAACAAAGAGGTAGGCTTATTTGGAGGTGAATCCCAAGGAAAAAAATTGAAGTTGGCTTATATTTATCTCCTCATTGTTCCTCAGACTACTGGAGCATCAGAACGAGGTACAGAATGAGACTTTGGTTAAGATTCACCTTAGCAACTATTGTGGCTTGAACTGAGTCCTCCTTTCTCCCCAAAATTGTGTTAAAGTCCTAACTTCTGGTATCCATGAATGTGACTGTACATGGAAATAGGATCTTTGCAGATGTAATATAATTAAGTTGAGGTCATAATCCAATGAGACTGGGGTCCTTATAAGAAAAGAAAACATTTTTGGGAGGCCGAGGCGGTGGATCACAAGGTCAGGAGATAGAGACCATCCTGGCTAACATGGTGAAACCCCGTCTCTACTAAAAAATACAAAAAATTAGCTGGGCGTGGTGGTGGGCGCCTGTAGTCCCAGCTACTCGGGGGGCTGAGGCAGGAGAATGGCGTGAACCCGGGAGGCGGAGCTTGCAGTGAGCCGGGATCGCGCCACTGCACTCCAGCCTGGGCGACAGAGCGAGACTCTGTCTCAAAAAAATAAAAAAGAAAACAGAGACATAGACATACAGGAGGTATGTCGTGTGTCAACAGAGGCAGAGGTTGGTATGATGTGTCTACAAGCCAAGGAACTCCAGGGACTGGCTCCAACATCCACAAAGAGGTAAGAAAATGTTCTTCCCTAGAACCTTCAGAAGGAAAATGGGCATGCTGGAAGCTTTTTTTTTTTTTTTTTTGGATTTCCAGCCTCCAGAACTGTGAGAAAATAGATTTCTGTTGTTTTTAGCTACCCAATGTATGGTACCATGTTACAGCAGCCCTAGGCTGTATTAATGTCCACTAATACAAGGACCTAACTCCCCTGCAGTTCCAGAGTGTTCTCCTGTCCCTACTGCATCCTCCAGAGAAACCAGTCCCATGCCCAGGTCTGGCAGTGCTGGAAGGAGCTGGAGCACCTGTGATTCTGGTCCGGCTGGCCTCCTCCTGAGAGATGGGCATGCGAAAGGCCCTGGCAGACCCTCGGCCTACTCTGGGGAAGGTGAGCTGCTGGCAGAGGGGGTAGATGAGGTAGAAAAAGCTGAGTTTGAAGCTACAGTGACAGCAGCAGCATGGGTTCTCCATAATCAAAGTGGCCAAGGTACCAGGAGATAGGGGAGGCCGAGGGACCAGAGGCAGCCCATAACATGTGGCCGATACAGCTCATTCTACTGCTCTTGGGTTCAGCCTCCTCTCCCTCCCAGTGCTTCCTAGGTTTCCAACCCTTCTTGTTCATCTCCGCCCTGCAGCTTTTCTTCTCAACCTGTTGTCTTTTTTTCTGTTACAAAGAAAAAGGTATTTTATTGTAAAACTTTTTATAGTCTTCTAAGTACCAGGCACTGTACTCCTTTAAGGAAAAAGACTTTATTTTCAGAGCAGTTTTAGGTTCACAGCAAAATTAAGCAGAAAGTACAGAAAGTTCCCATATACCCCTAACCCCCACACATGCACAGCCTCTCCCATTATCGCCATCTTGCACCAGAGTGGTGCATTTGTTATACATGATGAGCCTCCATGAATGTGTCATTGCAGCCAAAGTCCACAGTTTACATGGACTCATGGCAAGTCACGGACATAAGATTCACTCTTGGTGTTGTACATTCTGTGGGTCTGACAAGTGCATAATGACATGTACCAATCTTTGTAATATCACACAGGATAGTTTCACTACCCTAAAAATCCTCTGTGCTCCACCTATTCATCCCTCCCTTTCCACCAGCCCTGGCAAACACTGATCTTTTTACTATATCCATAGGTTTGCCTTTTCCAGAATGCCCTACAGCTGGAATCACATGGTATGTAGCCCTTTCAGATTGGCTTCTCTCACTTAACGATATGCATTTGAGTTCTCTTCATGTTTTTTCATGATTTGATAGCTCCTTTCTTTTTAGTCCTGAATAATATCACATTGTCTGGATATACCACAGTCTCTTTACCCTGTTGTTTTTAAAGACATCCTGGATCTGGCCGGGCGCGCTATCTCATGCCTGTAATCCCAGCACTTTAGGAGGCTGAGGCGGGTGGATCACGAGGTCAGGAGATCGAGACAATCCTGGCTAACACGGTGAAACCCCGTCTCTACTAAAATAACAAAAATTAGCCGGGCGTGGTGGCGGGCGCCTGTAGACCCAGCTACTCGGGAGACTGAGGCAGGAGTATGGCGTGAACCCGGGAGGTGGAGCTTGCAGTGAGCCAGGATCGCACCACTGCACTCTAGCGTGGGCGACAGAGCAAGACTCTGTCACCAAAAAAAAAAAAAAAAAGACATCCTGGATCCTTTCCTTTCCTCGCAGCTGGTGTGTTTTCTCAGTCTCCGTGCCCTGCTAATTAGGCACCTCTCCTCACGCACAGTCCAGGCAGTGTCATGATTAGGAGCTCAGGTTCTCAATCTGAATTCTCTGCTCAGACCTGGGCTCCACAGCTTGTTTCTCTGGCAAGCCATTTAATCTCTCTCTGCTTCAATGTCTCAATCTCCAAAATGAAGGATAAGACAATCACTTTCCTCATGAGGCAGTGATATTAAATGACGTAGTAGCTATAAAGAACTTAGCACAGGGCCTGGCTCCTTACATGTTTACAGGTGTCAATTTTGGCTTGTTTTTAGGAGGCCAAAAAAAATTGTTGGTTTAATCTTCTTCTACACTCTGAATGATATGATTCTAAGATTTCTGAAAGTTATTACATGTGTCTACCATGTTATTGCATATGAACAAAGAATTTACAAAATCCTATATTGTCACCTAGCAACATTGCAGTAATAGAGAACAGAACAGAGAACCTGTTTTGTTATTCAAAACATGAAATTTTATATGGATTTAAGATAATATTTCCATGCCAGAGCAATGCTAATAATAAAATTGAATTCACACCGAAGGAAAGAGTTAATGAACCTAAAGACGTGCAATAATTTACCAGACATACGCTGTGCTTCAGAAACCAATTATAACCTATTTTGATGTCTTGTAGACATGGCCCAGGTGTTCACATCAAATCAATAATCAGAAAATGCCATTTAGGCCCCATCAACATTTCCCACTGGAGCTCTGCTAGCACCAACTTCAAGGAGAAAAGCAGCCTCCCTTCTTTGCAGCTGAAAAGTCTTGAAATATGTCTGAGTGAATGCAGTCAATGGCATCTCTCGCAAATAAATAGCTAAACAGAAAAGTATTCTGTGGATGGCATGCCACTTCATGACTGTGGATCAACCTTATTAAAATATCAGCTATAAAACATTTGCTATGCACCCTGACAGGAAATGCAGGACCGAATAATAATTGCTTAATTTGTTGGGGAAGGCTATAAAGAACATCTCTCTAGGGCATCAGGACCCTGAAGAGTTAGTGAATAAAACTGTCTAGCCTCTGGGAGTCCAGCAAACATATTACAGAGGTCTAGTAAAATTTAAACATTAAAAAGCTCTTTCTGACTCCTCAGTGCCCAATTCAATTCATTCTCAGAGCCTAATTACTAACATTGTATGTGAAGAAATGGAAAGAATGCACCAAGATTACTGAAAGGCAATTATCTCTTCACACAGAAAAAAATCATCTGTGGCACCTATAAAGCTTACCGAGAGAATGTACTAATGTGCCAAATGTCAAGAGGGCAGAATCGAGTTGAAAACACATCTTTTGAATAAATGAATAGCATGTAGTTGAGTGGCAGAGAGTGGTAAATGAATAGTGCACTTAAAATTGGAAATGAATTGGTCAATTAGCAAGAAGATTACCGTTTGCCAGATTTAGGCTTATTTAAAGAACAGATAACTGCAGCCTCATTTGCAGGAGCAGGCAGGATTTCCAGGGGAATGAATACTTGAACGTGCAGTGGTTCGATTACTGAACATCGGTTATGAAAGAAGATAATAGTGGTAACTAAGGAGTGAGATCCATGTTATTTTAGAGGTTATTACTGAAGCCAAAGAAGGATTGCACTTTTGATATGAAGCTGATTTTGAGTCTTCATCTGAGCCAAGGATATGTAGACACAGAATTGGTGATTGTCTGCATGGTAAAATTTTAAGGGGCACAGGAAAGATCTTTATTCCAAAAACCTCTTAAACCTAGTATGCTGCCTGACGTCTTCACTCCATCTTCACTGGTGTTTATACCAACTAGAGATTTCTTTAAGTTGTCATATGTAGTCATATCAAAGAGCATATTCATCTTGAGAGCATGGACAACTGCCTACCAGTCCTGCATGCCTTATGGTGAATTAGTTCATGTATACTTAATGCCTTCTAGTACCTAAGATAACGTAAACTGAGGTAGCAGAGGATTTCATGAGGGCTAAATGGGGCACAAGAAATAATTTTTGATCATGAGAAACATTAAAAATGAGCTAGTCTGGGTGGACTTCCATCATGGGAACTTCAGTCCACCAGATTAGAACGTGTGGTGAGAAGACGCATTGTGAAGATCCACAGAAAAAGACCTGAGAGAACTAGGGAAGAAGAATGTGGCATTGAGATGGATGCATGGGTTTCAAAAACAAATTACAACAACTTACAACTTGTTCTATGGTCATCTCTACAAATGTAGAGTATGAGATGTACAAACCGGGCAAAAGGGGATGATACAAATCTTTTAGGCAACTCCCTTCCCTGATTTTACCCTTAATATTAGAACGTAGTGTTAAGTTTACTTAGGAGACTCAAACAAAATGCCACAGCTGACTGGTAGATTCCAAATGGGGTGCAAGTCTCTTGATTTCCAGGGTTCTCTTCCTAAGACTGTTCATGAAAGTTACCATGGTCCCTCCCCTCATCCCCATCAGCATTTTACATAAGCCATTTCTCTGATGATCATTCTTGGATATGTGACTCTCTGCCAAGCCACTGTAATCATCTGAGAAAATAATATCAAAATCTAAAAAAGAAAAATCCATGAAACCTGAAATTTCCACCAAGTTCTCAAGCTTTCTCTCTCACTCACTGGGGACATTTTTAGTTTTCCTTGCTCTGTAGCCTGCCAAGTATCCAGGATATCTAACCACAAATGGGAAAGACAGTCCAGTCTAATCAGACACTCAACCTAATCCCATTCCCAGGCAGCCTTTGAGCCATCACCAAGCCCTGAAAGTTCAGGGTCAAGTCTTTTGAAAAACAGCATGTAAGGCTCAAAACCCTCACGTACTTGCAGTGTGCATCCTGCTTAAAAGCCTTCAGAAAGAGTGCCAGCAAAGCTAGGCAACACAGGAACTATTGTTTTAAACAGAGACAGATTAGTTCTTCAAATAGCACCAACCAATGTTCTCCTGAAGAGGTGTGTTCCTATAAGAAATTTCTCTATTTAGAAATTCCTTACAGCTTTTACTCTTTCTCTTATTTACTTTTTCACTTCCTACTCTTTTCGCATGAATTCCACAAACATTGATGCAGAATATCGTGTGCTAGATACTGGAATAGGAGTGTCAATGTGGAGATAAATAGAGAGAAAATAGTTTCTGCTTTGTGGGAGTTCACCGTCTATGCCGAAAAGTAAGGCGTGTAGAGAGAGAATTAAAATACAACATTATTTTATTGCTAGTGCAGGAAAGGAGTTCCAGGTAGGAACAGGTATTAGCTTCCCAGAGAGAGTCAGCGAAGCTGCACTGACGTGATGTTTGGTGTGAGTCTCGGAGGAATCTGGCTGGCTTTGAAATGCTTGTTTTATCTGGTCTATCTATTCTCTCTCCCACACTGTTAATGGACTTCGTTTAGGGTGTGTGCCTGGCTCATACTTGCTTCTTAAAGAATCCATCCCATCCACGTTCCTGGAGGGAATAGCTGTCCCTACCCTCTCCGTTCCAGCCACAGATGTTGATCCCACTGGGCTGAACAAACAGAGACAGAGACAGAGAGAAGGAAGAAATTGAGCTGAAGGACCGCCAGGCCTTCTACCACATGGGGACAGCCACGAAAAGAAGGTGATGAACAAGTGTGTAAAAGTAGAATGCAACAGACACACAGGGAGGAACAGAGAGGCAAAGCCACCAGGCACCTGATTTAGAGAGTTGAGAAGAGCCCCCTGTGATGCCCACCTGTGTTTCCAGCAACTGAGCTCAGGATGCTTCTTTTAAAGAAGTCTTGTTTCCCTTGAACTTCTGTGAACGGGTTTCTGTTCTCTGCAACTAAAATAATTATTGACTTTCAAATTCCTTTTTTAAAATTTTTTTACTTCCATGGGTTTTTGGGGAACAGGTGGTATTTGGTCACATGAGTAAGTTCTTTAGTGGTGATTTGTGAGATTTTGGTGCACCCATCAGCTGGATACACTGAATCAATTTGTATACACTGAATCCAATTTGAGTCTTTTATCCCTCATCCCTTTCCTATCCTTTCCACCCAAGTTCCCAAAGTCCATTGTATCACTCTTATGCTTTTCCATCCTCATAGCTTAGCTCCACTTGTGAGTGAGAACATTCGAGGTTTGCCTTTCCATTCCTGAGTTACTTCACTTAAATAATAGTCTCCAATCCCATCCAGGTTTCTGTGAATGCCATTAATTCATTCCTTTTTATGGCTGAGTAGTATTTTTATATATACATGAAAAGGATACTTGCACACGCATGTTTATGGCAGCACAATTCACAATTGCAAAAATGTGGAACCAGCCCAAATGCCCATCAATCAATGAGTGGATAAAGAAACTGTGGTGTGTGTGTGTGTGTGTGTGTGTGTATATGCCACTGTTATCATATATATATCATATATATGCACACATATATGATATATATCATATATAGCATATGTATCATATATATCATATGTATCATATATATGTGTGTATATATATGATATATATATGATAACAGTGGCATATATATATATACACACACATATATATACATACACACACACACCCCACAGTTTCTTTATCCACTCATTGATTGATGGGCATTTGGGCTGGTTCCACATTTTTGCAATTGTGAATTGTGCTGCCATAAACATGCGTGTGCAAGTATCCTTTTCGTATAATGATTTCTTTTCCTCTGGATAGATACCCAGTATAAATACCTGACTTCAATCCGGTACATCAAAACTTTACATTATAATATAGACCTCCATACTTTACTGAAAAAAACACAAAACTGACAATGATGTGAGTTCAACAGGAGGACAAGAAGAAACACATCAGAAAGCACCACTGGATAAAGCAGGGGAAAGAGTATTGGGGAGAGAGGACAGTGCTGAACAAGGTGAAGGCACTGCAAGAAAATGGTCATGTGTCGTAGGACCATTCTGTAAAGGGTATTATGAAATGTTCAGTAACAACAGGTGAAGTCAGGTTTTTCTCCATATACTGTAGCTTTGGGTGGTTTCCATTTCCTTCTTTATTGTTTTCCAAATATTCTACAATGAGTATGCATTTGCATTCAGAAAAAAAAGACATGCATTATTTTAAAAAATTATAAATAATCGTCTGACACTTGTTAATTAATTAAAATTTGTAAAGAGCTAAAGTAACAAAACACAACATAATTTATCCCCACAGAGTAATTTCCAGTTGGGTAGAGGCTACCCCATTGAGGCATAAGCTTGGGAATGAGAGCCGAAGTCTTGAGGGCAGGGAAGTTGCCCAATGTGGAGTGAAGAGGTAAGAGGTGGCTAGAGCAACCCTGCTCAGGATACCCACTGCCTGGGCTCTGGGGAGGAGGCTGCAGCACTTACAATGGGAGCCCATGGGCCTTGCTCCTGTCTCCATGGACACTCCAAGCTCTGCCAACACTTTTGTCGCCTGAAGCCCTGGTTGCCTTCCCCCAGCAAGCCCAGGCTGCAGGGTTGCTCTGCCTCCTCTAGGCCGCTGTGGACTTCTCCTTCTTGACTTAGCCAGAGGGAGGGAGGGCACAAACACACTTTGAAAAATGGTGCAAGGCCAGGGCAGGGACTCTCCCTCCAAATTATTGACAAATTGAAGGCTGGGAACTGTTTGCCTCAATTTGTCATTTAATGGTCACAGCAATCCTGTGGAAGTGGATACTGCCCTAATTTGGGGTACTCTCCTCATTTTGCATAAGAAGAAAGTAAGGCTGATGCCACTCAGGCAGGAAAAAGGGTCTGGAGGCAGGGAACATAAGTCCAGTTCACACTTCAGCTATGACAGGAAATACCTTCTTCATAGGGCATAAGCCCAGTAAATGATTTTGTTAACTCCTTCTCATTTACATAAGGCGTATATCAAGTAACCAGTGGAATCCTCTAGAGGGTATTTAAACCCCAAAAAATTCTGTAATGGGGCCTATGAGCCCCTATGCTTGGGTCCGCTCCCACACTGTGCAGTGTACTTTCATTTTCTCTGCTTTTGTTGCTTCTCTCTTTTCTTGCTTTGTTTGTGTGTTTTGTCCAATTCTTTGCTCAAGACACCAAGAACCCAGACACCCTCCACCAGTAACACCACTGGTTTTGAAACTGGCCCATAAAACTAATGTTTATGGTTTCTTTAAATGAGTTAAAATGGACCTTTTCAGTCTTAAAACTTTAAAAAGTTACATTTCTCTTATCTGAGTTCCTTTTTCAGGAAATCAAGCAGCAGGCCTCCCAGATAGTATCAAGAAATTAAAACTTAAACAAACAGAGGAGCCAAGATGGCCGAATAGGAACAGCTCCGGTCTACAGCTCCCAGCGTCAGCGACGCAGAAGACGGGTGATTTCTGCATTTCCATCTGAGGTACCGGGTTCATCTCACTAGGGAGTGCCAGACAGTGGGCGCAGGCCAGTGTGTGTGCGCACCGTGCGCGAGCCGAAGCAGGGCGAGGCATTGCCTCACCTGGGAAGCGCAAGGGGTCAGGGAGTTCCCTTTCCGAGTCAAAGAAAGGGGTGACGGACGCACCTGGAAAATCGGGTCACTCCCACCCGAATATTGCGCTTTTCAGACCGGCTTAAGAAACGGCGCACCACGAGACTATATCCCACACCTGGCTCAGAGGGTCCAACGCCCACGGAATCTCGCTGATTGCTAGCACAGCAGTCTGAGATCAAACTGCAAGGCGGCAACGAGGCTGGGGGAGGGGCGCCCGCCATTGCCCAGGCTTACTTAGGTAAACAAAGCAGCCGGGAAGCTCGAACTGGGTGGAGCCCACCACAGCTCAAGGAGGCCTGCCTGCCTCTGTAGGCTCCACCTCTGGGGGCAGGGCACAGACAAACAAAAAGACAGCAGTAACCTCTGGAGACTTAAGTGTCCCTGTCTGACAGCTTTGAAGAGAGCAGTGGTTCTCCCAGCACGCAGCTGGAGATCTGAGAACGGGCAGACTGCCTCCTCAAGTGGGTCCCTGACCCCTGACCCCCGAGCAGCCTAACTGGGAGGCACCCCCCAGCAGGGGCACACTGACACCTCACACGGCAGGGTATTCCAACAGACCTGCAGCTGAGGGTCCTGTCTGTTAGAAGGAAAACTAACAACCAGAAAGGACATCTACACCGAAAACCCATCTGTACATCACCATCATCAAAGACCAAAAGTAGATAAAACCACAAAGATGGGGAAAAAACAGAACAGAAAAACTGGAAACTCTAAAACGCAGAGCGCCTCTCCTCCTCCAAAGGAACGCAGTTCCTCACCAGCAACGGAACAAAGCTGGATGGAGAATGATTTTGACGAGCTGAGAGAAGAAGGCTTCAGACGATCAAATTACTCTGAGCTACGGGAGGACATTCAAACCAAAGGCAAAGAAGTTGAAAACTTTGAAAAAAATTTAGAAGAATGTATAACTAGAATAACCAAACAGAGAAGTGCTTAAAGGAGCTGATGGAGCTGAAAACCAAGGCTCGAGAACTACGTGAAGAATGCAGAAGCCTCAGGAGCCGATGCGATCAACTGGAAGAAAGGGTATCAGCAATGGAAGATGAAATGAATGAAATGAAGTGAGAAGGGAAGTTTAGAGAAAAAAGAATAAAAAGAAATGAGCAAAGCCTCCAAGAAATATGGGACTATGTGAAAAGACCAAATCTACGTCTGATTGGTGTACCTGAAAGTGATGTGGAGAATGGAACCAAGTTGGAAAACACTCTGCAGGATATTATCCAGGAGAACTTCCCCAATCTAGCAAGGCAGGCCAACGTTCAGATTCAGGAAATACAGAGAACGCCACAAAGATACTCCTCGAGAAGAGCAACTCCAAGACACATAATTGTCAGATTCACCAAAGTTGAAATGAAGGAAAAAATGTTAAGGGCAGCCAGAGAGAAAGGTCGGGTTACCCTCAAAGGAAAGCCCATCAGACTAACAGCGGATCTCTCGGCAGAAACCCTACAAGCCAGAAGAGAGTGGGGGCCAATATTCAACATTCTTAAAGAAAAGAATTTTCAACCCAGAATTTCATATCCAGCCAAACTAAGCTTCATAAGTGAAGGAGAAATAAAATACTTTATAGACAAGCAAATGCTGAGAGATTTTGTCACCACCAGGCCTGCCCTAAAAGAGCTCCTGAAGGAAGCGCTAAACATGGAAAGGAACAACCGGTACCAGCTGCTGCAAAATCATGCCAAAATGTAAAGACCATCGAGACTAGGAAGAAACTGCATCAACTAATGAGCAAAATCACCAGCTAACATCATAATGACAGGATCAAATTCACACATAACAATATTAACTTTAAATATAAATGGACTAAATTCTGCAATTAAAAGACACAGACTGGCAAGTTGGATAAAGAGTCAAGACCCATCAGTGTGCTGTATTCAGGAAACCCATCTCACGTGCACAGACACACATAGGCTCAAAATAAAAGGATGGAGGAAGATCTACCAAGCAAATGGAAAACAAAAAAAGGCAGGGGTTGCAATCCTAGTCTCGGATAAAACAGACTTTAAACCAACAAAGATCAAAAGAGACAAAGAAGGCCATTACATAATGGTAAAGGGATCAATTCAACAAGAGGAGCTAACTATCCTAAATATTTATGCACCCAATACAGGAGCACCCAGATTCATAAAGCAAGTCCTCAGTGACCTACAAAGAGACTTAGACTCCCACACATTAATAATGGGAGACTTTAACACCCCACTGTCAACATTAGACAGATCAACGAGACAGAAAGTCAACAAGGATACCCAGGAATTGAACTCAGCTCTGCACCAAGTGGACCTAATAGACATCTACAGAACTCTCCACCCCAAATCAACAGAATATACATTTTTTTCAGCACCACACCACACCTATTCCAAAATTGACCACATAGTTGGAAGTAAAGCTCTCCTCAGCAAATGTAAAAGAACAGAAATTATAACAAACTATCTCTCAGACCACAGTGCAATCAAACTAGAACTCAGGATTAAGAATCTCACTCAAAGCCGCTCAACTACATG
The DNA here is from genome assembly GCF_000001405.40 of Homo sapiens. Lineage (NCBI taxonomy): Eukaryota > Metazoa > Chordata > Mammalia > Primates > Hominidae > Homo > Homo sapiens. The sequence goes on from NC_000008.11 coordinate 27,116,349, forward strand.
GAAACTGAACAACCTGCTCCTGAATGACTACTGGGTACATAACGAAATGAAGGCAGAAATAAAGATGTTCTTTGAAACCAACGAGAACAAAGACACCACATACCAGAATCTCTGGGACGCATTCAAAGCAGTGTGTAGAGGGAAATTTATAGCACTAAATGCCTACAAGAGAAAGCAGGAAAGATCCAAAATTGACACCCTAACATCACAATTAAAAGAACTAGAGAAGCAAGAGCAAACACATTCAAAAGCTAGCAGAAGGCAAGAAATAACTAAAATCAGAGCAGAACTGAAGGAAATAGAGACACAAAAAACCCTTCAAAAAATCAATGAATCCAGGAGCTGGTTTTTTGAGAGGATCAACAAAATTGATAGACCACTAGCAAGACTAATAAAGAAAAAAAGAGAGAAGAATCAAATAGACACAATAAAAAATGATAAAGGGGATATCACCACCAATCCCACAGAAATACAAACTACCATCAGAGAATACTACAAACACCTCTACGCAAATAAACTAGAAAATCTAGAAGAAATGGATACATTCCTCAACACATACACTCTCCCAAGACTAAACCAGGAAGAAGTTGAATCTCTGAATAGACCAATAACAGGCTCTGAAATTGTGGCAATAATCAATAGTTTACCAACCAAAAAGAGTCCAGGACCAGATGGATTCACAGCCGAATTCTACCAGAGGTACAAGGAGGAACTGGTACCATTCCTTCTGAAACTATTCCAATCAATAGAAAAAGAGGGAATCCTCCCTAACTCATTTTATGAGGCCAGCATCATTCTGATACCAAAGCCGGGCAGAGACACAACCAAAAAAGAGAATTTTAGACCAATATCCTTGATGAACATTGATGCAAAAATCCTCAATAAAATACTGGCAAACCGAATCCAGCAGCACATCAAAAAGCTTATCCACCATGATCAAGTGGGCTTCATCCCTGGGATGCAAGGCTGGTTCAATATACGCAAATCAATAAATGTAATCCAGCATATAAACAGAGCCAAAGACAAAAACCACATGATTATCTCAATAGATGCAGAAAAAGCCTTTGACAAAATTCAACAACCCTTCATGCTAAAAACTCTCAATAAATTAGGTATTGATGGGACGTATTTCAAAATAATAAGAGCTATCTATGACAAACCCACAGCCAATATCATACTGAATGGGCAAAAACTGGAAGCATTCCCTTTGAAAACTGGCACAAGACAGGGATGCCCTCTCTCACCGCTCCTATTCAACATAGTGTTGGAAGTTCTGGCCAGGGCAATGAGGCAGGAGAAGGAAATAAAGGGTATTCAATTAGGAAAAGAGGAAGTCAAATTGTCCCTGTTTGCAGACGACATGATTGTTTATCTAGAAAACCCCATCGTCTCAGCCCAAAATCTCCTTAAGCTGATAAGCAACTTCAGCAAAGTCTCAGGATACAAAATCAATGTACAAAAATCACAAGCATTCTTATACACCAACAACAGACAAACAGAGAGCCAAATCATGGGTGAACTCCCATTCACAATTGCTTCAAAGAGAATAAAATACCTAGGAATCCAACTTACAAGGGATGTGAAGGACCTCTTCAAGGAGAACTACAAACCACTGCTCAAGGAAATAAAAGAGGACACAAACAAATGGAAGAACATTCCATGCTCATGGGTAGGAAGAATCAATATCGTGAAAATGGCCATACTCCCCAAGGTAATTTACAGATTCAATGCCATCCCCATCAAGCTACCAATGACTTTCTTCACAGAATTGGAAAAAACTACTTTAAAGTTCATATGGAACCAAAAAAGAGCCCGCATTGCCAAGTCAATCCTAAGCCAAAAGAACAAAGCTGGAGGCATCACACTACCTGACTTCAAACTATACTACAAGGCTACAGTAACCAAAACAGCATGGTACTGGTACCAAAACAGAGATATAGATCAATGGAACAGAACAGAGCCCTCAGAAATAATGCCGCATATCTACAACTATCTGATCTTTGACAAACCTGAGAAAAACAAGCAATGGGGAAAGGATTCCCTATTTAATAAATGGTGCTGGGAAAACTGGCTAGCCATATGTAGAAAGCTGAAACTGGATCCCTTCCTTACACCTTATACAAAAATCAATTCAAGATGGATTAAAGATTTAAACGTTAGACCTAAAACCATAAAAACCCTAGAAGAAAACCTAGGCATTACCATTCAGGACATAGGCGTGGGCAAGGACTTCATGTCCAAAACACCAAAAGCAATGGCAACAAAAGCCAAAATTGACAAATGGGATCTAATTAAACTAAAGAGCTTCTGCACAGCAAAAGAAACTACGATCAGAGTGAACAGGCAACCTACAACATGGGAGAAAATTTTCGCAACCTACTCATCTGACAAAGTGCTAATATCCAGAATCTACAATGAACTCAAACAAATTTACAAGAAAAAAACAAACAACCCCATCAAAAAGTGGGCGAAGGACATGAACAGACACTTCTCAAAAGAAGACATTTATGCAGCCAAAAAACACATGAAGAAATGCTCATCATCACTGGCCATCAGAGAAATGCAAATCAAAACCACTATGAGATATCATCTCACACCAGTTAGAATGGCAATCATTAAAAAGTCAGGAAACAACAGGTGCTGGAGAGGATGTGGAGAAATAGGAAAAATTTTACACTGTTGGTGGGACTGTAAACTAGTTCAACCATTGTGGAAGTCAGTGTGGCGATTCCTCAGGGATCTAGAACTAGAAATACCATTTGACCCAGCCATCCCATTACTGGGTATATACCCAAAGGACTATAAATCATGCTGCTATAAAGACACATGCACACGTATGTTTATTGCGGCACTATTCACAATAGCAAAGACTTGGAACCAACCCAAATGTCCAACAATGATAGACTGGATTAAGAAAATGTGGCACATATACACCATGGAATACTATGCAGCCATAAAAAATGATGAGTTCATATCCTTTGTAGGGACATGGATGAAATTGGAAACCATCATTCTCAGTAAACTATCGCAAGAACAAAAAACCAAACACCGCATATTCTCACTCATAGGTGGGAATTGAACAATGAGATCACATGGACACAGGAAGGGGAATATCACACTCTGGGGACTGTGATGGGGTCGGGGGAGGGGGGAGGGATAGCATTGGGAGATATACCTAATGCTAGATGACACATTAGTGGGTGCAGCGCACCAGCATGGCACATGTATACATATGTAACTAACCTGCACAATGTGCACATGTACCCTAAAACTTAGAGTATAATAAAAAAAAAAAAAAAAAGAAATTAAAACTTGCCAGATCACCTCATGCAGACAATGAGACGCCAGACCCCTTAACCCATCATGATTGCCTGATGGACCACCTGCTTCCTGTGAACCAACTTCTCTTCCTTACCCCTCCCTAATTCCTGTTTTCCCACACATGGTTACATTTAGCCAGTCAGGGAGATGGATTTGAGACTGATGTCCCATCTTGGCTGTGGCACCTGATTAAAGCTGCTTCCTTGGCAATACTTGTTGTCTCAGTGATTGGCTTTCTGTGTGGCAAGTGGCAGGACCTAGACAGAACCCCTGGTGTTTTGCTAACAATTTTCCAAGGCTAACTGCTAGAAAGGGTCACAGCTGAGATTCAAACCCAGATTTTCTAACTCAGAAGCTGTAGTCCTGACTCATCACCAGCAAGCCCTTTCCAAAGCACCCATCATGGCACCCCCTAGTTTCCTAAGGCCACTGCCCACTGTAACTGAGACAAAGATCCCCAAATGGAAAATATCTCTATGATGCCATGTCTGATGATCAGCAGCTTTTTCTCTGCAATCAGAACTGAGGCATAGAGTTCTTCATAGTACACAAGTAAAAAGAGAGAAAAATCCCTGAGTCTGATTATATCTAGGTATTCTGGAGTGCAAAAAATGTCACATCACAGTGTTGCCACAGGAGGGATCCAGTTACTGTGGATTATCAGACATCCATGGCTTACTTTGTATTTGGTTTTCCAAGTTACTGATGATGAAATTGTCCACATCAGTAAAAAAGATTGCAAGTGTTTAAAAGTTAATTTTTATTTAATTTAAATTTTTGTTTAATTTGAAAAGCAGGAACTTATGGTTTCCTAATAGCAGGAAATGAATCAAATGATTTTTTAAGATACCAGACATCACTGTAGTCCTGTCATTACAGACCAAAGAGAAGAACAAATAAAATAAATGAGAGCTATACATTTGGGGTTGAGGAAAAGAGTAAAAGGAAAGCCATTATACCTCCTCTCCCTACCCAGCCTGGGGACCCCCAGGTCAAGGACAGTCTAAGTAAGGGATGCAGAAGGTTTGTTTTGTGTTGGAAAGCACAAAGAAGAGGAATCAATAATAGCACCTGCACTCCCCACTCCTCCACTCCACTCTCATGGCCCAGAGAACCACCCATCCACAAACAGCTGTCTACCTGCACTCAGCAGGGTGCATTATCATCTTTCTGCCCTCTCAGGATGCCCCGTGTATGGTCATGGAATTCTCAGAGGCATCTCTTTGCATGAAGGCATTGTTACTGTCTGTTATTTACAATCAAATAAATTCCAAAAATGGAGCCATATGTGGATAAGGTGATTGAGTAAGTATCATGATCTCTTCATACCTGCCCCAACCTGTACTGGGCTAATGATTGTGGTGGTGTCTCTAAGCTTAACAACAGCTTATTAGACAAGGTTCTCCAGAAAGACAGAACAAATAGGGTATAGATAAAGTCATAGATATAGACATTTATTATAAGGAAATGGTTCATATGATTATGGAGGCTGAGAAGTCCTGCGTTCTGCCATCTGTAAGCTGAAAACCCAGGAAAGTCAATGGTATAGTTCCAGTCTGAGTCCAAAGGTCTGGAAATAGAAGAACCGAAGGTGTGAGTTCTAGTCCAACTCTGAAGGCCTGACAACCTGGAGAGCCAATGGTGTAAGTGCTAGTTGGAAGGCAGGAGAAGATGGATGCCCCACTCAAGCAGTCAGGCAGAGAGAGAATTCAAACTTCTCCCAACTCTTTGTTTTTTCAGGCCCTCAATGGATTGAATGGTGCTCACCCACATGGTCGTCAGGGTAGGGAAGGCAATCTACCTTACTCAGCCCACCAATTCAGATGCTCACTTATTCTGGAAACACCCTCAAAGACACATCAAGAGATCATGTTTAACCAGATATCTGCGAACACCATGGCCCAGTTAAATGGACACATAAAATTGACCATCACAAACAGTTTTAGCCACCACTAGAATTAACACTTCTAGTGGTGTTCCCAAATGCAGAACTGGGATTCAGATCACATATATCTTCCCAGGAGAGAAGGGCGCACTCCAAGAGGGAGGCATCAGTCCAAGGGTAAATCCCTGCTAGGTTGGAAGAACCAGGGACTAGGGAGGAAGAGATGATAATGATAACAAATACTAATAAAAACAATAATAGCAGGGCAGGCATGGTGATTCATGCCTGTAATCCCAGAACTTATGGAGGCCAAGGTGAGAGGCTCACTTGAGGCCAGGAGTTAGAGACCAGCCTTGGCAACATAGCGAGACCCCTGTCCCTATGAAAATAAAATAAAAACTTAGCAAGGTGTAGTGGCCTGCACCTGTAGTCCTAGCTATTCTGGAGGCTGAGATGGGAGCAACACTTGAGCCCAGGTGTTCTGTGCTGCAGTGAGCTACGATTGTACCACTGCACTTTAGCCTGGGTGACAGAGCAAGACCATGTCTCTTAAAGCAAAAAGCAAAAAAAAAAAAAAAAAAAACACAACAACAAAAAAAACCCAATAATAATAAATCTGCATTAAGTACTTACTATAGGTCAGAGAGTGTGTTATCAGCTTTATGTCTTCTTATTTCTATTCACATCAGTTTTAGAAGCAGGCTTATTATTATTATGTGTTTTATATGATTATAATATTTACCATCTTAACCATTTTTAAGTGTTCAGTAGCGTTAAGTATATTCACATTGTTGTGGAACAGATCTCTAAATACAGATATTTAATGATTAATACGATTTAATAATACATATAACTATGTATTACATAGTTTATTATGATGTATGTTATACATGAGGATATTGAGGCCAAGAGTGGCTAATAAGTGATAGCCGCGAGATTAAACTCACAGCACCAATGTTCTCTCCTTTTGAAGAGACTGGTCATCAACTCTTTCCGATGGAAAAGTGAAAAAGAAATTGTTGGTAAAATGGGATGGCTTGGGAAATTCAGTATTTCCTGCATTCTAATTTGACTCAAACTCCAGGGAAGGACTGGTAGGAAATGTCCCCTCCTGAGGGGACGTGAGTCTTGCCAGGACTCACGACTCCGCAGGACCACTCCGCCCCTGGTTGGGAGCGCATGCAGGCATGGTGACGGTGTCGGGTGGTCCTCTCCCGCTGCTTGCTAGCCCGGGCTGCGCCTCTTCCAGTTCCCCGCTGTGCGTCCTCTGGATGGGAGAAGCTGGCAGCTCGATGCATTACCAAACTCTTCTGAAAGTTTCACATCTTAGGCCAGCAACATCCTAGTTTCATCTGACAGAACTTCACGCTGACCTTGAGACTGCCGTGGTCTTTGGGGACTGCCTGCTTCCTAGGGTTCCAGTTGCCCTCCGAATGCTCATCAACTAAAGGTCTCAGAAGAGTCAGGGGAGTCCAGCCTCAGATCCCATGACTGAAAAACGACTTCAAATTCGTTGTCTCACACACTGGGGAATATAACCGAGTAAAACTGAGAATATAACCAGTATAACCGAGGAAGAAACAACCACTGAAAGATTCTAGTTCACTTACAACCAACCCCAGCAAAAGTACTGAGCTCTCTCGTGGACATCGCTTGCTGTGGCTTTATTTATTCCAGTTACCAGAGGAGAGCTTTGGTTTGCGGGTTTTATTGTTTTTTTTGTGTGTTTTTTTGTTTTGTTTTGTTTTGTTTTGTTTTGTTTTTGAGACACAGTCTGGCTCTGTCGCCCAGGCTGGAGTGCAGTGGCGCGATCTCGGCTCACTGCAAGCTCTGCCCTCTGGGTTCACGCGATTTTCCTGCCTCAGCCTCCTGAGTAGCTGGGATTACAGGAGCCCGCCACCGTGTCCGGCTAATTTTTTTTGTATTTTTAGTAGAGAACATGTTAGCCAGGATGGTCTCGACCTCCTGACCTCATGATCCGACCACCTCGGCCTCCCAAAGTGCTGGGATTACAGGTGTGAGCCACCGTGCCCAGCCTTTTTTTTTTTTTTTTTTTTTTGGAAGATCTCCCTTTTGTAGAGTGCCAATTATTTGCCAAATACATTTTTAAAAATAATTTGATTTTGTGATATTATAAGGCAATACATAGTAATTGGGGGAAAAAAACCCTGAAAAATGCCAAAATAGAACAAAAAGAAATCCTCCTACCCAGAGGTAACTGTTAAATACCTGTATTCAAAGATCTATTTCATGACAATGTGAGTATACTTCACATTACTGAGCTGTGCACTTAAAAATGATTAAGATGGTAAGCTTTGTTATGTTTTTTACAATTTAAAATGTTTAAAAATGCACTCTCCACCACATGGTTCTTTCAGAGAACAGTTATATTCCATATGTTTCAAATATCAACTTTGCCCCTAAGGGACAGATTATTCATTTCCTCAAAAAGATCTGCTAGGTAGAAAACAGAAAAGATCAACACAAGTACTTCAGAAGAGAAAAATGAATGTCTCATTTTTACATGGAATTCTTTGGGTACTTTGCCATTAATGATGACCAACTGTGTGATGCCAAAGATCCGCACCGTCACAACCCATCTCATTAAAAGCATTCTGTTTTGAAAATCATGTTTTTATAAATGTACATGTAAATTAAATGGAATTGAAGAACTGCTACAGCCCTTTGCACATGTTTAGTAACTATTTCTTTGCCTCAAGAGCTTGCTTATAAGTGACACAGTGAATAAATTTGCAAGGAGATGCCAGCTTTGTAAGCTTCCACCAGAATTATTTCTTTACCACAGTTGCAGAAGTCATTCCATCAATGGTAACACTTGCATAATTTCCCCATCAAACATTACATTTATTTAAAAATTTAATCCTAAAAATATGCCATCATCAGAATATCCTGCTTCAGTGAAGTACAGCAAGAAATATTTCTTTCTGCATTTCATTACGAAAACAGAATCTAGAAGATTCTACAATTTATGACAAAATAACATAGCAAGCTTTCTAAAATGTGTACTTAATCCTGATACATTTCTTCAAATACTTGGTAATACTGGTATATTTACACCAGTATCTCCTGTCCAATAAACACACTTTAGTTTGTCACTTAGTTACCAACTAATAGTTCAGTTATTTTTATTATAGCAGGAAAAACGGTGGCTTACTGTCTCCTCAATGGCATAAGACTTTTTTAAAAAAGAAGTATTAGTCTGTTATCATGCTGCTGATAAATACATACCTGAGATTGGGTAATTTATAAAGGAAAGAGGTTTAATTAACTCACAATTCAGCATGGCTGGGAAGGCCTCAGGGAACTTACAATCATGGCAGAAGGGGAAGTAAACATGTCCTTCTTCACATGGCAGCAGCAAGGAGAAGTGCTGAGCAAAAGAGGAAAATGCCCCTTACAAACCCATCAGATCTCATAAGAACTCACTCACTATCCTGAAAACAGCATGAAGATAACCTCCTCCATGATTAAATTACCTCCCACCGGGTCCCTCCACAACATATGGGGATTATGGGAACTACAATTCAAGATGAGATTTGGGTGGGGACACAGCCAAGCCATATCAAGTATGCTTAAATTTAGCTTTTCTATATTTCTTTTTCTTTTTTATTGATACATAATATGTACATATTTATGGGGTATATGTGATATTTTGATACATGTGTATACAATGTGTAATGTACAATGATCAAATCAGGATAATCAGAATAGCCATCACTTCAAGCATTTATCGTTTCTTTTTGAACATTTCATATCTTTTCTTCTGGCTATTTTGAAATAAATTATTGTTAACTATAGTCACCCTACTGTACTATTGAACATTAGAACTCATTCCTCCTATCTAACTGTGTGTTTAATATCCATTAGCTTTTCTTTATCTCCTCTTTTTCACCCTTCCCAGGCTCTGGTAACCACCATTCTACTCTCTACCTTCATAAGGTAAATTGTATTAGCTCACACATTTGAGTGAGAACATGTGCTATTTGTCTTTCTGTGCCTTGCTTATTTCACTTAACATAATGACCTCCAGTTCCATCCATGTTGCCACAAATGACGGGATTTCATTCTTTTTTATGGCTGAATATATTCCATTGTGTATATGTACCACATTTTCCTTATCCATTCATCCACTGATGGACATGTAGGTTAATTCCATATCTTGGCTATTGTGAATAGTGCTGCAGTAAACATGGCGGGGGGGTGCAGGTATCCCTTTGATATACTTTTCTTTCCTTTGGAAAAATAGCCAGCATTGGAATTGCGGGATCATATGGTAATTCTAATTTTAGTTTTTTGAGAAACCTCCATACTGTTTTTAATAATGGCTGTACTAATTTATATTCCCACCAACAGTGGGTAAGAGTTTTCTTTTCTCTGCATCTTTGTCAGCATTTGTTATTTTTTTGTCTTTTTGATAATAGCCATTTTTACTGGGGTGAGATGTCTCATTGTGATTTTGATTTGCATTTTTCTGATGATTAGTGATGTTGAGCATTTTTTAATATTTCTGTTGGCCATTTGTATGACATAAGACTGTGTTTATTAAGTCAGAAACCTCAAAAGCAGATGCCAAATATGTATGAATATGCTTAGTACACTTTAATGATGTTCCACATTGCATAAGGCAGGACTTTAAACATCACCGAGAAAGATGTAGAAGTTTGTCTTTATGTCTTGGTTAAGACAAAGTTTTTAAATGTCTTGCTAATGATGGTAGTTTTATATTTAATTAGCTTATATGAAAGGTATAATAAACACATAGGAAAAGTTTTATGATTCATAATGTTTTAGGTAATAATGGACAAAATTTATCATTAATAATATTTTGAATGGTTTTCTTGAAGCACTGTTTTTACTTATGTGAGCCAAACGAGGAGTCACTTCTGCCATTTTCTTGTTATTTATGCTAACATTACTAGTGTTACACGTAACCCATGTTTTCTTTGCAGGAGTCTTTTCAACTCATTTATCATTTTGGGAATATTAGCTTACATAAAACCAGATGTTGCAATTCACATATTTAATTAAGCATGCATAAACCACAAAACATTGCCAAATGCTAGAAATAAGTGACCTAGTGAAGGTGCCTCTGTCAATCCTCCATGTTGTTGAATTTCTACTTCTCCCTCATTTATGGGAAGTGACAATGATCATCTGACATATAGCATAAATTGGGGTGCAAGTATTATTGCACATTAAATATTAATAAATCTTAGTTTCTTTATTTTCAAGTATTTTGACAGATTTTTATCTTCAGAACAGTTTTATATTTATGGAAAAATTGAGAAGACAGAGGAGAGTTCTCATATATCCCTCACTTACTTTCCCCATTGTTAATCTTGTTCATTACACATGATACATCAGTTAGTGAAACAATATGGATTTATTGTTATCAACTAACTTAATTTCTTTTAAAATTTTTAAACAAAAACTAAATAGAAATAAAAGTTCTACTATTCTCTGCCTGTGCCTCCATGGACGTTCTTGTATACAGCAAATGTAATGCATGTAAACTACAACCCCCAGAATGCACTGTTGCTAAGACCCTTTCTGGTTCCTCACTTATTCCCTGGGTACAACATCCCTAGTCTCTCACCTCCTTCACCATCTTCTCACCCCCTCCCTTGTCTTCTCTAGTGTTTTTTGGAATTTTCCATCTCTGCCTGAATTTAGAAAGGTGGTGGGTTGCAGACAGGTGGAGATGAGAACAGGACCATGAAACTCGGGTAATTTCCAGAGAAGCCTACATGGGATAGAGAACACCTGTCTGCCTATTTTATAGTCCCTCTGAGCCTGGGTTCATGAGCCAGAGAACATTTGTTCAGGAGGTGCGAACCATCTTCATCTCTGTTTTTGCAGATGGTATCTAATTTGCGAGCCAAGCCTGAGTGTGCCGTTAGTAAAAGCATGGTGGGTTATTCTCAGCCCGGCTCCATCTGCTTTATAATTATTGTCACTTCTTCCAAGATTCTGGCATTGAGTTGTCAGTCTTCGTTTGTAACTGGCTTTCCTTTGGCTTTGTGGACATCTCAGCAAGGGGTTTGGAAAGGTTGATTTGAGGCTGTTAGCCAGGCACCATTTAGAACCAGAAGTCTCTTTGGCTTACTATGGAAATTCCCCAAATAGCTCTATCTGGGGATTGAGAAAGCCTAATGAGATAGAGGGGCTGGCTGGCTGACAATAAGAGTCTGCCAAATTAGATGTGTTATTAGAAATAAAACAGATTCTGAGTAGCCAAAAAGGCACTGCACAAATAACACACTTTGCTCACTACAGAAAAGGTAAGTTAGTTTAGCTTTCTTCCACAAGGGGAAATGCACCCCATAGGACACGTTAGACATCTCAGTAAGAGAGAGTGGGTGGGGGCTTCTTGTAGATTTCAGTGCATTCTAGGTGATTCTAATGAGAGTTTAAGGCAGTGGGGGCCAGTTCTGGATTGGATTTTGTCTAGAAGTAAAAACAATTTGGTGATGGGTCATCATAATATTTATCTGGAGGCAGGAGGATGAGAACAAGTTGGCATTGATAAGGAGCAGTAACACACATTTGCATGGTGCATTATGAAGCTATGGTTCAAGGCAAGAATAAATACTTTCTATGACGTTTTCAGCTCAAATAGCAATGAAGATTTTTACTTTAAGAAGCAAACAAGTAAACAAGCAGTAACCAATGCGTAAGTTGGAAGAGGGGGCTGTTTAGTCATTTTGTGGTTGTAGAGTGGCCTTATGTCTGGCTTGTTTACTCATGATCCTGGAATGGCTTTTTCTGAGCTTTGCTTGTCTTCCGGGAGTATGTTTACATTCTGTTAGGACCATCACAGCCTGACTGCCAGCACCATTTTTCACTATCTCACATATTATCTTTTTATTCTATGCAACAAGTCTTTGATTGTAGGTAGTATTTTCATCATTGCATATTCCAGATGTGGAAATGAGTCAAAAGAGAGATTCAACAACCTATTCTCATGTTGTTAACCACTGAAATACTAGAGCCTGGTGGGGAGAGCTTTTCTGTTGTTCTTCCAGGTATATCAGATGTCTAGGATTTTGGCCCAGTGCAGTTCGTGATCAGTTCTAAACTGATCATGGGTTTACTATTTGAGTCATCATAGAATTGTCTGAACTGTTGAGTGCTAAAAACTTAGGGCAGAAAAGGAAGATGATATATTAGGCTCCAGTGACTATTAATCATCATTATGCTGCCTGATGGCCTTGGATAAGCTACACCTTAGATTGAAACTGGAACTTAGAGAGTGTGCTCCAAGAGATATAGTGACAGTTGCTAAGCAAAGGGGTTGTATTTTAATAATAAAAGTCCTTCTGCCTGAGAGCTTAGATAAGATGTTCTCCCCATTACATCATGTTCTGGGCTATAAGACAGATCATCTGGTGGTCTGAGACCACTGAATATAGACACAGGTAGGAAGCTGTAAGGAAGAAAGCTAAACTTGCTCCTTTGTGACTGAGGGCATTTATCTTGAGGTTGGAAACACATATGTGGGCAGTGTAACTCCATGCCTGATGTGGCTGCATATGTTTCTACTCTGCTTCTATTTCCAACTCCAAAACTCATTCTGTTGAATTTTCAAGTAGCTGCTGGCTCATTTCTGTTATAAACTTGGCCATGCCTTTCCCAATGGAAAGGCAGATAACTACATCTTTGTTCTTTCACTGTCTTATTATAGATCCTGTATACATGTGAATTTGGGTAGGAGGAAAATATATTTGTTCAAATTTTGCAACTTGACTTTTTCTTCATGAAGACAAAGCAAAGCACTAGGACAGTTATTATGTAAATCAGAAAAAAATCAAAATACTTGTTTTTAAAAATGCATGTCAGTGTTCTGTATCTCAATTATGCTGGTGGTTCCATAACTATATGCATTTGTCAAAATTCATAGAACTATATGCTGAAATAGGTGAATTTTATGATAGGTAAATTAGACTTCAAAAAGCCTAGCTTTTGAAAGCTGCATGTTAGAGGGCAAATGGAGCATTCTTATGGCCAAGAGCCACTGGACATCTGATAGCCTTGCCCTTCATGTCATCTCACTCTTCTAGGCCTAGGCTGAGATGGGTGCCACGGAGCAGGAGTGCCTAGGGGGCTGGGTTCTTTTGGCAAGCCCAGGGTGGAGTTGCTGGTGATGCTGCACTCTACAAAAGAAGATGCACTGTGGTTGGGCTTTCCTTAAGTCTCTTTAATAAGACAGGCCCTTTCCATAAAGGAAGATGAGGGCCCTGCAATGCATAGAGAGAGAAGCAAGGAATAGAAGTTAAGAAGTAGAGGCCGGGCACAGGAGCTCACACCTAAAATCCCAGCACTTTGTGGGGACGAAGCAGGAGGATCCCTTGAGCCCAGAAGTTTGAGACTAGCCTGGGCAACACAGTGAGACCTGTCCCTACAAAACTTAGCCGGGGATGGTGGCGCATGCCTGTAGTCTCAGCTACTCAGGGAACTGAGGCGAGAGAATCACCTAAGCCTGGGAAGTCAAGGTTGCAAGTGAGCCATCATGACCACTGCACTCCAGCCTGGGTGTCAGAGTGAGGCTGTGTCTCAAAAACAGCAACAACAAGATCAAAGAAAAAAGAAAGAAGTAGAGCCTGGGTCAGTCATTCCAGCTGCAGGACACATGGAGGGGCAGGAGATGATGGTGCGGGGGTGATGATGGAGGGGTGGGAGACAATGGTGGTGGCAGAAGAAGACAACTCAAGGCAGCCTAAAATACGCCGCTGCAAATATCCCCAACTAAACAAACCATTAAGCAACAAGAGCATCACGACCTCCACTAGCTACCATTGTTCTGGAAATTCTGCTCATTGCAATGAGGAGACAAGTATGTAAGAGAAAAAACTCTTTGGAAAAGGCAGTTATTATGAACCACAAATAACAATATTGTTAACCTAGAACTTCCAAAGAAATCTACTGAAAAGGTATAAAAACTTAAACAAAAATTTGATAGTTGGCAATTACAAAATAAATGTGCAAAAAGTTTTCCCAGTATAATACTTACGAGATAAAAAATACAAAGAAAAACTGTTATTCACAATGGCAATACTATGTATAAACTAGACAAGAGTAAATTGAACAAGAAATATACTGTACCAGTATTAAGATAGAAGAGGAGGAGAAGAAGGAGGAGGAGGAGGAAAAAGGAGAAGAGGAGAGAGATAGAGAGAGAAGGAGAAAGGGAGAGAGAGAGAGAAATAGATTATGCTTCTGCATTGGAGCATCTAGTATTTAAAAGATAAGAGTTCTTTTTAAATTAATGTATAAATTTAATGCAATGCTAATCAAATTCTAATAAAGGGATTCTAGAGTTAATTTGTAGATATATTGTTAATTTGTAGTTAATTTGTAGATATAATTTGTAGATATATTGAGCAAAAATAACCAGAAACCTTTAGGGGAAAGAGAATGATGAAAGAGAACTTACACTAGCAGATGTATAGACATATTTTAAGTCTATGATGATGAAAGCAATGGCTTTCTCTCACTAGACAAACAAATTAAAGCAACAGAAAAGAAATCCTAGAAATAGACCCAAACATATAGAGTACATGATAAAGGTGGACTTAAGGTCAGTAGCATAAGGATGAACGACTAAATAAACTGATCTTGATCATTAGTTATTTAAAAAATATGGATTCTTATTTTACATCAAGTTACCATAATAAATTTCCAAAAACTAAACAATCAATTATGAAAAGTTAAGTAAATACAATAAAAGAACTATTCAAAAATTTAGATGAATATTTTCATAATCTTGGGGTGAGAAAACCAAAGGCAAAAATTGTAAATAAAATATTAAAAGATTTAGATAGATACAAATTTAAAACCTTGCTTTAGCAAAAGTGCAATAAAGAAAATTAAGAGGTAAAGTAAGAATTGGAACATATTTACAATATTTGGCTCAAAAAGGTTAATATACAGAGTCTCACAAATCAAAAAGAAAAAGATGAATGCTGCAGTAGAAAAGTAAGCAAATGGAAGCCGGGCACAGTGGCTCACGCCTGTAATCCCAGCACTGTAGGAGGCCAAGGCAAGCAGATCACGAAGTCAGGAGATTGAGACCATCTTGGCTAACACAGTGAAACCCCATCTCTACTAAAAATCCAAAAAATTAGCCAGGCGTGGTGGCAGGCGCCTGTAGTCCCAGCTACTCGGGAGGCTGAGGCAGGAGAATGGTGTGAACCCGGGAGGCGGAGCTTGCAGTGAGCGGAGATCGTACCACTGCATTCCAGCTTGGGCGACAGAGTGAGACTCCGTCTCAAAAAAAAATGTGAATATATATTTACTACTTATTATTTAATAGGAATAGATTCCTATGCATTTTCTTATACATAGACAATAAATTTACTATTGAAGATGAAATGTCCATGTGTGGCGTTAAACATTGGTGTAAACTAATCAAATCAGTGGGCTTCTCCCATTTTCCAGACATGAAGTATTCACTCTGGGAGAACCAAGTAAGAAAAAATCTCAATTTCTTACCAGCCTAAATGTAGAATCACAATTAGACTTAAATGGTCATGAAAAAATAAAATTTTTCAAACTGGAGACTGTAGAGTGTATTTCATATTCACTACACATGTATGTATATGGGTTTTAGCCACAGCTCCATTTATTACAATAGAAATTAGGAGCAATTTTAAAGTTCAATTATAGATAAATTATTAAGTAAACTACAGTGCTTCCATATAATGAGTACCAAATAGTTATTTAAAACTGTTATAAAAGGGTATTTAGTGATAGGGTAAGGCGATCATAATATTCTTTTTTAATACTACCTTTATTGAGGTTTAATTTGCATATAATAAACTGCACATATTAAATAATAAAATTTGAAACTTTTTGACTTATGTATACCCACGAAAACATCACTATGATGAAAATAATGAGTATATCAATCACCCCCCCCCAAAAAAACTCTTGTGCCACTCTTACATAGCCCTCCCCATTCCCCTGCAAACACTGATAAACTTTCTGTAATTATAAATTACTTTGCACTTTTCAGAATTTTATATTTATGGGATCATACTGCCTATACTCTTTTCTCATCTGATTTCTTTCATGCAGCATGATTATTTTAAGATTCATCCACGTTGTTGTATATCACTTGTTCTTTTGATTGTTGAATAGTATTCCATTGTATAAATGTAGCACAATTTGATTATCCATCACCTGTGGATGGAAAATTGGGTTATTTTCAGGTTTGGACTACTACACATAAGGCTACTTTGAATACTCATATACA